>NC_000005.10:168791627-169094657 GCF_000001405.40 Homo sapiens
TGGTGTGCAACACAATGTTTTGATATATGCTTTCATTGTGGAATAGCTAAGTCAAGCTACTTAACCTATGCATTACCTCACATGCTTATCATTTATTTGTGGTAAGAACACTTAAAATCTACTCTCTGAGCTATTTTCAAGTATACGATACATTGTTGTTAACTACATTCACCGTGTTGTATAACACAATGGATCTCTTGAACTTACTTCTCCTGTCTACCTGAAATTTTGCACCCTTTGACGAACATCTGTGTCATCTTCATCTCTACCCCACCCTCACCCCACCGGCCTCTGAACATCACCATTCTACTTTCTGCTTCTAAGAGTTTGGCTTTGTTTAGATTCCATGTATAAGTGAGAACATTTGGCAAACTGCGTCTTAATTCTTAATTCTGCAAGAAGGAAACAGCAGCCCTGAGAGGTGAAGTACCTGGAGCCATAAGTGACTGGACACAGCCATTTGGGCACAGAGCAAGCATCTCAAGTCTCCTATCAGCTCAAGGCCCCCTCTGCTATTTTGTTGTGATGGAGGCACAATGCAGGGCATTGAGCTGGAAGGCAGATGGGAGATGGCTCCAGCTGCCCACTGACCTCCATGCATGACCCTGTCCCTAGCCACAGCAGCTGCTCCTAGAACTGATTCTGGGCACTGGGATGACTCTTGACCAGTGCTTCTCAAACCTCACGAGGGTGTAGATTAAAAATGCACTCCAGAGTGTCTGATTTGTAGGCTGGGGGTTGGGGCTACGAATCTGTATATGTAACACATCTCCAGGTGATTCCATGTAGGTGGTCCCTAGGTCATATACTTCAGGCCGCAATGTTTTAGAAAATGGTCTCAGACCCACGTTGGTCCTCTGGGGCTTATAAACTGGATGACCAAGAAGGGGTAGCTTTTCCAGACTGTTCAGAATAGAGGTGGCAAATTCAAGTGCCTACAAAGGTCATGCAGGGAATATAAGTGTGAGATATTAGGAAGTCCTGGAGCTTGTGGAATGAGTTGCTCTGCCTAAGAGCATGAAAGAGAAAAGAATTCCCAACACCCCATTCTGGCACAATAATAGATAGCCCAGGTGTCAGGCCTACCAGTCAGTTAACCAAATTTGCAAGACCGAGGGGCTGTCTCCAGTGCTTTCTACTGCTTCTCTGCTTTGATACAGGTTGAGTATCCCTAATCCAAAAATCCAAAATCTGAAATGCTCCAAAATCTGAAACTTTCTGAGCACTGACATGACGTCACAAGTGGAAAATTCCACACCTGACCTCATGTGACTGATGGATTGCAGTCAAAACTTCATATCATGCACAAAATTATTAAAAACTTTGTATAAATTACCTTCAGCCTATGTGTGTGAGGTATATATGAAACATAAATGAGTTTCATATTTAGACTTGGATTCCATTCTCAAGATATCTCATTATGTATGTGAAAATATTCCAAACTTTGAAAAATTCAGAACGCTGAAATGTTTTTGGCCCCAAGCATTTTGGATAAGGAATACTCAACCTTTTAGTTTGTACTTGGAATGTTTTTTATACGAAGGTAACCACTAGGAATAGGCAGAGACAAAGCCATTCATTCAGAGAGAATTCTTTTTTTTCTCTCCCCCCTCCCCTTTTTTCTTTTCTTTTTTGGTAAGAGACAAGAGCAGGATGTGGTTCAGTCACAGTTGAGGGGGAAACTTCCTCCTGTTAGATATTAGGGATAAACTGGTCACGTATATTTAGGAAAAATTAGGGTTTTGAAATCCATTCTCACCAGGGACCCTACCTCTCCCAAACCATTGATTGCACTTCAGTCTAGGTTTCTGAAGTTCCATTAGTCGAACATTTTTAAGTGTGCTCTCTTCTCTATTGCCATCCTCTTGGGGGAAAAAAAGGGCATCATAATAAATATCAGTAGCATCATAAGTGATCAAAAATTAAATTCACTTTCCAGGTCGTGACTGAGAAGGTCTTATGAATTTTGAATGCACAGATCATGGCAAGTCCAATAGGTTGGAGAAGGAACAGTAAAACATAGTCAAGCTTTAAATTACCTGGACTTCACAAAAAATTAGAGCAATAACTTAAATCATGTAGGAGATATAGGTTGGGGCAGTGACTGAACTTGTCATTTTTCACTGAAATTACTATCTGGCTGCATAATCAAGCTGAGCTTTAAAAATGAATTGGGGGGGGGGATGCATGGAGAGCGGGCTGGGGAAGCAGGGACACCAGGAGATTAATGGCCCGAGGTTTTAAATATTAAGGCCTATATTTATACAGCTCCTCCAGCAGGAATGCTGCCAAGAGGAGGGAAGAAGTACGTGCTTCGAGCTGCCTCATTATGTTGGTTTCCACTTCTGGAATTGCACCAGAAGAAAAGCTTGTTTGGTTTGGATTTCCAGGGAGATGGGAAGTTGGCTTCCCAAGATCTGAGGGTAAAGCCTACCAATGCCACTGTTTCGCAGGGATATTTATTTTTAACATAAAAGGAATCAGCAGACACTTAACCTCTTTACTGTGGGCCCTCCCACTCGAGGGAAAGCAATGAATCAGCCTCGTGTGGAAGGAAGAAGCAGGACCGAGTCCATGCATATTTCTACCTGACTCTCTCTTTCCTCTGTGGGAGGGTGAGGTGTGGGGGGATGTGAAAAGAGTAAGTGGAATGAAAACAGCAACTCGGTTACTGGGCTCTACTAAATGATTTCTTAGCCTCAAAAAGGGAAGGAGTATCTGTGCAGAACTGATGGCAATGGTTGGGCTGTTTCTGAATCCTACTGTCCTCCCTGCAGAGCCCCCAGCTCTGAGTGACTCACAGAGCAGTGCTCAAGGTCGTCATGGGATGGGGAAGAATGATGACATTGTCACATGGTGGGGATGAGGGCGGTGATGCAATGGTGCCGTCCAGGCTGCTGTGGTGAGGGAGGAACAGCAGGGTTGGTATCACCCGGCACTGATGTAATGCAGTGGTGGAGTGGTGTGACTTACAGAGCTAATGGGGATGTAGGGGGTGCTCACATGTTGACCATACCCTCCGAGGCTTCTCATTTCATGCAGGAAGAACAGAAAGTCTGTACCACGGTAAAGGATGCATGTGATCTAGTACCAACTTTTCCAACACAAGCCCCATCCTCTCCCCTCACTTGTTCCACTCTTTGCTATTCCACAAACCATCGACACATGCTCCCTAAGGCCTTTCACTTGCTTTTCCTGCTGCCTGGGACAGTCTTTCCTGAGAGCTCAGGGCTCCCTTCCTTCCTTTCTTTAGGCCACCTGCACATAGAGACCTTCATAGGCACACCTACCTAAAAGACACCCTCCCACCATCACTGATACTCTGATTTCTGATATTTGTTTCTTTATTTTCTGCGTTCTCCCACTCGAATGCAAGCTCCGTGAGAGCAGACTTGGTTTCTGTTCACTGCTCTATCCATAGATCCTTGCTTGCAGCAGACATTCACTTGGTATTTGTTATATGAATGTATGCCTGGTTGGAGGGATGTTGGTGACAGTGGTGTAGACAGCTGCGGGGCCACCATCACATCTCTGCTGAAACTCCTATTTTAGGTCCACATCACTGGAGCCAAGGGACAGTATAAATGGTGAAATGGATTTTCCAGGCTAATTCGTCTCTACCTCCCACACAGATAGTTTTACTTTGCTTTAGTTGGAGAGGCTCTTAGCGCTACATGTCCAAGCCCACACACCTCACAATCTTCAGGCAACACTTCCACATCTTACCTCCCAAGCTTAGGACAGCGTTCCAGGTCTGAAACAGAACTGCCCAGGAGGAATGGACATGGTCCGTCACCTGGACAGGTTGCCCACTACACATTGCAAACAACCCTGGAAATTGAAAACATTTGGGCCCATTTCTCCACAGGGGAAACTCACATTCGCTTCAGTTTCTTGTACTGGGTGAAGGCTCCTGCAGGGATGGCTTTGATGGAGTTCTGTTCTAGGCGTCTGGGAAACAGAGCAGAGAAGAGTGAATTAACCATCCACCTGTCAACAAGTGGTCACTGAGGGCTACTGTGTTCTCTGGCCTTAAGGACAGGGAGGTCTTTTTTGTCACAGGTGCACGGTCTGGTTGTGGCAGACCAGACAAAACACTGCAGCAGTCAGAGAACTCAGGTCCTAGTACATGGAGCACCTGTCCAAGGGTCTAACTCTCCTTGGAGAAAGAGGGAAAGGATGATCTTTCCTTGAAGATTTTTGATTCTTGATTATTATAAACTGCTTTTGGCAGCAGCTGTCTTCTTCAGAGAAAGCTGTAGAAGTAACCAAGCAGAATGCGGAATAAGTCAAAGGGATAAAGAGAAGGAAGAGTAAAAAGAGATGGACCATGGGCCAGCAATGCTTATCTGTCATGGAACCATGTCACTACTCAGTTAAACAGTCAGCCACACTGCTAATGGGGCAGAAATGTCAATGGTTGACTTCATTTCTGAGCTTTTCCATGGGCTGTTTTAATACAGTGCAGGAACAGCCTTAACGTCTTTAGGCTCCCAGCCTGACATTCATCAAACTGGCTCCCTGACATCCTGCAAGGCCCAGGGGCCCAGACTGGACCACTCCCCGGGTCTGCTGCTGGAATCTGTGCCTTTAACCTCTTATGGAGTTTCCTGAAATGCTTCCTCTCCTATTACTTTGAAAGCAACAAGAGACGCTGCAGGCCCAGGGCCCAGAACTTCCTTGGAAGAGAAGGGGCCGTGGGGAATGAGTGAGCATTTCCATTCTTTATTCTTTCATCTCTCAAATGACTTCCTGTCACCAAGAACAGGTGTGGTGGGAAACAGGCATGTGGGGGAGGTGGGGCGCTCTATTCGGGGTGATGAATGGCACCCTGGCCCAGGCTCAGGATCTCATCCTCATCCATCTCCCTTCTCTCCGAGGTGCAGGTCTTTTCATCACCCCTCATTTGGCCTTGATGCTCCCCAAACCCTCAGCTGGGAAGACACACAAAAAAGTGTGTGTGGCAGGGGACGTAGTGGGAGCAAAAGGGGTAGATGGGAGGAACGGGCTTCCTTGAAGCCTACAGCTAGTGGATGCACATTTCTGGCTGGGATGAACCCATTCATCTTGAAGAGTAATCCCCGCTGTAGAGTGGGGGAGACAGTCGTATTAATTTGTGCCTCTGTGATCTCATCTTCATTGGGGGAACAGAATATTTGTTACTGGAACTGCTAATGGAGCAGTTTGCCAGCAATTTTCCCATTTCAAACAACATCTCAGCTGCTAATGTGGAATGGTTTGTCAGGCCAACCCATAACACAGACAAATCACTCTCCAGGCAAAAGGAAGGGGGAAAGCAGGGAGAAAGGGGAAAGGCGGGTGAGAGGAGAGAGGGAGTATCAGGACATATCATTCTTGGCTGCCGGATGAATAGAGTCTACAAATGAGACTGCCACGATCTATTAACAATGCCTTTGTACCCTGCTGGAGGGGGGCGGGGAGTGCACTTTACCGGGAGCACAGTCACAGGCCTGGCTAGCCTGCTCACAGAGAGCCACAAAAGCTTACCATAGGGTCTCAGAGACTGTGGGCTACTGGATACAGCCACCCACAGAGACAGCAGACTTGAGGCAGCCTGCCTTGCCTGAGAAGTTCCAAGGACATGCTCATTTTCCAGCTGAGCATAGAGTTCAGCAGAGATTTCTTAGCCAAGGCAGCAGCTCCATGGATCTCTGGGGCTGCCAGTCAGGTGGTGCGTGCTCTCCAGGAATCCCGTCATTCACCTGCCACTGTGGCAAGAGATTTCAGCTGGATGATGCCTCCAGGGAAAGCCACTGTCTGTAACAACGGCAATCCCCTCAGTTTTTGCAAGAGGATCCACTGCTCCCAACTGCAGGCCAATGAGCCTATGCAAGTCAGGCTAGCACTGGGTGTGAGGTCTGTGGGCTCTCTATGCAGTTCCTAATCAATTACCCTCCATCTTAATGATGGGTGCAAGAATTGAGGGAGAGACTAATCAAGGAACATGATGTGACGCTGGCCCCAAGGAGTCTGAGAATCTGATGAGAGAGACCAGCCCAAGAGCATCACAGAACCAAATTTTATTGCTACCATAATAAACATCAAGAGCCATCATTTATGGGGTCTAATTGACTATGTCTATTATCTCTTTTAATCCTTCCACTTGTGAGGTAAACCATATTGGCCCCATTTTGCAGATGAGGAAAAGAAAACCTAGAGGAATCAAATAGCTTGTCCAAAGTGACAGGGCCAGGAACGGGCAGAACTGATATCTCTGTTTCTATCCATTGGATATGCTGCCTCTATATATTTGTGAAAATGGAGGAACTGAAGGGGACTTTCTCAAAGTCACAGAACAGTTTAAGGGATTAGGACCCCAGGGCTCACACACAGAGACGTCATGCAGTCTCTGTGGAAGTAGGTATTCAGGGAAAAGCTGCAGGAGCCCAGAGAAGATGAAATATAGATGTGAATACACATAAGACATATAAATGGAGTACAAAGGTGTGGCTTCCAAACGAAGAAAAAAGAATTCCAGGCTTAGCCTGTTAAGCCTGGCAGAGATCTTGCTCTGCATCCTGCACCCCTCACACTTGCTCACTCTGGCTTTTGGTTTTCTTTTCTTCTTCTTCTTCTTTTTTTTTTTTTTTTAAGAGACAGAGTCTTGCTCTGTCACCCAGGCTAGAGTGCAGTGGTGTGATCATGACTCACTGCAACCTTGAACGCCTGGGCTCAAGTGATCCTCCCACCTCAGCTTCCTGAGTAGCTAGGACCACAGGCCCATATTACCATGCCTGGCTAATTTTTAACTTCTATTTTTGTAGAGAGAGGGGTCTCACTATGTTGGCCAGGCTTATCTCAAACTCCTGGCTTCAAGCAATCCTCCTGCCTCAGCATCCCAAAGTGCTGAGATGACAGGTGTGAGCCACCACGCCTGGCCTGGGTTTCATTCTTGTCTGCAGTTACTCAGCTTCTCAGGCTGTTTTGGGCACTGGCTGAACACCCAGCCCCTCCTGGAGTGCCAAGGCCATTGCATGATGAGGGTCAACCCTGCCCCAGGAGGCAGCAGGAATTTGTCTGCAGTGGGAGCGTGGTTGCGAACAGTTTGTGTACCTTCAATGTAAAGTAAAGGAAAGGGGAGGGATAACCATAACCACCACTACCACCAAGAGCTATGATGGATCAGGTGCTTAGTTGTTAGGCACCAGGCTGAGAGTTTCACATGGTCTGTCTGACTTAATAGTCACATTCTATGAGTCAGATCTTATTAGTTATTACCACCTCCACATTAAACATGAGAAAATTGAGGCTCAGAGAGATTAAGTCACTTGCCCAAATTCACAAAGTCAGGGAGAGGTTGAGCTGGGTCTCAAAGCCAAGTTCATCTGACTTCAAAGCCCAGACTCTCAATCACCAGGCTTTGCTGAATGCCATTTGGAGCTGAAGGGCCTTCATTTTCTTAGTCCTTTCCAGCTCATCCACAGGGAAAATGGCCCCTTTGTCATGCAAGCAAGGTTGGAAAGTGTGCACACATGTGTGCAGGTTCACATGCAGTCTCTGTGCAGCAGGTACTCCTGGAAGTCTTTGCACTTAGCCTAGTCCTGCAACCTAGAACAAGGATGCAAAGGTCCAGACTCCTAGTGTGAAAAGCTCAATGGAAAGGACAAAAAGAAGCATTTGCATCAGCAAAAACTGTCACATTTAGGGATGTGTCTGAAGCCAACAGCTGATTTAGGTCTCTCTTAACTGGCACATGTGTCTTTCTTTGTCTGGCAAACACTCTTCAGGCTGCAAACTGATTTAATAGAACTAGCATAAAAACAAACATACAAATCAAACATCTGAGTGTCTTCCCGCACCAGCAAAAACAATGGGAACATCTGATGGGGATTTCAGCCATTTGTGCTCTGTATTGATTTGCCCTAGTTCCTCAGATGCTTCCTTAATGATCTGTCATTTGCAAACATGTGACTAAACACAATATATTTCTAGCAATACAGAAGTCAACATGATGCCAGGGAGCCTGGCAGGGGCACGGCCGGCACAGGGGCATGTCTGCAAGTCACCTGGTTAAAAGGTCCTGGAGTGTGTGGAAACATTGGTGGTGGTGGTGGTGGTGATAATATGAACATTTACCATTTATTGAGGGCTTTTGATATGTCAGACACTGTCTTCCTTGCACACTGGCTCAAATTATTTTTTTCAACAGTACTATGAACCAAGTAGTATTATTAATGTACTCATTTTACAGATGAGGAAATAATGGTACGAAGAGGTCAATTTTCCTAAGGTCAGGTAGCTAGTGAATGGTGGAGCCTGAATTTGAATCCAGGTTGGTCTGGTTGAAGTCCCTGTGTTCTTAACCCTTAGGCTATCCTGCCTCCCACCCAGAAGCCACTTTTGTGGTTTCTTAACTCTTTCCCATCTCTCTCAGCCTTCCTTGACTTGGGAACTCTTGTTAGGATGTCCAGATCACGCTGAAGGAAGGAAGCCCCATGTTTATTCTTCCTTTAAGTCATCCTGGGCTAGTTGGTTGGACCAGACAACTTAGACCCCAAAGGTTCAGTTCCTGATGCTTCCCTATGCTGGAAGAAGGCTAAAAAGGAAGGTTCCTTTCAAGGTTATGCTCTGGGCCCACCTTCTGGGGCAGTCCCTTTCTGGCCTCTCTCTTTCTTTACCATTGGTCCTCATGGTTCTTCAGAAAGGTAGACTGTTGGCTGGGCGCAGTGGCTCACGCCTGTAATCCCAGCACTTTGGGAGGCTGAGGCGGTTGGATCACCTGAGGTCAGGAGTTTGAGACCAGCCTGGCCAACACGGTGAAACCCATCTCTACTAAAAATACAAAAAAATTAGCTGGGCATGGTGGTGGGTGTCTGTAATCCCAGCTACTTGGGAGGCTGAGATAGGAGAATCACTTGAACCTGGGAGGCGGAGGTTGCAGTGAGCCAAGATCACACCATTGCACTCTAGCCTGGGCAATGAGAGCAAAATTCTGTCTCAAAAAAAAGAAAGAAAGAAAGAAAGGTAAAGTGTATTAGACTCTCCCATCCAGTTTACATGTTTGATCCATAGAGAAGATGAGGAATGTAGGCATATCTGAGAAAAGCCATTCCCAACCTGTGCTGTGTGTAGACACCTGGTATTGCCTACAGAAAGCAGAGGTACAGACACAGCACAGAGCCAGATTTGCTTTGCTTATTCTGTGCATGTGCTCAGATGCCACAGAGGAAATTATTTTTTTGTCTTAGAACAAAATGGATGAAGAATTGCATGGGAACTTGAGACTAAATCGTTCTGTGATGACACACACATATACATGTGCAGATGTTTTTGCTTTTTACATTCTTTTTAGTAGCTTCCAAACAGTTCTCCATGTTATGTTATTTAATCTTCACGGGAGATTTCTAGGTAGGTATGATGACCCCCTTTAGGCAAAGTGGGGAACTGAATGAGGCATGAAGATGTTAAGGAATGTGCTTAAAGTAAGAGGCAGAACAAGGATTCGAACCCCCAAGTGTGGATCCCAATGCTCTGTTCCCAGTCACTCTGTCTGATCAGCTTCTCCTTCGTACCACCTGCTCCCATCCCACCCTATCACCCCTCCTTCCATGTGACAGTCCCTTACATGGAAACCTGGTGCTCTCAGAAAATCCAAGAGTCACTGATGTCCATGATTTCTAGAACATTCCAGCTCTCTGGTTCTGTTTGCTGGTTTGTTTTGTTGTGTTTTTAATTCTGTGTGTCTTTTAAACCCCCTGGTGGCTGGTAAGAATGGAATATTTGCTATTGTTAAGTGGCTGCCTCCCTATCTCAGAGAGACACTGTGGTTAAGGGGAGGCAGGGTGAAAACTGGGGCTATTTCCCCTGCCAGATGCTCTCACTTGTGACTGGACACGGAAGCCTGTCCATAGCCCTTCTTCATGGAAGACATTTAGCTTCCATAGCAGAAGATACGAGACACGGGATACCACCATGGGGAGATACAGAGCAAAAGTGGAAGAAGATGGGACTCTAAAGACAGATGGTCCCTCCAGAGCTTTTGAAGACTCATGAGGGCGTCTGAAGACCACAGAGCAGATGAACATGTGGGTCTCTGGGGCTTCCCATAATCAAAACCTGCTGGAAGCCAGAGCTGGTTCAGAGAACCGACAGGGTGCAGTGAGAACGGTGCCATCGGTGGGAGCTCAGCTTCGAAGAAAATCTGCAGTGAATCATCATCTCACTGTGGGTTCTCTGGAAGAAAACTATTTTTAGAGGAATGGGCTCTGGTATTCGGGGACACCAGCACACACTCCTCTGAGCTGCTTTGGCTTTGGAAAACACTGAAGAGAGTCTGCGAGACTGTTTTGCATGAGAGATAGGCAACCCCCTCCCCTTCCCCTAAAGTTGGGGAGTGCAGAGCCCCACCCAAGGTTAAGGCAATTTAAGAGAATCACTAGTAGCTAAGGATTGAGAATAGGGAGTGGAGAGCTTAACACAGTACCAAGCATTCCTAAGGAGAAAGTACAAATCTGGATTATATGGGTGGCCATGGACAAGGAGTGGAATTCTCAATAAGAAAAAAAAAAAAAAAAGACATTTGGATGTCTTTGGAATGATAAATCAGATAACTCCTATTCATCCTGGGGTGCATCCTGCTGTTTCAACTCTCTGCTCCCTTTTTTCTCATCTTCCCACCCATCTGCTGACCTCTCACATGGTAGAAGACTTTTAGGCCATCACACAGGTCCCCAGGTACATGGAAGAAGCAGGATCCCCCCTCCAACCTGCTCTCAAGTTCTCTCTTACATGTCACCTCTCGAACTGCCCTATCCAGCCATAGAAACTTGCCGCCTCTGCTTTAATTTTTCAGTTTCATTTTATCACAGAGGAGGAGGAGGCAAGCACAGCAAGAAAAGTCCTCGGCAATCCATCTGGTAGACCGTGGGTGCCCAATACGCAGGGGCAGTCTTATTTACATATATGAATACATTTGCATGAAGATGAGCTACTCCCAGGTTCAAGTCATAATGCAAGTGGCTAGCCTAGTTCCAGAACCTATTCTCTCAACCATAACCCTTCAAAGAACTGACCTATGTTTACGGAGGGATCTTTTGTGTAGGTAGCTCCAGCTCCTAGGATGTGGTTTCTAACCATTGTCATCATCCTAATAAAGGTCGTGGTGATAGTTGTAGTAGTTGCCAGTATGAACTAACAACAAGCATTGTTAATATAGTATATCCTACGGACCAGACACAATGCTAAGCATTTTACTATATTCGTTCACCTAACTTTCATAAGAACCAGTAAGGAGGTGCCATTAGCCTCTGCGTTTTGCAACTGAGGAAACCAAGGCTCAGAAAAGTTATCTGCCCATGGCTACAAGGCAGAGCCAAAGCTGGAATGTATGTCTGCTGGGATCCACAGTCTATACTCTTAACCTCTTGGTTGTTTGTATCTCCTTATTTCTGGAAACACTCTAGCTAGGATGATCATTCTCAGACTTTTGGATTTCAAAGACAAGGTGGTGACAAGACCTTTTATTTTGCCAATTATGGCAATCTGTGTGTATCTACTATACAATACACATAAAGTATAATTATACAATAATTACACATAGATAACACACAGAGACTACTCTGTCTTCAGTGGCTATCATTTTATAAAATAAAAGACATTTTTAAAAACGATGATAACAAAATAAGGAAGTCCAAAAACTGAAAGGATGCTCCTTTAAACTGAATATTTTTGCTCAATAGAAAAATATCACATTGTTCTTGTTTTTCTCACTTTACCTGATATCAGAGAAAAACTCAGTCGTAATAGACAGGCTTTTGGCAATTACTGTTCTAGCTTGTCAATGTTGCTTTTAAAATTCAACACATCCAGGTGTGAGTCCAACCTTTCAGGTATGGTCTGGCCTGCACAGAGCCCACCTCTGATGTTGTTATCTGCAATTTCTGTCTCCTGGAGAGCTGAGCTGTGTATCCACGAGGTCCAAACTGAGAGTATAGAGATGTGAAGTGGAAGGGGGGTGGCAGGCCCAGAGCCCCTCAATCAGGGCTGGGGTGGGCTCACTGGCTACAGCCTGGCTACCTGGACTGGACTCTTTCATCAGACTGCAGTTTGGGAACCTAGCCGAGGGACGGTCTATGGCTGCCAAAGAGAAAAAAACCTGGCAGATGGAAGGAGAAAAGAATAAGGTAGGGCAGGGAAGGAAAGGAACGATCCATAGGAATCTGAAATGAGATGAGGGCTGGCAGGAATTCTGTCTTGAACATCCACTGTGGGAGGGCCAGAGGCTCACTGTGGCTGGATGTTGAGGGAAGGGAAGTGAAGGTTAACTGGGTGGAGAAAGAGGTGGGCAGAGTGGGGAAGAGAAGTGGGAAGACCATGGGTAGGGCAAGGGAGAGAAGGGGAGAAATGCATCAAGGGAGGGAGAAAATGATGAAGGGGAGGGCGGGCACGGTGGCTCATACCTGTAATCCCAGAACTTTAGGAGGCCGAGGCGGGTGGATCACCTGAGGTCAGGAGTTCAAGACCAGCCTGGCCAACATGATAAAACCCCGTCTCTACTAAAAGTACAAAAAAATTTGCTGGGTGTGGTGGCAGGCACCTATAATCCCAGCTACTTTGGGAGGCTGAGGCAGGAGAATCGCTTGAACCCAGGAGGCAGAGGTTGCAGTGAGCCAAGATTGTGTCATTGTACTCCAGCCTGGGTGAGAAGAGTGAAACTCTTTCTCAAAAAAAAAAAAAAAAAAAAAAAAAAAAAGATGAAAGGGAAACAGTGCAAAAAGGAAAGAGAGCAAGGATAGGAAATAGGAGGAATGATGGAAGGAGGGAGATATTTAAAGTAAATTAGATAGTATGTTGGAAGGCCGTAGGAGGAGCAGGAGAAGTAGGTGAGGACTAAGTAGATTCCGTAGAGGGAGCGCTCTCTAAAGCTAGAGCACTGGACCACAGGGACTGAAGGAGAGGTGCATTAAAACCCTAAGGGAATGAATTGTCAGTATTTGTGGAAAGGAAGGTGGAGGGCCGCAGAAGGCGGAGAGGGCAGGCAGAAAGGACTCTTTACTAACCAGCTCCTGCCTGCCAGAGGGTGCGGAGGCATGGGTTGTGTCTACTATGGCTGGAAAATGGGACTGTAAAGGAATTAAAGAAAAGCTGGCAAAGTAGGTGAAGAAAGAAGAAGCGAAGTCTCCACTCCACTGTGGTAAGTCGTATGCTTCTTCCCGTTTCAATCAAGGTAAAGCCAAAGTCTTTAAAACGTCCCAGGATGCGGCCCCTCCTTACCTCTCTGATCTCATCCCCTGTTACCATCCCTTTTGTCTACTCTACTCCAGCCACACTGGCCTTCTGGAGCATCAGGCCCACTCCAGCGTCAGGGCCTTTGCACATGCGATTCCCTCAACCTATAATACTCTTCCTCCAGATAGCCATTTGGTTCTCTCGCTTATTTCATGTCCTTTTCTTATTTTATTTTTCTCCACAGAATCTACCTTCTGACATGTTATCTAACTTACTTTACTTTGTTGCTTGTTTATCCCCTCCATCACTAGAAGGCAAGTGTCATACAGGCAGAAATGTGTCTGTTTTGTTTGTTTCTGTCTTTCCAAGCACAGAACAATGACAGGAAAATAGTGGGCTCACAACAGATGTTTACTGAATGAATACAAGAATGAATGAAGGAGTCAATGGTCATCAATTGGAATGCATTGGGAACAGAAGGGCACACACAGGGAAGGGGAGGAGGGGGAAGAGGAGGAGGAGGAAGAGGAGGAAAGAAGAAAGGGGGGAGATTACGACAAAGCAGAAAGGCAAGGGGAATATGTATCTTTTATTTGGAGGGATTTTACCTAATGATGTTCTCAGTAGAAGGGCTCCATATAATGATCTTTTTAATCAAGCCAACTAAAGGTGAAGGCAAAAAAATGAAAACAACTGTCGCTATTTAAAGAATAATCTTGAGGTCAGTGTTGACTGGCCCTCTACTCATTTTAGAATGAGATACTGGCCATTTTCTAATGTATGAGGGGAGAGTGGACTAGACCGAACTATGTGGACAAACACATTTTACTGGAATTTTTGACATTCATGTATACACAGAGACAAACACCATCTTGTGTCATTACCTAAAAATGATCTAATCTAGAGGACAAAAATCAGATCTGAGATAATTAAGAGCTCAGTCCCCCTCTCAGATAATGGTAGCTAAGAAATGAGTGAATCATTTGTTTACGTCCCACCACTTCCACCACTATTTTACAGAGTACCTGCCCATGTGCTGAGGACTGTATGAAGGGCTCCACGTGTAGTATTACATTTAGTTTTCACAATGACCCACTGAGGTGTCATACTATAATTGTCACATTAATATAGGTGAGAAAACAAAGGATGAAGGAGACATTATTTTACCTGAAGTCACACAGCTAGTAAACGGTATGGCCAGGATACAAATACAGCGTGACTCTAAGGGGAGTTTGCAAACTCATTGGGACAGGCCAGAGAGAACATACTTTTTAGGCCTTGTGGGCCATGCAGTCTTCTGTGACAGCTGCTCAATACTGCCATATGAGACCAGCCACAGGCAGGACACATATAAATGGATGTGGAGGTATTCAAAAACATTTACAAAAATAGGCAGTGGGAACCCCTGGCCCTAGGCTATAGCTTGCTGATTCTGATCTCGAGTCTATGCTCTTGACCACCAAGCTATCATAGCTGGGAAAGTGTGGAAGGACAGCAAAGAGATTCCTGAGTGTTTTTAATGGTCAGCTCCAGCAGCCCCACACGCTGATGGCCTAGTGGGTGATGGGCTGGGACAGGGAGCTGAATTCTCCGGCGACAGTTGTTGGGGGTGTCAGACAGGTGCACTTACATTTCGACGATGCCCTCCGGCAAGTTGGCAGGAATCTCCATCAAGCCCTTTCCTCGACAGTCCACGATGTTATTGCTGCACGTGCAGGGCGAAGGGCAGGAGATGGAGTTGGCATTGCAGGATGGGGGCTCCGAGTGGGGGGCTGTGGAGCCAAGACACAACGGTCAACTTATGTCAGTGTCAGGAGCTGCCTGGGCTTCTGTGTCCTTAACCAGCATCCTAAGGGCAAAGCATGACCTGACAGCCATCTGAGAAATGATCACCAGCTGACATCTCCCTTCACCTGGGAGACACAGGTGCCACAGGCTAAATATTCAGCAAAGAGGAGAGAGTCTGACTTGACCTCACTGTTTGAGTTGCTCCGCCTGCTCTGTTATCCTGTCATCTCCATCTTTTGGAGAAAGAGGGGCCCTCAGAGTCAGTCACACATGAAAATATGCTGCCAGAATCCAAAGAGCATATGATGGGACCACTTTCCCAGGATGCATCCTGGGGTTTTAGCTGGTATTGGACGCTGAGTGTAAACATAGCTTTTAGACCTTTCTCTAGTGGCTGCAAGCCACGGGGCTATCAAAACCAAGTGGCAGAATGTCCCCATTTGCGGCATTGATGTTGTCAAAGTGTTAATACCCCCACCAGCAGCTACACCCAAGGCATTTCCAAATGGCTTCTTTGTCCAGGGAACATGCAAATAAAAGCTATCTCGCCTGAAAAAAAGGTGAGTAAGTTACTACAGATTTTGAAGCCAGCTGTTAATTTTGTTTGAGGTGAGAATCAGTGTGAATTTCAAGCAAAGTGACAGAAAGCCAAGCAAATAGTACCTAAGGAGCTCATTTAGAAAGCCAAATGTAGATAGACATATCCATTACTAACCCAACTCAAGATTCAAAGAGTCACCAGGAATCTAAATCACTTTCTGTGGTGGTCACATTAAATCCTGAATACAAGAAGTAAATGCAAATGTTTTAAGGACATTGTAAACATTTGCATGCTATGACTATTCCCTCAAAGTGAGGTAAGACTCTTAATCATATGGTTAGCTTTCCAAATGTGGATTTTTTGGTCCAAAACAGAAGCCCAACCCCACATCCCTCCCAGGACCTCATCCTACTGCTGCTGGATCCAGCTAACAGGGGTTATTTCAATGTCTTTCCAGATTGTCCTCTCAGGGAAAAGAGCCATGACTGAGACCAAACTTAGATGAGGTCTGCAGATTGCCTCACTGCTTGGACATGGGGCCTCTGGCTGGGGGCTCTTAATTGTAGATTAAACACAGAACATGAAAAAAGTCTGCAGGGAAAAAGTGATTTTTGGTTTGGCCCCTGTTCACTGGAGAAACTGAGTCTAGGAAGCCAGAGTGGGTCTAGCTACAGGGATTGAGCCAGACGACCAGCAGAGCCTGGTGTCCCGTTTGGACGCGGACGCTTCAAACAGAAGGTGGTGCGCTCTCCGCGTTCAATAGTCCTCGTGGCCCCAAGGGTGGATCCTCCTGCAGGGGCTCCAGTTGACATCTACAGCTTAATTTGGAACGTTTACCTCCCCAGAAAGTGCCAGCCCAATGACCAAAGATTCTTATTTCCCTCGACCTCACTTACATATACACAAAACAAAAACTGAAAAAATGGCCTCATAGTGGGGATGTTTGAGAAAATATTCTTGTCCAGGGTACATGGACCTCAAAGTTGCCAGTGCTACACAAGTGGATCTAATGGAGACCATGGAAAATGCCCGAAAGATGATGACTTACACTGAATTCCCAGCTGGAACATTCTCCTAGAGAGAGTGGTGATGCTGGCCTTGTTCCAAACTGGGAAAGCCTTTATACTTCTGAGAAAGTGGCAACCACAGAGAGCCAACCTGTAAGAGACTCAGCTCAGGAATGGGAGAGTGTTGGGGCTGAGAATGTGGGCTCTGGGTCCTACTGCCTCTATCTGATTCCTGGTTCTATCATTTCATCATTATTTCCCTGTGCCTCAGTTTTCCCATCTGTAAAATGGGGAAAATAACAATACTTATTTCATAGCATGGTTTTGTTGTGAAGGCAAAGGTAGGTAATGCCTGAGACGTCTTTATTAGAATACACGGCACAGGGTAAGAGTTTGGTAATGTTCATTGTTATTATTGGGCCTGCTCTGCTACAAATTGTTTGTAAGACTTTTGGCAAGTCACAGTACCTCTCTCTGAGCTTTTTTTGGTGCCATGTCAGTGAATAAGGAGTTTGGATTGCATGATTACTGAAGTTCTTTCTGAGAAGGAGTGAAAATACCTAACATCTTTACCTCCCCTGCTCCACCTCTCTTTGCAGACAGCAAAGGGAATTCTACGGTGTGAAAGGCTCCCATCCCATCACCCACATCGAAGGGAGGTTGGGAGCAGTTGGCCTCAGATGTCAGGGTGTTTGAAGTACAGATGGCGTTCCCTAAAGAAAACTGCGGAGCCTGGCCTTCCACATCAAAAGGAGAGCACACCTGACAAAGCCAGGGAGAAGTCCCACACTTGGGACACCTTCCTGTTTGGAAATGTCAGGAATGGGAGTCTGAACTCTTGCATTTTCCATCTGTTCAGGTGGAGGGACTGGATGGCCCTCCCTCTTTTGATCTGTGAAATATTACTTGAATGGGGTGTGTTGGAAAAGGGGAAAGAAAGATACCATATTCAAGGGCTTATAATGGCGGTGGAAGTTCTAACATGGAATTCTTCCAAAAGTACCCCTTTCTGACTTCCAGGCTGAAATTAATTCTGTTCTAAACCAGACCCAGGGCACAGCCTTGAGTCCCTCTGGGAAGTGGCTGGGTCTTCCGCAGGGTGACTCCCATTCTGTTTGGCAGTGTGTGCTACATTTCAAGGGATGCTGTCAAGGCAAAAGAAGTCTTTGAAAAAGATTCCTTAACCAGGTCACTAACACCACCTTTAATTAGGCAGAGAGAAACAATGGTAATTATAGCCTCTGATAGCACCCTGGGCTGGCAGCTCACCAGCCAGGCATTCGCACATGGTGAGGACGTTACCTTCCTGTTTAAACGAAACACTTCTGGCTTACAATGAGGTTGAAAGATGGGTTCGTTTTCCCTAGAAACATTCTCCTGTGATCGATGCCAATGGACCAAGCCCATTCCCTGTGGGCCACGGAGAGCTAGATGGCAGAAGTCCCTCCACTTTGCTCCCTGTCTGGACTGAGATTGGAATGTAAATTCCATAATGGCAGTGGTGTTTTTGGTCTTAATCACTGGTGTACTCTCAGTGCCTAAAACAGGGCTCCATACAAAGCACGGACCCATAAGCATACCTTGGCTAAATGAGAAGATAAGTACATAAGGACACTCGCCCAGAAGCCTGGCACATGTGGAGGGGCTAAATGTCACAAAGCTACAGAGGTGAGTGTTCCTTCTGGAAGGGCCCTGAGGGAAGCTTCCTGAGTTTTGAGTGCCTGGCCTCTGGTAGGTAGGATGAGCTGTAGAATGGGGAGGTGGAGTGGCCGTGGGAGATGGGACTCTGTCTGCAGCTCTCTTCTTTCCACCACAGCTTTCCATGCTGGCAAAATCACTTGTCCAAGTCACCTGGGGCCCCTCTGAGCCTATCTCACTTGCACAAGCCAGGGTGTCCTAAGCAGTCTACTGAGCTCTGTCAGCAAATCCACCCCTTCCAGCCCTTACTGTCCACACATGTTGGGGAAGGTAGAGGCAGTGGATTTCCAAGGAGGACAAAGTAAGGAAACACCTACCTTTTTACCCAGCAAATTATATGACTGTAAGTTGGGAAACAGAGAGGAATGGGAATAGCAATTTTATATTGGGATAGAAGGAATCACTTTCTATATCTCCGATGAAAGCATCTGTCTGCATGCACATGTGTGTTCCTCTTGTACAGCATGCTCTTATGGCGGTCTCATGACCCACACTGTCCTTGAGTGAGCCTATGTACTGGCAAGGAAGGTGGCCTTAACTCAGAGCACAGTGATGCACCAGGCTATAGAACCCCTGTTATAAGATGTTTTGATTAGGAGCATGTGGACTTGCTCTGCATGTCTTCATTTTTAAATAAGTGTCCACACTATCTGCTCTTGGAGCTCTTTCAGTGGCACTAAAATGCTGCTCTGCTGGGGTGGATTTCTTCTCCAGAAAAGGGGGCTGAGGATGTGGCTCAATACGCGTCTCCCCTCTGGGGGGGACTTGGTCACCACTTCGGCTCTGGGCTCTCTATCTGAAGCCAAAGCTGTCTTTGTGCCAAACGGGGCAGAAACTACAATTCCTAACCTTCAGATGTCTTTAAGGCCCCCTGGACCATGGCCTGATGACTTCAAGGGGGACAGAGCAGAGCCTGGGAGAATGGAGGCCCCTCCCAGCTCCTCACTGATCATCAGTGGTGCTGCCTCCGGTCCAGGGAACACTCAAGTGAGTGAGAGGGGAGGGATGCGTCTCCAGCCCAAACTCTCACAGGGAAAGTCCCTGCGGCTGCTTGCATGGGTATTGTGCCCAGTATCCCATCTCTGCTGCTTGTATAACTCCCCCTGAAGTTATCAGAGGGAAGAAAGACTGAGCCATAACCAGGGACCTGCCTCCTGCCCAGCCACATTGTTCTTCTCCTAAATGGTAAAATGGGGATGATTATCAAGGTGAAAGCGAAAGGTCCTAACTTGCCTGCTGAGATGAGTGGGAAAAAGACCACCAAATTTCACACTTAGATGGGCCCATGGAGATGGCAAGGAAAGAGAAGCCCTGAGAGAGGAGGGGACTTGCCCAAGGACACAGTGGGGTCCAAACTAAGAGTAGCCATCAGTCTCGTAATAGCAACTAACATGTATTCAATGTGTACTATGTGCCAGACACTGCATTGAGTGCTCTGTATATATTATCTCACTTGATCCTCATAAAACCCATGATTTAGGTTCCATTCTTTTTTTCCCCCTTAGCATGAGATGAGGAAACTGAATAGGGGGTTAAGCAAACTGTCCAAGATCATAAAGCTAGTGAACAACAATGTTTTAATGTTTAGCCCTGTGCTCTTCTTTCTGTCTGCTCTGCCAAAAGGAACCCCAAATTCCTCCATTTATTGCCATGAAACTGAAAACCATCAGAGCCTTGGAATCTCAAGAGGTAGGAAGAGCAGGCTCAGGGACTGAGACACAGGTTGTGTAAGCTACACTAGAGATGATCAAACACTGTTGTGTTAGAGCAGTGTTTCTTTCTTTCCATCTTTAAAAAACCTCATCCACAACGAGCTATCACCCCATCCCAGTTTGAATGGTTATTACCAAAAAGACAAAAAACAACAAATGCTGGCACCAATGTGGAGAAAGGGGAACTCTTATACACTGTTGGTGAGAATGTCAATTAGTACAGCTACAACGGAAAACAGTATGGAGGTTCCTCATAAAATTCAAAACAGAAGTACCATATTCAACAATTCTACTACTGGGTACATATCCAAGGGAAATAAAATCATTGTGTTGGTGAGGTATCTGCACTCCCATGTTCATTGCAGCATTAGTCACAGTAACCAAGATATGGGATCAACCTGTGTTCATCAGTGAATGAATGGATACAGACAATGTGCTGTATATACACAGTGGAATACTATTCAGCCATAAAATATCCTGTCATTTGTAGCAACATGGATGGAACCGGAGGACGTTATGTTAGGTGAAATAATCCAGACACAGAAGACAAAATACCACATGATCTAAGTTATATGTGGAATCTAAGAAAGTTGATCTCATAGAAGTAGAAAGGAGAATGGTGCTTACCAGGGCCTGGGGAGGGTATTCGGGAGGAGGACATAGGGAGAGACTGATCCGCATGTATGAAGTTATGGTTAGAGAGGAGTGAGTTGTGGTGTTCTAGTGCCCAGTAGGGTGACTACAGTTAACAATATTGTGTTGCATATTTCAAAATAACTAGAAGAGAGCATTTTGAATGTTCCCAACACAAATGTATGAGGTGACAGACATGCTAAATCCTCTGATTTGATTTTTACATAATATATACATATATTGAAACATCACACTGTACACTATCAGTATGTTCAATTATTGTGTGTCAATTCAAAACAAAATAAAAAAATTTACAGAATATTTTGAAAGTCTGAACAACAACAAAAAAACCTCACTTGGTAAAAGTGCAGAGTCAAAAGCTCCAATGGCCTTGTGAGCATGTGGAAATAAATTAATTCCAGTATTCAAATTAAGCATCCTTACTGGCCTCTGGCCTTTCAAAAGCCAACAACAGACTGCGATGACAATGGGACTCGAGCAATTATGATGAGAATATAAATGAATGTGATTTAAATACCAGAGGCATGATAATTTTGGGAATGGCTAAATAAAGCTAATAATCTCATTCCTGCAATGTCCAATTATGGTGTTTTAATTAAAACCTCCTAAGGAGATGGGTGGCTGGTCATGGCTTACCTTAATTATCTTTGTACTTAGTAACTAGTCCCAAATTAAAAAAAAAAAAGACGATGAAAAGGGAAAGTTTCTTGTTTCTAGAGAGATAAGCATATTTCATTTTTAATAATAAATGAAGTGCTTATTGAGAGGCTATTAGGTTCAAGCTTTGTTCTAGGCATTTGGGGCACCTGAAAAAGTGTACGACGTGGCCCCTCATTACTAGAAGACAAGACTAATGTCTGTAGGAAAGGATATCTCACATTTAAGGCCAAGGGCAGGTAAGTGTGAAACAGATGGACAAACCAATGGGTTCAAAGACATTCAAAGCAAAGAGATAACTGATTTAGGAGGTCAACTAATAACCTTGAATTACAAATTGCGACTGGTAGAAACCCTTCCAGATTAAGGTACCAGAAAATTAACAAGTGGAAGGTAAATCCTAAAATTTAAACCCCCAAATAAACCCTTTAGATAAGGATGAAAAAAAAAAAAAAAAACCAACAACTTGCAACTCATGTAACATGAACTTCTTCTCTGGTCTATGATCATGAACTTTGATAAAGTTCTGGTCGGGTTCAGGCCACAAGCAACCAGACACTTCCAGCCGTAGGGCCTTAACCTTCCTCTTGAAACAAGAAAAGTTCACAGAAATCCTTTCAGCAGAAGCTGAAGGGGGCCAAGTAGTCAAGTTGTATAACATAGGGAAAAAAGTTAATAAAAAGATAAAGCTCTATTTCCCCACCCTTGTGAAAAATTCCCAATACCCAGGGGAAGAAAATAAATGCCTTCAACTGGAAAGGTACAGTTGACAGAGGAGATGAATTTTGCCAAAGTGCACTGCTAGCAAATTTCTGGGTTAGCTGGAGTGATAAGGAGCCCATATCCAGGGCTTCTGGGGAGAAGAAGCTGGGCTCCAGACAGCTGGATTTAATTCAAAGGGAGATATCAGGCACTTGGGCAGGCAGAGCCCTCACAGGCTGAGCGAGATAAAGCTCTTTCCTGTCTCTGGAGCCATGTGTTTGGTGAAATTTTTGATACCATTTAAAGGCTCAGGGAGCTTTTCTTATGCTGCCTGGATGGGGACTGCTGGTGATGAAGCTATGCCCAGGGATGGCTTAATTGCTACCCCAATGCCTCTTTTCCTCCTGAGTGGATGACCTCTATTTTGTAAGAGAAGTTCTTGTCTTCAGTTCTTGACTGAATTTCTCCTCTTGTGGTTTAACAGGTGAATAGCTTGAATGAGGGGCATTTGGGGTTTTTGCAGTTAAAAACCACCACAGGGCCGGGTGCGGTGGCTCATGCCTAGAATCCCAGGGCTTTGGGAGGCCGAGGCGGGTGGATCACCTGAGGTCAGGGGTTTGAGACCAGCCTGGCCAACATGGTGAAACCCCATCGCTACTAAAAATACAAAAAATTAGCTAGGCAGGGTGGTAGGTGCCTGTAATCCAGCTACTCAGGAGGCTGAGGCAGGAGAATTGCTTGAACCCGTGAGGCAGAAGTTGCAGTGAGCCAAAATACTGCCATTGCACTCCAGCCTGGGTAACAAGAATGAAACTGTCTCAAGCAAACAAACAAACAAACAAACAAACAAACAAACACCCCACCATAGACAGGTCCATACAAAACAGTATCCTTCAGATGCCTTGTGGGGCTCAGGCATTGGGGCAGGACTGGTTGTTGGTGGTGGCGTGTGGAGTGTGGTCAGTCCTTGAAAATAGCTCTTCTCCTTAACCTCCTTCTCTAGGGCCTCAAAGACTGACCACTCATGTTTCAACTGCACACTCACAGACTGAACCTTCCTCCACATTGCTTCCTCTCAAGGTTTTGTCATTGTCTCACAAAGTGTATTTAACAATTTTTGAAAACGCATTAGGTTGGTGCAAAAGGTACAAAAGTATTCGCAGTTTTTGCAATTGAAAGTAATGGCAGAAACCACAATTATTTTTGCACCCACGTAATAGCAGAAGTCTTTGGAGGGCATGTTCCACATGCACCTGACTCATGATGGTAGGAGTTCAATCTTCATGGATGTTCACTGCACCAGGGCCCCCAGATCTTTATATCTGACCTTGACCTTTTCAGAGAGTAACGGCTCACAGCATTCTAGGTGGTAACCCATGGGAGTCTGCTAAGGCACTTAAAGAATCCCTCATGCATAGGGGTCTCAATATGTCCCTGCCCTTAATTCATACTACAGGCGAGAGGGTGGAGGTTAACAGCATAGTCATGTCTGGAGCCTTTGGACTAAATTCTCATGTTCTCAAAAGACACCTGGCTTCATACTAAGAAGCTCCAGGGACCATCACAAGCAATGGGATTAACTGCTATAAACAGAAGTTGATAAAGGTGCTCCCACGTAACTACGAACCTGTCCGCTGGACCTAGCCTTTCCAAAGGAGAAAGAGTGAGGCATTCAGATTTAATGGACTTTGGAGGGTCAGCCTTTCTCCCCTGGTTTTGGATCCTGACTGCTGCTGGGTGAGCAATGTCTTGCTGCACCTTTGACAGGAAGGTGCTCTCTGATGAAGTGGTGTGTGAGGTCATACACTACATTAAACCTGGCACTCACCTGTAATGATGTGTTTTATCATTCTAATTAGTTTTTCTCACTACCTCTTGGATGACTCTCGTACTCTATAATTATTTCTTTCACTTATGCCGATATTGTACCCTTTGCCGAATAATTACTGTAATTATAGTCACTATATTTGAAGTTGGTGCCTGCGTGATAAATGGTTTTATTATATGTGTTTGATGGGAAGTGATTTCTAAGTGGGTGTCTATAGGAAGTTATTGAGGTACTGCTTGAGACATGTTAAAATATTTTCAGATAATAAATAACATGGTAAAATAACAACATGACAGGAGGAAGCGGCAGAGAATGAGATGAAGTTGAATTCAAGGAAAATTCTTGTATATCGCAAGTGTGATCTAAGAGCAGAAGAGGCCAGAGAGTTTGCGCTTCTGGCCATACTGGAGTCCAGCAGCCCATGCTGGGCCCGGTAAACCCTTTAGTACTAAAGGTGGGCACCAGTTAGAAAGGTGAGAGAAATGCAGAGCTCACAGTGCTTAAGCTCCCTGGGGTCCTTGTTTCCTCTTGCATGCCAACTCCCCAGACTCAGCCTTTAGAGGCCACTGGGCCCCAATTCTGGGACTGGCTTCCTGGAAATCAAAATACCTCTTTGGGAAATTTCTCAACTGAATGCTTTCTGTTTTTTTTGTTTGTTTGTTTTTTTAGGAAGTCAAGGAATTAGCTCTACTTATTTACCACAGAAAAAGGAAGAGTTGGTGAGAATGGAAGGTGCCAATGCAAAGTAAAAGCAAACAACTAAAATTTGGGACCCTGGTTCTTTTATTTATTTTTTTAATTTTTGAGACATTTCACTGTCGTGGCCCAGGATGGAGTACAGTGGTGCGATCTTGGCTCACTACAGTCTCCACCTCCCAGGTTCAAGCGATTCTCCTGCCTCAGCCTCCTGAGTAGCAGGGATTACAGGTGCCCGCCACCACGTCCAGCTAATTTTTGTATTTTTAGTAGAGACGGGGTTTCACCATGTTGGTCAAGCTGGTCTTGAACTCCTGACCTCAGGTGATCCACCTGCTTTGGCCTCCCAAAATGCTGGGATTACAGGTATGAGCCACTGTGCCCAGCCAGGACTCTGTTTTAAAGCTACATCCCCTGGAAAGATTTTCCTGGGTTACTCAGCCACCTCCCATCCCCAGAGATCTGAGCTGCCTTCAGTTATGTGTCTGCATCATTCTGTTTTCTGTGCCACATAGGCAATCTGTGCTTCTGTTACATTTCGATTACCCACAGATCAAACTCTTATGTTTGCTCAGCACATTTTGTGAGCCCACTAAACTATAATAATTAAGCTCCACTGATTTAGCTTTTACCAAGGGCTGTGTATTATGCTAAGTGCTTTATATGCATTATTTCACTTAATCCTCCCACCTGTTCTTTGAGTTATGAACTATTATTATTTCCATATTGCGGATGAGCAGTAACTTGCCAAAGTCACACACCACTAAGGGACAGAGCTGAGATTTCCAGCCAAGCAGCTGACTCCAGAGCCTACATTATCTTGTCTTCCAATTTCTATGAGCAATGGGACGACAGGAACATGTTTAGCAGATGCTAGAACACCTCCGTTATACCTGTTTCCATTTTATGTGTGGCTCAACAAATGTTCGGTTTCTAGTATCAATGGACTAGGGGCTGAAAAAGTAGTTCATGAATTCTTTTAGCATTTCCCTTTACCAGATGACAAGAGTTTCTGTTTTAAAACCCTTTGAGGCACGTCACAGTTCTTTAAGTGACTACTGAGTACTGAGGACGACCTATGGGGTTCCTTCCACACCAAGCTCTGGGCTAGGGTATGTGTTCAAGGTCAGGGTGATGTTGTGGGAGCTCATGGGTGGGTGGGTCATAGCACAGGAGGGGAGAGCAGGTAAAGCATCCTCACCTGGGCACACGTACTCCTTCTTCTGCACATCCGCCACGTTGAAGCCCCTCAAATGCACAGGAGCCATGCAGAGTGTGAACTGGCCAACTGTCCGTCGCTGTCGCAGCCAATCCGAGAGCCAGGCCAGGTGGCAGTCGCAGTACAGGTGGTTGGAGTGGAGGCGCCTGGGAGAGGGCGGGACAGAGAGAAGGCATGGTCACAGGTGAAGTGTGGAGGCTGTCACTGGCCAGACAGAGTGACCAAAACCCCTGTTGCCCCTTTCTCCAGTGTGAAAATCCCTAGGAGCCCAGGGAAGCAATTCCCTCTGCACTACCAAAAACATGGGAGCCCCAACCCTTTCATTGCCAGGTCACATCCAAAGGATGCCTCCGGGGTTCTGAGCAAAGCTCATTTTTTAATAGCAAGTCCACCCTCTTTTCTTTTCACTCAAGCAAGCCTCAGCACATGAGAAAAGGGGAGTGACATTATTACAGTGACATCCTGATTGGAGTCAAACTTACAAAAGGGCTATTTATTTGTAAATTTCAGCACTTTAGCCAGCATGAGTTACAGGTTGCTTGAAACATGCTTCTCAATCTCAATGCCCCCATCTCCAGCGACATGCAGCTGAGAGACGCTGTTGCCTTTCCCTGAGTTGTTCTTCGTTCCCCCGCTAAGTGTCCTTTAATAAACCCACTGCATGTAATGCTTGTGGGCTTAAAACCAATACCACTTTGTGTGCACTAGCTGGAGTGAGCAGGCTGCAGACAGAAGGGAAATTTTTAGAGGATGTACCTTCTTTCCACCCTCCCACTTAAATAAGGTGTTGTCTGTACCAGACTCTTGCAATCCATAGCCATCTCTCCACAGTGCCCTTGCTTTCCTTCCTGTGTTCAATTCTGTCTGGTGTATTTGCTATTCTGACTGATTCAGGTATGGCTGAAAATATTTTCTAACCAGTTCTAGGACGCTTTGGCTTTCCCCCTCTGGTAGTTGTGGTTCCGGATGAATTTCTTGCCCCTGAGTAGATAAGAATCCCTGGAGGGATCTGTGTGTTTCACTTCTGAGGGGAATCCCATCAAGTTAAGTGACTTGAACTTCCTTTCCACTACCAGGGAGGCAAACTAAGGATATCCAGGGGCTTCTAAGGCAAACTACGGATATTCCAGGTTCTTCCCCCAAGGTCTCTCTATCAGGGGTTTCCCATTTCCACGTTCCCTACAACCCTAGGTCACTAGAAGTTGGTAGTGGGTAAGTTTTCATCACGTCAGCTTGTCATGTACTTGCATTTCGGATGCACATTTTAAATGCCTAAATCCTGGACATGCTAATCAGCTAGCAGTATATAAAGACTTTCAAGTAGTCTGTGTCAAGCCAGTTATTACTGAGTGTCAGCCCTGTGGAGAGGCTCAAGCCCCCTCCACGCCTGGAATAGAGAGAGCTGAAGGGCTCTTGACCAAGCTCCACTTAGTGTAAGGTCAACATTGCCAAACACTGGCCAAGTGCAGCTACCTCCTGCTGGATGCCAGCAGGGCCTTCCTGCCACTGTGTGGGCAAAAGCCTCCCATAGGCCTGGGCCACTGGGGCCTTGGCCGCCGCAGGGGGCTCCAGATCCCATCATATCAGATAGATTAAATGAACCTATATCCCATATAAAATGTAATTTTTTCTGCTAACAATTTTGAAAAAGACTTTTATGATTTTGTTTCAAAAATAATTAATCTGGATGTAATTTCCTTTTTGCATTTCCCAGTGGGTTGCACACACTTTCACAGGCTCCTGGGCCCAAGATACAGTGAGTACAATGGGTCCCACGCAGTTCTCCCCTTTGAGTTTGAAAGCTTAGAGTTCTTGAGCTGAAGCAAGCACTGCTTGCTCTTCGCCTGGACTCTGGAAAGAAGTGAGACAGGCAGGAAGGGGTTGGCGAACCAGAATCCTAAGCTGGTGGGAAGGACCTCAGTTCTAGGAGGGAAAGCAAAACCTCTGTTTATTCATTAAGCATTAACCACTTTATGCCAAAAACAGAGAGGAGGCTTGGCAGTGGACTTTCAGCTGACTTTTCGCCGGGTATAAATGTTGCCCAAGGAACACGGCAACAGTAGGTCTGTCTGGGACAAAGCAGACCACAGGGCAGCCTGCCGTGGCATGCGCAGGCTGAGGTGCCGTTCTTTTGTGTGCCGGGAGAAGCAGAACCTTTTAATGAGCGTTTGGCTTTTATTTGGAAAGGTGGTTGCCCT
The DNA here is from genome assembly GCF_000001405.40 of Homo sapiens. Taxonomy (NCBI): domain Eukaryota; kingdom Metazoa; phylum Chordata; class Mammalia; order Primates; family Hominidae; genus Homo; species Homo sapiens. Next base: position 168,819,516 of record NC_000005.10, read on the forward strand.
CTTGTGCAGTGAGGCGCGGAAGCTGAGGCAACAGGGATTCTCTATGAGCCAAGGAGCATGTGTGCATGTGGCGGATCACAGATCAATGCAAACAAATTCCCGTCGGTTCCGATCAAGGGTAAGAGATCAATGGAACAACAAAAATGACGTTTAGGTAAGTCAGATCCTTACTGAGCTGATTAATTTCTGGGATAATAAAAATGTCAGAGGTTTCCCTTTTGGAAGATTCTATTAGGTTGATCCTGTCTCAATCCTGGCTGGCTGGCCCCAAGCTATCTCTCTTCTTAATCTTGATACAGATAGTTCCTATCCCTTTGTCCGTCTTAATAGAAATTTTTCTCCTCCCAAGAGCACCAGAGGAAAGAGGTGACCCAGACTGATTTGGAGCCATCAGAGGGCTCTCGTCAAAAGCCCAGGGCAGTGGAGTCCAGGGTGGTGAACAGACTCCACTCCCTCTTCTTGGAATTGTATCCACCAGAAATGCTAAAAGAGTCAAGCTGGGTAGATTCTTGCCTTTCACAACATGTTTGGGAGATCAAGCTAAGCAATACCATGTCAAATAGTAAAAGAAAAATAATCATAATGGCATGAAATTAGAGCTTAGGCACTGTCAGGGGTAGCGCTAATCCTCTTGAGTGAGAAGGGACATTATTTTAATTACTTTCAATAGTTTTGGTGAGGTGTGACAGCAACGACACAAGGGAGGGTGGCCTCCATAGGCTCCTGGGCTGTGCAGAGGCTCTTATCCCCCTTCTTCTGTTCACCTGGCACCTGCTCTTCTGCTTTTGTTCCTGATGAATGGCCTGAGCTCAGGCTGTGATGGCAAACTGCCTGAGTCTGACACTGGCTCCGTGCTTTCTGACTTTGACTTCGGGTGGCAATTTAACTCTGGGCCTCAGTGTTATCATCTGTCAAATGGGGATATTAGTGATGCCTCCTTCCTAGGGCTGCTGTGAGAATTGAAATGATTCATGGGAAGTGCTTAGTACAAGGCCTGGCACGCAGCAAACCACTGAAGAAATGTTCACTGTTAATTACGACTGACAGGAGACTAGCTCCAGACTTCACTCTCTTCCCAGCCCATGGCCCTGCCTGGACAAGGCTGCAGTTTCTCATTTAGATACTGTAGCACCGAGGTGGCTAGGTGGGTCCTGCATGTTGTTCTGCAATCTTTTGCTGATGGACACATCATATTCCATGTTGATGAAACCACCTCTACAGAACATAAGGTGAATGAATACAAATGCCAATTTATAAAAGGTGCCTTTTAGCCACAGACGCTAAATTAAATTTCCAGCAAATCCTTTTAGAGAGGGTCAGTGTTCATTTTCTATAAAATGTGGCTTTCTAAATTCAATATAAAAGCTTTCCTTTAGAAATCCCATTTATGGCTTCCTTCCTCTCTCCTCTTCCCCGCTTCTCCACCACCACCAGCCGTCCCCCCCAACCCCATACACACTTTAATTACAGTGAAGGGGGATTAGTCAGCTCAAGTCTCCAGGGAGTTCTGTACAGAGCCATCTCTGAAATTAAACTAAAGAGAAAATGGCAGCAGGCAGGGAGCAAAGAGAACAGACGAGATTGATTGATTGATCTGAACTCATCAGATGAATGTTCGGGATGGCAGAGAAGAATGACAACAGAAACCAGTAGAAAAAAACCCTCCTGTTCTCTTCCCCCGCCCTACTGCAGCCCAAACAAAGTACCCCAGATCCAGGCCTAACCCTGTCCCTACAACTCCCAGGGAATGAGCCCAGCTTCTGTTATTGCTGCTTCTAAACTGAAAATAACAAAGAAGGGAAGGATAAATCACAGGAACAGCTCACAGGAGCTGGACGGCTGATTCCTGCAGGTGAGAGTCATTTTTCTTCGATGCAACCCACATGTCTGGGGTAATGCAGGCCCAGCACCCTGAGGTGCACTCTTGGCTTCTTGCCCAGAAGCCCTGGGTCCCACTTTTCCCCAGCTCATCTGTGGTTTGCTGGGAACTTTGAAGAGGTCTTTGAAGACCAAATGGCTTCTTAAAATTCCATTACTGCACTACCCTATTTTAAGAGGGAGGGAAAGGAACAGATTTTCTTGGCTGAGTTATGCTTTTCAATGAGGGATCCAGGAAAGAATTTGGGAAGCAAAGATGGAAGCAGGGCTCAGATTATTATTCTTTATAATAACGAGTATTTGTTGTGTGCACACCATGTACCAGGCACTTTATGTGTTAAACTGCACTTCATTCTCACAGCAACTTTGAGGCAAGCATTCATGAACTCACTTTCCTTGAAGCACAGAGAAATGAAGAAACTTGCTCAAATTAAGTGGCAGAGCTCCCATTTAAACTCAGGCCTAACTGCAAACTCTGTGTCCTTCTTAGGGTTCTCTGTATTACCTCTTTATATAAATTGCTTCTTTGGTCTTTGTTTTATCTTTGCCTGAAGATAAAGTTGCTTTCTCATGAATGCAGTGGTTCTCAAACTTTATGAGCATTAAAATCTCCTGGAGGGCTTATGAAAAACAGATTGCTGGGTGCCACCCCAAGAGATTCTGATCTGGTATGTCTGGTATGGGGCCTGAAATCTTGCTTTTCTAACAAGTTCTGGGTGATATTGATGCTGCTGGTCTAGGGACCCCACTGTGGAAGCTCTGCTCTAAGGATTTCCAAATCTCATGGATTGTACAGGCAGCACAGATCAGATGGCTGCTTGGAACTTTCAGTCCAGATTTCTGATCGTGTGATAATAATGTAACAATCAATATCATTTATTGTCTACTGCTTGCCAGGCACTTTAAATATCTAATTTCATCTGATCCTCACCACCATTCCTATTTATAGAGGAGGGAACAGAGGAAACAGAGCTAATAAAGGGGACTGCAGGAATTCTAGCCCTTGGCCTTGGCCCTAAATGTTTTTGGCTGACACCCTTGGGAGCTGGCTCTCCCTGACCAGTGTGAGGCAAATACCACCGAAGCTCCACCAACACAAGCCAAGTATCAAGTCTGAACCTCTCTGGAAAGGCTGATAGAGTCCACTTACAGAGAAACTTACAAAGAGGTTCCTGACTGGGAGCAGAGGGGAACTCCCCAGGTAATAAGAGCACTAGAACTGCTCTCGGTATTGGTCACGATGAGGAGATTTGTTTCCTGAGTATGCACCCTGGAAAACTTAAGCCCACCTAAGACATCAAAGGTAAAGAACCAAGTATGAGAAAGACGGCATTCTAATGTCAGAATATCATCCAGGGAGCAGGTGAGCAGGGAAATGTGCTGGGTGGGGGCTGGCTGGGTGGAGAGAAGGAGTGACTCTCCTGTACTGTCATTCCTCAGGGGAAAACCATTGCAACCACTGGCAATCTGACAGAACTGCTGATGTTACGTGACATTAGCTAAGCAAATGGTGAATCATTCAGTCAGAGTTCTATATGCTTTGTGACAATGTAAAACTAATCTCTTCTATCAGGACGGAAAACATGCACACAACACAGGAAGAATTCCCACAGTTCTAGGGTAAGAGAAATGAGTCTGTCTGACGCAGAACGGTGGTTCAGAACCATGGTTGGTGGCACCATGACCTGACTCTACATCTACCCTCACTCGCCAAGGCACCCCTTGGTTAATAGCAGAAGGAGGAATTTGAATGTCGGAACCATCTGCCTAGTCATAGCATGGTAGGTTTGACAAGCAGCGTAGAGTGCTGCACTTTGGGCGTGAGGTAGGGAGAAAATGGGAGAGATGCACAGACTTCTTACTCACAGAGTTCGGATCTTCGGCATGTGGTTGAAGCTGGTGACCAGGATGCGACTGATGTTGTTGTTGTTGAGGGTACTGTGGAGATAGACAAGGGAGATGGTCAGCCAGGCAGCAGCAGGGGAGGCACCAAGATGCTTGTAGTAGGTCGGGGGAGGGATGGTTGTGACCGCAAGACCATGAGTCAACAGTCATGGCCCAGCCAGTGGAGCAGCTGAAGACAAGTGGACAGGTCTCCAGACGAGAAGAGCATGCCCTGACTTTTTTATTCAGGTGGAGCCCTCCTTCCCTCTACTGTCCTCTCAGGACTTGCCTACCCACCTTGAGTAAGAGTATCGCTTCCTGAAACCCTCCTATGCACTGAGTGCTTCATTATAACATCTCTAATTCTTACATCTACAATGCCAGTTACCTATTCCTGTCCTCGGTTTATGGAGAAGGAAACAGATATGCTTAATAACACACAAATCTACAAATGTGTTATCCTCATATTATGGATGAGGAGGCTGAGCCACAGGGAGGCAAAATAAGTTTTCCAAGAACAATCACTGCAAAGCTCTGGAGGTGGGATCTGAGTCCAGCACTACCTTGCTGCATTCTCCTTGATACTCCCATTGCATGTGTTGCCTCGCACAGGATGCTGTGGGGATAGGTGATTCTGTATTTTCTAGGCATCTTCTGACTCTTTCAGCACATCTAATCTTTTTATTTTGAGACGGGGTTTCGCTCTTGTCACCCAGGCTGGAGTGCAGTGGCACGATCTCAGCTCACTGCAACCTCCGCCTCCCGAGTTCAAGCGATTCTCCTGCCTCCACCTCTCAAGTAGCTGGAATTACAGGCGCCTGACTAATTTTTGTATTTTTAGTAGAGACAGGATTTCACCATGTGGGCCAGGCTGGGCTCAAACTCCTTGACCTCACATGATCCACCCCGCCTTGGCCTCCCAAAGTGCTGGGATTACAGGTGTGAGCCACTGTGTCAGCCTTCAGCACATCTAATCTCAAACAAGTCTGTGAGCTCTGCGCATCTCTTCTTTCCGGTGCATCTCTACGACCATGAACGGAGCTCCTACGGTGCCTGTTAGCTCTGACAGGTACTTTTGTGCAGGGAAAAGCAAAGAGAAAGGTGTGAGCTCCATAAATGAACCAGACTGAAATGAGGCTGTTGAAGAATGAAGCCAGGCTATAGGCAAGTACCCGGGCTTACCCTTCTGGAGAAACCTATTATGGAAGCCTAGGGAAAGCATGGCACCTAAGGAAGGCCATCTGCAGAGGCAGAAACATCACGTAGCAGGAGGGCCTTTTGCATCAGTTACTTCAGTGACTACCCAGGTGGAGAGACATAATATGTGGGGAAGTCAGGCATAGCTCTCAGCTCCCTGACCCCACACCTGCCTCACTATACCTCCCAAAGAGGAAGAGTTGGATACAGCCCTTGGTACAATTCCTCATGGTGGCCACTTGTTCCTGTGCCCTTCTATTCTCCGCTCCTCCCAGAACCACATCAGACATCCCTTACTCAACAATCCAATTCCTCTTACCCTCTCCTGAGCCTCCATGGGTCCCTACTGGCCCAGGAAGGACCCTTTCTTTGGAAGCCTTCATGGGTTAAGCCAGATGTCTTTTGCCCTTGGCTTTTCGTAAACACATTATCTTCCGCTTCAAATGCCCTCTACATCATACGTCTGCAAAGGCAGGACCATTTTCTGTCCTGTGCATTACCATAGCCTCATGTCCTGCTCTGTACATGGTTGAAATCAAATCCTACTACTTCCGAATTGTGTGGCCTTGGGCAAGTTATCAATATCTCTTATCTGCAGGTTCTTTATTTGTGGGAGGAAACAGGTAATGGTACCTACCTCACAGGCTGGTAAAAGGCTTAGCATGGGGTATGTGCTCAGTAAGTGGAGGCCACTATGTTACTGACATTCATGGAGAGAATCTAGTCCTGGCCTGGCCTATTATATTCCCCTCTACTCCAACCCCCATGGAAATAGAGGTTTACTCAGCATACAGTGCCCCCCATATTCTCCATCCTACCCAAGGGGACCTGTAACAATTCCTTCTCCAGCCCCTTGTGAGCCCAGTCCAAAGCAGGATTCCAGTGGCCTCACCTCCCTTGGCCCAGACTATCCGTGTAATCCCCCACATCTACTTATCATCTGCGTGGTGAAAGGCACAGAACCTAATTCTTCTTTCTCCCTCCCTCCCTCCCATATTTACTGTGCACCTACCATGTGTCTGACACTGTTAGGCATATGGGATGGTAAAGAAGAACGAACAGACAAAATTTACATTGCCTGCTCCTGCCTACTTTATGACTTCACTAACTCGCCAATGCAGGTATTTGGCATTTTATGAAGTTGAGCCCACTTAGCGGTTTTGTTTCATATGGCTTCTTTTCTGTGTGTGTGTATGTGGGGAGATGCTCAGTGGGGGATAATCTATCCTGCCTCTGTCCATCCAGAAAGCTTCCAGAAGATCTCATCAAACAACACTGAAGAATTTGTCACTGCTATCAGACCAGGCACTCTGCCTTGGCAGGGAGCTTCCTGGGGGTGAGGGCTATGCTTCTCTCCCCTTCTTCATTGGATTAGAAATGCCTCCAGGGCAGAAATGATCCCTCCATTTCACCTTCTGTCCATTTCAGAGTTCTGGGCTCCACACTTAGGGGAAACCAAGTTAAGGTTGTTGACTGACCACCAGACAAAAAAATCTGAGCATCCTCCCTATCTTTCAAAGAGCAAGAACCCTTTGCAGAGAAGGGGCTTCTTTCCAAGCACACCCAGTCATTCAACATCAGGTGGAGTTCACAGCCTGGCTCTAATTTAGCTGAATATACAGTACAATTATAAGCAGGGCCTCAACTATAACTGCATCCGGCAGTAGTCCAGCAGCGATGACTTATTAATGTATTACTACACTGATATTTAAATGTGAGTCGTAATGAGTGCTATAAAACATTTACGATAATAGCAATTATTCCAGAACCAAAATGACTAAACACAGTATTCAGACTTTCATGATTTGCTGCTTGGGGCTGGCCAGCCCGGGGATGTCAGAGGGTTGGTAACCTCTCAGACGCTGATTGCTACGACAGCTACAGTTTTCGTTTCCCTAATAAACACAGATTTATTTGATTTCCAGTCTTGGCAGCTTTTGCCCACACACAGAGTACTGCATTCTATTTGCTTCTTGTGCCGCTGCCTAAGTAGCTGGCATTCAATGAAGGAATTGTTGTTACAACCCCAATGCCAAGGAGAGGTGGTGAGCATGGACCTCGAAGGCAGAGACTAGTTTAGACTGGCTCTGCCACTTACAGCCTATGCAACCATGGGTAAATTTCTTAATCTCATTACGTTTCCTCCTTTGTAACATGGAGATAATAATAGCACTGGGCTCATAGAGCTTTAGTGGCAATTAGATGAGATGTTACTGATAACTGCTAACATTAACTGAGAGCTTATTATATGCCAGACGGGCTCTGAGCTAAGGGTACTGCATTGTACCGTTTCTTTTCTTTTTCTGAGACAGAGTCTCGCTGTGTCGCCCAGGCTGAAGGGTAGTGGTGTGATCTCGGCTCACTGCAACTTCTGCCTCCTGGGTTCCAGCAATTCTCCCTGCCTTAGCCTTCTGAGTAGCTGGGATTACAGGTGCCCACCACCACGTCTGGCTAATTTTTGTGTTTTTTAGTAGAGACAGGGTTTTGCCATGTTGGCCAGGCTGGTCTTCAACTCCTGACCTCAGGTGATCCGCCTGCCTAGGCCTCCCAAAGTGCTGGGATTACAGGTGTGAGCCACCATGCCCAGCCTGTATCGTTTCATTTAATTCCTCCAATTATCCCACGAGGCAGGGACTTTTAATATCACCTCCATTTCATGATTGAAGCATGTGGTAGTGCCAAGATTTGAGTCCAAGCAAGACTGAGTCCAGGAATGAGGCCCATGTTAGTTTCCTATGGCTGCTGTAACAGATTACCATGGATTTGGTGGCTCAAGGCACCACACATTTATTCTCTTACAGTTTTGCAGTCAGAAGTCTAAAATGGGTTTCTGGGGTGCGTTTCTTTCAGGGGAGAATTTGCTGCCTTGCCTTTTGCAGCTTGTAGAGACCACCCATGCCCCTCGGCTCATGGCTGCTTCATTGCGTCACTTCAACCTCTTCTTTTTGTTACTCAACGATTTTTTAAAAAATATATTTGAACACAGCTCCAAACAGCCATTGAAGCCTCTTGCTTCTGTTGTCACATCTCCTGACACTCACTGTGATCTCCACTTCCTGGGACCTTCCTCTTACAAGGCCCCTCGTGATTACCCTTAGAGCTTATCTGAACAATCCAGGATAACTCCTCCATCTCAGGATCCTTAATGTTGTCCCATGTGCCAGGTCCCTTTTGCCATGTAAGACAACATTCATAGGTTTCTGGGATGAGGTCATGGACATCTTTGGGGGCCTATTAGCTCAATGCCAGGGTACTGAGGCAGGACAAGGGCTCCCCAGGCGGGATGAATACATGAAGATTCACATAATGGACAGCTCCAGGGGTTGGCAAACAACTGCCCACAAGCCTAATCCCATCCAATGCAGCCTGTTTTTGTAAAACTGGTTTTACGCATTCACTTTTGTATTGTCGATCTGCTTTTGCATTACAATAGCTGGGTAGTTGACACACAGGCCATATGGCTTGCAAAGCTAAAATATTTTCTATCTGGATTTTTATAGAAATTTTGTTGGCCCTTGGCTGCTGTAGAACTGAACCATCCTGTCTCTGCCTTTGTCAGTGATTAAATGTGATATGCTAGGCAAGGCACATAACTGCTCGGAAAGAAGAGGGGTTTAGGTCAGAGGCATTCAAAACTTAAAAACCACAAAAAACATTTTCAGAAATCCCAACTGGCAAGTAGTAGCATTGGGATTCAAAAGCAGGTAGTCTCACTCCTACCTTGGAAGATCAGTCCCGCTCTTTCTGGAACCTGCAATGCCGTGATGGAATCGGAACCTAGGGGAAGGCCCTGCTCAAGAGAGACGACAGGTGAATCCACCTTGGGTTGTGCATGGAAGGAACTTGGGCAGTGGTTCTCAAAATGTGGTCCCCAGACTGGGTGCAGTGGCTCATGCCTATAATCCCAGTACATTGTGAGGCCACAGCGGGAGGACTGCTTGAGCCTAGGAGTTTGAGACCAGCCTGGGCAACATAGGGAGAACCTGTCTCTACCAAAAAAATGAAAAATAAAATAAATACATTAAAAAAATAAAAATTAGCTGGGTATGGTGGTGAGCAACGGCAGTCCCAGCTACTTGAGGGGCTGAGGTGGGAGGATCACTTGAGCCTGGTAAGTCAAGGTTGCAGTGAGCCAGGATCATGCCATTGCACTCAGCCTGGGTGACAGAGTGAGATCCTGACTCAAAAAAAAAAAAGAAAAAAGAAAAAAAAATGTGGTCTCTAGACTAGGCCTATCACCTGGTAACATGTTAGAAATGCATATGCTCAAGCCCCTACTGAATCAGGAACCCTGGGGTGGGTCTCAGCCTTGTGTGTTTAATGAGCTTTCCAGAGGAGTCTCATGCAAGTTCGTGTTGGAAAACCATTGAACTACGGAAAAAGCTAAGAATAGAGCCTTTACTTAAGTGTAGAGGGTAGTATACAGGATGCTCTTTTGCAGCAACTAGGACTGAAGGCCTCTTCTGGGGCAGGCGTGGTGTTTCCCCACTTAGGAAGAAGCCTAAACTCTGAAATCAACGGAGGTGGCTGTAACCACCTTTGGAGAGCTCCAACTTGGCTTCTGCCCCTGGCTTCCACTGTTCCCTTCTGAGTGTCAACGTGGGGCTCTCCACTGCATCCCTCAAGATAGCCATCTTTGATCTGGAGGAGACACGTCCAGCTGCAGCCACCCCACCCTGGCAACCTTAATAAGGCTGATGTTTCCCTCTGTCTCCTCCGATTAGGCCATCGCTTTTTCACTCTGTGCTTTCCTGGCTCTGGTTGTAATCTGCGTGTTGTGTGTCCATAACACCATGTAATTGGCTCTAATGCAACAATATTATCTGTGAGCATGTATCACATAATTGCAAAACCAGGCATCTGCAGTAAGTGCCACTGCAGCCTCTCTGTGTGCCAACCTTCCTGTGGGTATTCTTGGAATCTCTCCTCTTGCCATCCACATAGGTGGGGATCCAGACTCCTTGGGTCCAAGAGATCCTCTTGGTGGGCTGGCCCACTCATGTCCTGTCTCAAGGCAGATAGACTTCTCCCTAAGTCTACATAAGCAAGCTGGTTTCCTCCTTAATGGCCCCCAAGAAGGAGACTCTTGGTAAGTCATCAGCCACCATGACGACAGGATATCTATTTAATAAAGTGGGCTGAGACATGCCCTGAGTTGTACTTACAAATGTGGGCATCCAATGGCCAGCACAGCAAGCCTAGAAGAAAGTGCAATCTCTGCCAGTGCCTACAGTGAATTAACAGAGGTGGATGCAGCCAAAGTACCAGACTCCTTTCCTGAAGAGCAGCTGAGAGTATAAGTCCTGTGGCCGGACCCTGTGAGAAACACCTAAACCACAGGCAGGGGACGATGTGCACAGAGGGGTTCTGGCAGTGTGCGGACCTCAAGGGGAACTCACTGCTGGCCATCCCTCTTGCTTGGCTCAGGCAGGGCAAGAGGAATGAAACTGGGGACACTACAGATTCTTGGGGCTGTCCTTTATGTGCCTGCTCTCCTCTCTGGCTCACAGGTCAAAGCAAGCCACTCTTCTCAGTCTTGCTGGGCAGCTGCTGATGGGCAGCCAACATGGGACCAGGAATCAGGGCCTACTGCTGATGACCAGGCCCTACGACACTCAGGTCCTAAGAGTGATCGTTATTGGCTGACTCAGCTCTATTAGAATCTGCATGGATGGCTTCTCTTTGTGGACTTGGTCCCAGGAGAGCATACACTGAATGCTCAACCCCACTCTCTCAACCTCAGGTTGAGAGGGGCATCCCCAAGCCTCCCGCTCAGCCCAGGGCCTCCATCCTCAGCACCTCCTCCTAAGTACGCTATCATTTTTAAGTGAAACTCCCTTTACTGTTTCCCTCATCTCCAGGTTGAACTTGCCCTTCTCATCCAGCTGTACACTGCTCTAATGTGCCTGGGGGCTCTAGGAAGCTCCAGAAACCAGGAATAAGAACGATGCAATAAAGCATCCTTAGAGAAAACCTAAGCAGAATAGTATAGGTTCTCCTGTGAACACACTACTTTCCTCTAATGAGCTAGACTAGTCAAGGATATCGCTTTGAAGCTTGCCAAAATCTTCCAGTAAAGGTATCTATGATGTTCATAATAGCAGAAATAATGCTGATACTATTTATGAAGTGTTTACTAAGTCCCAGCACTAGCCTGAGCACTTTTCATACATTATCTCATTTAATTCTCCCAACACTCCTGAGATATTATTACTTCCACTTGGAAGCCCAGGAAATGACATAAACTCTGCTCAGATCTCACAGCCAGAGGTGCGGAGCCAATATTCAAAGCCCAGAGGTGTGACACCAGGACCTATATTTTTCATCATTACACAAAACTGCCTCTTACAGGATTGTCTTCAGACAGACAGATGTCACCTTTCCAGCTTCCACATTTTTCCAAGGTGGAGGTGAATCACATGAGTTTGTGAGGGACCCATCCTTTACTGGTCCCAGAAGTGGCAGGGAACATGGTGTTGGCCTCACTGCTGAGGCTGCTCCAAGGCAACAGCACTAGACAGCCCTCCTCCTGTCCAAGGAGCAGGGACAGCTCAGCACAGACAGTGAGGGAAGCAGGAGAGGCAACGCAGGACAGAGGACAACTAGGTCCCAAAGGCGTCTAAGGTCAAAGTTTGGCTAACACGTATCAGTGTTGCCAAAAGCCTAGTGGCCCTTACTGTTGGATAGGTTGACTGGAAATTTTAAGAATACCCTGTAGAATAGAAAGTACAGATCTGCCTGCTCCTTAAGCAAAGCTTCTCTTTTGCTTGTTTGGAGTGGGCGATGGGTCTCCAAGGGCATATGAGGCGGGAGGAGTGAGAGAGATTGGTGGGGGTGGGGGAGAGTGGAGGGAGAGGTGAGACAAGGGTGGGAAGCCATCTCTTTCGCATTACCTGCTTTCCTGGACTATCCTGGGTGCTGCATATTACTGAGTTCCTTGATCTCCCTGTGGACCGTTTAAATTAAAGCTCATAACCATTGTGTGGGCATATAATGAAAACAACTGATGCTGCACTGATTAGTCCATTACTCTCAACTGTTAGAAAACATAATGATCTCACAAGGGGCCTTATTCACTGACGTATAGCAGTCGAGCTCTCATTTGACACCTCAAATTAGCAGCCAAAGCAATAACAGCTGGGGTTTTTGTCTCAATATTTGTACCCGACTCTAAAGTGATTTGGCACCGGGTGAGCGTTATTTTTAAACACACAGCTCTCACCGCCAAGTAACATTTTAAATGGTCTCCAGGTGTCATGTAAAACCTACAGAAATAAATAAAAACAATCAGCTGCCAATTTGGGCCTTTGATAATACAGATTCCTTAACAAAAGGGCTTGTCTTTGGTTCTTTTATTATATATTCATATTATGACAGGCAGAAATTCGTCTCCATCCACTCGGCAGAGCCTCGGTGTTCAAAGAAAAACAATACCTCCGAAAAATGTTAAAAGTGGAAGATCAAAAGAGAAAGATAAATCCTCAAATCCTGTCACTACTCAATCAGATCCTGTGTTTGGGGGTCCCTTGACTCCGAAGAACTCCTTATTCATTTACTGAGATGATCACAGATACTGCCTAGCAGTGATTCAGAATGGCTCAACTGCCTTCCAATGATGGAGTTTATTTTAAAATGTACTTTAAATGACCATGTGAATGAGATGGCCTTGGTCTCCCAATTCTGTTTCATCATCTACAGACTGAGACCATGGACAGTCTTGACTTAGAAATCAGGCAATTGCCAACGTGTCCACAGATGCAAGAGTGACCTCCAACTTACATTACTGGACAGGTGAGTTTGCAGTTGAAAAGGGAAGAAACAGGCAATTTCCACCTCAGCTGCATTTGGTGCCTAGCCAGTAAGAGAGGAAGAAGAGGGACATTTTGAAAATATCCATGAATGTGTATACTAGGCATGGGCAGAGAGCAAGTCTGTTTCATGTAGTTACGTAGCCAGAGCCTGGCCCAGTGTTTGGCACATAGGAAGCCTCACTGTTTACTGAATGGGCTGGCGAATATCAAAGCATGAACAGTCAGGTTTTTGGCATCTTTTGATACAAATAAATTCCCACTCTGAACAGCCTTCTGGGCTAATCCAGGAGTACAAACACAATTGCCTACGGGAGTGAGGCTTGTCATATAAGTGAGTGAGCTGCGTGGGGACTGTCGTAAACCCAGCCTTACTAAATGGGATCGTCACTTCTTGTTTCAAGAGACTGTGTTATGCTGGAATGGGGGTGCAGCATTGCCAGTTCTTCCCTTTTGTTATTTTTAAAGAGAAAGCCAGACGTCTAGAATTTTCATATGAGGTCTCCTGGTTTTTTAATATTGGCAGCTAAAACACCTTGAGTATCAAAACCCACAAATGAAACACCTGGGGGCTGGATCTGGCTTGCAGGTGCCAGTTTTTGGTCTCCGAACCAAACAAATTCATTCAATAATTTAAATCAGAAAAAAATATAGTAAGAAAATCAAAGTGCTTCAATGGCATTATGGTGAAATGTAGTTGAAACCTTCCTTCTACACTGCAACTCCCAAAGGGCAGCCACCAGTGATGAATTATCTTTAAATGATTGTAAATTATTCATTGTTTCTCCCCCCACAACCATCATTACTTGGGGACAAAGAGCCCTGAATAAGTTTCTGTTTCTAAAGGTAAGACTGTTTTCCACCAGGCAGGTGAGCTCTTGTCTGGTTTTTGCATGCTACTCATTAGTTCTGTGGCCAAACATATAGGCCACTTTTTGTGGACAGTCGAAACTGAGCCACTTCAGAGCTGTTAGAAAAAGCTGCACAGGGTGCATGAGGCTCTGTTCCTGGGCTGAGATGCCAGAGAGGTCCTGCTTTTTATCCTCTGATATTTGCAAGGGAGGGAGTCTCCCAGGAAGCTGAGTGCAATTTACAGCTTGGGCTAACTGGGCTCAGCAATGGGCAGGGGACTCCAGTGCTTACTCAACGGGTTTCTGGTCATCCCTGGCAGCCAGGGATCAATGATGTGGAATCTGGTCTCTTCCAGACTGCCATCTGACTGGACAATCTATTGGGCACTAGAGTGGCCATTTCCCAAGCAGTGGCCAAAGGCCTGGAAGGCCCTAGAAAGGGAGGGTGTTGTCCTCATGCTGAATGCAAAACGTTCCCTCTAGCAAAATGCTAGAGATTAAAAGGTGATGGCATGAACAGGACATGAAAGCTGGCTTCACTTACTATTGTTTCCTGTCTGCTAATATAGGGGCAAGCAGACAGCAATAAAGAGAACTGGATAAAGAGCCAAAAGACCTGCTTTCTGGCCTGGTTCTTCCACGAATTTTTCCTATGGCTGTGGGCAAGTCATTTAACCTTTGTGAGGGAGTTTCTTTTTTTTTAAATGAAGTGGTGGAACCAGCTGACCTCCAGGGTCTTTCTAGCCTAAATTTCACTCTCTAATTCCAATTGGGTTGTGCTGGCTCTAAAATAGCATTTCTGGATTGGGAATCATTTTCCAGATGTTAGAAGAAGTGGTCATGGATGCCCAGATCTGCCCAGCTCTGCACAGACAGGACATCTGGCCAAAGTCTGGAAGTCACAACTAGCCCCCAGTGTGCAGCATGTGAAAACAGTGAGGCAGGGCCGGCTCTTTTTCTTTCTCTGTTTATGCAAATACCTGGCTCAGCTTCTGTGGGGTTAATGGGCTTGGTTCCCTAACCGGCTGCCGCATCTCTAGTATACCTGTGGAGACAGGAAGGGCTCAGGCAGGGGAGTGATTTTCTTACCCAGTTGACTTTGTGGAAGTCATTTGCAAGGCTGTGAGAAGCAAATAATGGGGATCAGGGAACGAATTTACACTGAAAGGGCTTCCTTTTGGTGGGCCATTGTTGTAAGGATCACACTCCCAGGTTTGGATAAAAATGGGTGTTTTGTGGGTATAAGACCCAGATGCTTAAATTTAGATGGAGAAAGGGCCGGGCACAGTGGCTCATGCCTGTAATCCCAGCACTTTGGGAGGCAGAGGCGGGCGGATCACTCGAGGTCAGGAGTTTGAGACCGGGGGGTCCAACATGGTGAAACCCCGTCTCTACTAAAAATACAAAAATCAGCCAGGTATGGTGGTGCATGCCTGTAATTCCAGCTACTCAGGAGGCTGAGGGCAGGAGGTGAGCCTGGGAGGTGGAGGTTGCAGTGAGCTGAGATCATGCCACTGCACTCCAGCCTGGGACACACAGCGAGACTCTGTCTCAAAAAAAAAAAAAAAAAAAAAAAAAAAAAAAAAAAAAAAGATGGAGGTGGAAGGTGAGGGGAGTGGCAGATATTTCAAAGATTTACTGCTAGAAAAGACACTGTTTAAACATTCTTAATGGATGTGAAATGGCTGGAGAGATTTGGAGCAGGACAGGGAAGCAGACCTGGTGGGAGCTATGGTGATTTGCAGAACATGCCCTGTCCAGACAGGGTACCCACCCACACTTCGCTCCCAGCTTGCACCGTCCAATAAGGTAGCCATGAGCTACACGTGGCAATTCACACTGGAATCAATTAAAATTAAAAATTTAAAAATTCAGTTTCTCAGTTGTGTAAGATGCACTTCAAGTGCTCAAGAGTCACGTGTGGCCAGGGGCTTCCATCCTGGATAACACAGAGATGCAATATTTCCCTCATCACAGAAAGTTCTATTGGACGGTGCTGCTGGAGAGATCCTAGCCACAGGCGGGCCCAGGGTTGGCAAACCTTCTAGATATTCATTGGAAGTTGAATTATAAATTTTACATAAAATTACTTGAGTTTTAAATGTTGGCAACAAATTCTAATTATTTGTAAACAAAAAAATTAAAGAAAAATATAAAATCCCACATCTGCTGTTTTCATTCAACCCATGGGCCAGCAGTTGGAGTCCTCCGATTTAGTTACAAGTTAAAAGAAAATGGACTCTCTAGAGCTTTTTGACAATGAGTTTGAAGAATCCAAATATGACCTTGGAGAAATGGAGTCATTATTTCCTTCATCCCTCCTTCATCCACCATCCCTTACTTCAAAAAAAAAAAAAAAGTGTTGTTTTTTTGTTTGTTTGTTTTGTTTTTTGTACTGGGTGCGGTGACTCATGCCTGTAATCCCAGCGCTTTGGGAGGCCGAGGTGGGCAGATCACTTGAGGTCAGGAGTTCGAGACCAGACTGGCCAACGTGGTGAAACCCCGTCTCTACTAAAAATACAAAAAAATTAGCCAGACGTGGTGGCTGGCACCTGTAATCCCAGCTACTCAGGAGGCTGAGACAAGAGAGTTGCTTGAACTGGGGAGGCGGAGGTTGCAGTGAGCCCAGATTCCACCACTGCACTCCAGCCTGGGTGACAGAGCAAGACTCCATCTCAAAAAAAAAAAAAAATTTGTTTTTGTTTTTGTTTTAGTTTGTGTAGAGGTCTTGCTATGTTGTCTAGACTGGTCTCAAACTCCTGGGCTCAAGCAATGCCCCTGCCTTGGCATTGGGATTACAGGCATGATCTACTTCACCTGGTCCATCCCTTACTTTTTAATACCTTCAAAGATAGAAAATGAAAGCTCAGGGAAAAGTAGCAATGTTGATCCTGTTCTTCCCAGCCTTGTGTCTCCATCACCTTCTCCACATCATCCTTCCTTCCATTAAGCCAGTGGGTAGGAGAGGGCCAAATTCCTGTGAAAGCTCCTAGGATCTTGACTTTCAAGACTCAGGTCTATAGAAAAGCAGACTCTCAGCCACAGGTAAGCTGAGCTGTCCAATCTTGGGCATCCCTGGTGGGAATGGCAGCAGCTGTGGCAGGCAGGTTTGGCTGTTCAAGAGGAACAAGGCTCCCTGGCTTGGAGGTCCATGAGTGTCATGGGATGAGCGCTGATCTAGAGGCAAGTTATTCACTAAACATTCTCAAATACTGGTCACCAAAGCCCCTGCTGGGAGCTGAGGGGATGGTGAAAGGGCAGAGGCTGACCATCAGGCAGGGGCACCTTTGCAAATCAGCACAGAAGCCCGGTCTTAGGAGTGAACTGACCGCTGTAGGCATGTGGCTGCTCTACGGTATTTCCCCTGCCCTCCACATCTTGCCCTTGAAAGAAAACTCTCTGGAATCTTTCTCCAAACATGGAGAACTATTTTTCCCATTTGTTCTAGGTGGGACAAAGCATTTCAAAAGACTGCTCCCAAACCAAGTTTGTCAAGTCTGAATTCCAGTGCAGAGATCTGGCAGCTGGAATGTGTGGCCCCTGGGGACAGCAAGACCACCACGACTTGCCGACTCCCCCTAAGCGCTACTCACGGGAGAAGTTAACAGGAGGTTCGTTGATTCAAGATCCTTTGCTGATCAAAAACAATTCAATTATCTTCTCCACATCCTCTTAACCCAGGAATGTACACCAATACATTTTCAACTTCAGAGATGAAACTAGCTTTTGGTTAACAGGAAAGTGAAATCAACTAGAAAACCACAAGTTTCCCGCAGATTCCAGGTATTTTAAAGGTGAAAGTGCTACTTACTTAAATGGAAAAAAAAAATTTAGATTTCAAAGTAATTTTTACTTTTTCCTTAAGCTGGGGTTCTCAAAACCAAGCTAGTCATTTGAAGAGCATGACTGTCATGGAACCTGGAGTCTGGATGACTAAGAAGGAGGTGTGTGTTGAGTGGCACGAGAGCATTTATAGAAAACCCAGTTTCTTTCCTAGTATTCTAGGGGCTGAATGGAAGTTACAGATGCTTTCTATAGAGTGCAATTTTAATCCTGATTGCATGAACATATCACAATTTACAGCACAGTACCAAAAGAAAAATATCTGGAGATATTTTAAGACTTTCATTAAGCCATGACAGTTCTATATTCAAAACTATGTCATGACTAAACACCCTGATAAAATGTTTGTAGCTCCCAGAGAAACCCAGGTGAAACATTTTATAAATAAATAAAAATGAGTCTAGTCTCTGCTGTAACACACCAATTTTCACTGTAGCTCCGATTTTGTTCCTTATTAAAATGAGAAAGAAAGATCACCATTTAGCCAGAGAAATGCAAAATCAAAGGTAATGTGAAAAGTGGACTGGTTCAGTAAAATACTACGTTGTTCAACATTTAAAATGATTCCAGGACAACCATATCTTGTTCTCTTCAGAGACAAGCCATAACAGGGACTCTAGAGACTGGTGTTGTGGGCTTCAATTCAGTTAATTAATTTCAACTCGATTTGGTTCCACATACTTTAACCGGCCACTTAGTACGTGCCAGGAGTGAGTGAGATGTGGACATAAAGCAGAGAAACAGTACAGAAGTATTTACCAGCTTTACTTATTATGAGCGTCCCGATTGGGAGCCTGCTATTTGCTAGGCACACACCAACGATATCTCTTTTAACCAACACAGCTATTCTCAGGGTTGGGAATTACAGTTTCCATTTTTCAATAAGGAAATGAACTCCAAACCACCTAGTCTGGTAAAGATGAGCTGGAAGCTGGTTCTATGAGAGGACTCTAACCCCTCCAAAGCTCAACCATGGCTCTGTACCTTTATGTCTGGGGCAGTTTTGTGGAACTGGATCTGTTGCTGATTAAGCTGAGGTCATAAATTTAGATCTAAGCACCCTAAGGGTCAGTGTTTCAATAACTATGGTTTCTGAAGTTTTCTGGGCATTCACTACAGATAATGATCTCACTAGTGCATATAATTGTTTCTATGTATGTGTGTTCCGGTAGGTGCTTTTAATTTTAATTTTTATTTTTGTTAAGGGCAGGTGCTCAGATATCAGGCAGAACTGGATCTGAGTTCGGAAAGAGTAGTCCCCTCGTACTTGCCACTGTGACTCTGGGCAAGTCAGTCAACTTTTCTAAGCATCAGTTTCCTGACTGGTGAAATGCAGTTCCTAGGATGTGCCTCATAAAGTTGTGGTGAAGATTTAATTGAGATGCCTCATTCTACTGACTTATCACAGTACCTAAAGATGCTCAAAAATAGAAGTAGACTCTCAAAAATAGTAGATGCTCAAACATGGGACTCTAACAAGATAATATAATCATACTAATAATTATTGTACCATGGTACTATATATTATCGTTACGTCATTATTATTATTCGTTAATCCTCTGGCTCTGCATCCAGAGGAAGCTCAGCTGAAGTGGCCAACACACTGCGACTTGCATTAAACTCTGGGTTCTCTGAAGTGGGCAACATCGTGCTTGAATATCCTAACACCCTGTACCAGGACACCAACCCCGCTCTAGGAGAGTGAGCACACCCTGACCTAGGTTTCAGGACTGCTGTCGATTTTTTTCCACTGCCTTCCTCTTGTACCAGAAAATGACCTTTTCCCCATTCACTCTTCTGCGTCTACCTGTGGGGTTCCGCATCAGGCCACGTTGAACCCACCAGGATATGACTGAATTAGAACTACCCTAAAAATCTGGTTAGTTCTGCTATTGCTTTAACTCTTCAATCTCTCCTCTCTAAACGTGGGCTTGGTGGCCTCAGTACACCAGTTGATCCAGGGGCCTGGGGAACAAGAACCAGGGCAGGTGGGGCGGCTCTTGTGATGAAGACGTGGAGCTAGGGTCACCTCTTGTTTTTCACCCTCATAGGCATAAAACCAATTACAACTGCTGTAACATCAAAGGCAATTTGGAGACTAGTTTAACCCTTGAGAAGAGCTCCTCAGAAGGTGAGACATGAGGGATTCGTGATTGCCTCTGGGGTGTCCTTGCTTAGGTTCGGGCGTCCTGGACTCCACATCACTAAGCTCTCTCTGTGTGTCCACTCCATCATGCTGGTGAGCTCTGGCCTATGGAGCTCAGCCTGCCAAGCACCTGCTCACTTCAAGCTTTACTGTACCCAGCGCCCAGCACTGTGCTGGCCACACAGCGTGTCTTTTCTTCTTGGATGGGTCAGCACAGGGGCCACGTGGGCTGGCAGTTAATGTAAATTGGTAGGGGTCAGTGGCAGAGTGGGGTCTACATGCCCCGTCCAAGGAGGACAGGTGTTCCCCAGCCACAGCTGACTGCAATGCAGAAATGCCGGCCCACAGTTGCCAGTGCTTCTAGTTTTTCCAGAGAAGCTGGAAATCTGGGCTTTTTATGTAAGATATCTCAATTTTTAAATGTGAAATGCTAATTTCAATTTTTAAAAAACATTCCACAGGACAAAAGAAAAATCTCACCTATGGGAGCAATATGGTGTGTGGTCTAGTTTGTAGCCTCCGGTTTAAAGAGAGCTAAGAGCCGGATCATCCCTTGTTTCTGTCACAGACAAACATTTGCCCTCCCCCAGTCTCCTAAATAATACCCAAAACTTAATGGTGGGTTTTGAAAGGATGAACTATGCTTGGGATTCCCAATCTTACCAGGGGCTCCCTTCTGAACAATTGCATATAGGTGCCCAATGCGGACAGAAACACGGGTGAGGAGTCCCAAATTCTAAGTTCCCCTGTTACCGCCAACTTGCTGCTGACTTCAGGCAAGTCTCCTAGCCAGGGCCAGGCCTAGGGTGAACCAGGCGAGGTGCTCAGGGTGCAGAATGCTAGGTGGCATGGGCCTCTCTCCAGTGCCTGCTCTCTGGGTCTTAATCTGGACAGTGAGAGGTCATCCTGGAGACACCTAAGGTCCTACCAGCGCCAACCTATAATAATGTCAGTGAATTTCCAAAATTGGCAAGTGACATAAATGGGAGTGAGAGCTTCCAAACAGCACACGCCGGTTATCTATGGACCTGTTGGGATCTCCATGCCATTTACCTGGCACCAGTGATTTCTCAAGGGCAGACCAATCACCAGGAGATGAGAGCATTTTCAGGATGTGTTTCTGTTATCTGTGGTCCGGCATTTTTGACAACGTATTTATTGAACTTCTGACTTGCTACCTTTAGTCAAGGGACAATGTCCAAAAGTATTTTTTATTCTCCCATAATACTACCGAAAAACAATTCATGACATATGTTATTAATCAGGTTTTCTCATTTTTGTTTAACTTGTCCCTACTTTTTTTTTTCATTAGAGTTAAGCATTTTTTTTTTTTTCTGACCCATGATGGTACGTTAGTCAGGGAGGTGCCACTATAACTGGTGAAATGCCTGGCCATCCTCAGCCTGGCTGGTATGGGCTAGAAACCCAGGGCTCAGAGCACCAGCACAGTGCATCCTGACCACACAGAGCCAGGAATGCAGTCTTGGCATATTCAACTGCAGTATAAGCACGACTTACTTGGAGAAAACCTAGTGTTGTATGCGAATTACCAAAAGCATAGAACAGGTGGAAATTAAAGGGCAATGATTTGAGTAACAGCAGAGGGTCTGACTCACAGAGCCTCGGTCCCTCAATTAAGAACCTTAAATGCCACAAAGTTGAGGCTGTATTTTTTTAGGAGGGGGAGACAGTTCTAGAAAGTAGAGCCCCCAAACTGTGGAGTGCCAAAGTCTATGGCAATGGCCACGAGTGGGAATAAATCATCTCTGGGGCGACAAGTGTATCAGTGAAAAAGCAGGACGAGTTCCTTACTCCTGCAAGTTTGATTTACCTTCAACTTTGTGGGCACCCGTTAACTGGGTAAAGGGAATGGCAGGGCCAATTTCACAAGCCTGTGAAAGGCTCCGACATTCTCCCCAGCGGGATTGTGAGTCATTGCTAGTTTGCCTCCATCAGTTCTTGAGGCCAGTTCACACCACCCTGCAGCCCACAGCCGCCATGCTTCAGGGCAGCCAAACACCATGGCAGCCTTGGCAACATGCATCCAAAAGGCAGCTTGGTAGAATGGTTAATCACACAGACTCTGCTGCTAATTAGCTAAGCAGTTACTTGCCTTCTCTGAGATGGGCTACTTTTTTTGTAAAAGCAGGGTGAGGGTAACAGTAGTTCTATTGAGAGATTGTGAGGATGGCAAGAGCTAGTGCATGTAAAAGCACTGGTGGTATCACTGGGCTTGAGTAACTGCTAGCGATTTTCATTTTCCTCATTATTCCTCCTCCGTAGTGGCATGGAAGGAATGAGAAGTTTCGCCCCCGATACTATGCTTTTCTTCTTACTTCCTGGAAAGGGGAGGGGATGGCTCCTTTCCCTGTCCACCATACTCTGCACTGGACATCCCCCATCGGGAATGAGTCAAAAATGAGGTTGAAGTGGGCAGATTTCAGTCTTTCCCAACCTTGTACCAGTTCATTTCTTCTCATACATAGTCAGTGGTTCCCTCTCAGGCTCACCTCCAATGTTCTCATTCAATGTAACTGGTAAAACCATTGTCAGCCTCGATGGAAAGAAGTTTTATGGTATTTCCATCCACAGGAGGGATGGAATAACAGGGTTATTGCATGCGAAATACTTCTACTTGCAGTTGACATCCATACACTTTCCTTAAGTTAATTTGAGAGCTTTCTGGGACAACCAATGTGTCTTTGCTTGATTTCTACTTCATGCTGCCTAATGTCAGAGAAAACATACCCGAAACATTACATTTTGTCTTCTTAATTTGCAGACTTTTAAGCTTTAGATATTTTAAAATGCTCTTTCTGGGGATAGGATGTTTTGAACTCTCCTCTTTCACTCAGAAATTTATCAAGCTAATGTGTAATACTGTCACTGAGTTCCTATTTATTATTTCATTGTCAGGATTCTTTATGGAGCCTAAATTGTGATTACAGAGAAGCATTATAAAATGTCAATGTGTGGATGAGATTTGGAAGGTCTAGGGGTGGGGAGGGGAGGTTCTTTAAATGGAGATGTCAGCTCCAGCCAAGTTCAGAATGGCTCACCATTAAGATGGATGGTTTCAAAGCTGTGTGCCTCTGCTGGAAATTAAAAACCCATGGAATAACTGATTATGATTAATTTTAAGTACTTAGCCATGTGAAGCCAAATGAGAGTGTCTTTAAAACAAAGCTATTGATCTGGCTTTGTTTGGAATTGAGAAGATAAACTAATCAGATCCTATGGGCTCTTTGCAATGATAAGGAATGAGAACTTTTTTTTTTTTCTTTCAGTCACAGGTTTTTAAAGCTTCAACTTGGAGACACCTGGTGCATCTGGATACCGTTTTTTCGTTTTTTTTTTTTTTTTTTGTATCTGAGTAGAGGAGAGCTGTCCAAATCTGTCCTGGGCAAGGGCTTGATGGGGGTGAGGGTGTATGGGGGCAAAGTTAGGAAAGTGGAAGGGATGGCAGTTATGAGAGCCCCTCCTATGTAGTACATACACTGTCTGTTTTTAAAAGTTGGGGAGATAGACTCAGAGAGATGAAGACACTTGACCCAAGCCCCACCCAGGTGTGTCTGGCTGTAAAGCCCTCTCTTCTCCCTCAGACTGCCTTCCTGGTGAGGTAAGACAACACCGTTCCTAGCACAGAGAATGACCGTGAGGGCTGTCAGGTTGTCACAGCTGTTTCGTGGCAGCTGGTGACTTCCGTTTCCTGGTCTCTTCCCAAGGAATTTTCTCATCTTTCTCATTCTCTCTGTCAAGGGAGGAAAAAGGTGATGTGCTGTGAGCAGCCCTTTCTACAAATGCTATTTTGCAGGCAGGGAAAATCCTGCCTACCCTTCTCAGCCCCAGCCTCCTGATAAGAGGAGTCCTAGGTTACTAAATTTGGGCTGGCATCCTCTCTCTGGCAGACGGGCATTTGTTGCCAGTTCCAGGGTCAGAGTTTGAGTGAGGAGAGACAATCTATCTCAGAAATGACAATCTGACCTCCCTGGCTGTGGGTCCTGTCTTTTCTGGACCGGGAATTCTCGGCTTTCATCCGATTTCAAGCAGCTTGCAGCATCAGCATCCCCTTTTATTTCCCGTGATTCCTCTTGGAATCACCTTCCTCTCAAATAATGTGGAGAGGCTCTCTCCAACCCGTTGCTAGTATCTGCGGGGCCAGGTGAAGAGGAAGGTGGAGGGAGGACCTTTCACTCATTCTCTCACATACAAAGGAATGCTTCAAAATATTCATTCACCTGTTTATTTGGCATTCATTGATTCTTCTGGAATCAGAGATAGGTAACCTGTGACTGTGTAATTTTTTATTTTTAGGAGGAGGCTTGAGAAACCCCACTCTGCTATCAGTCACTGGCTAGAATCGTACCATGGGAATTATTTTTAGAACCAAGCAGCTACATAATTTGGAAAGGGGAAGTCACTCCCAAGACAGAGCAACCAACCCTTTCATTTTACAAATGAGGAAACTGAGGCTCCCAGAGCCGAAGAGACTTGCCCAAGGTCACACGACTAATCAGTGGCAGAATCCGGACTCAACCACACGTCTCCTGACAGAAGTGGCACAGGTTCTCCTGTGCTGTACTGCCTTCCTCTCTGGGCTTCTCTAAATCAGGGACAGCTAGAAGTGTAGCTTTGGTGAGAATAACCAAAATGTTTTCTTACACAATTCAACTTTAGTTGGAATGACCCCAAGATGACTCCTAGCTGACTTTCCTCCTGGGAGTTAGGTTTTCTTAGTTAGACTCATTTGAAAATCCAGAGCTCAGAAAGGCAGCTACACATTCTTTCTAGACAAGGTGTATAGGGTAGGATTTTGGGGAAGGGGCTGTCTCCTCTCATCTCCCCCTATTTCCTGCCCCCCGCCCCCCTACCCCTGGCCCCTTTAAGGTCACGGTCACTGTTTAAAGTTTGAATTGAAGCCTGAGATGAGATCCCAGGAGCAATAGCAATGACTGGGCTTTCCCAGGCTGTGTGGCATTCCCCTGCCCTGTGCCAAGGTCCCTTTCTGATTCAGGTAATTCCAGCTGACCTCCTGGCACTAACCCCTCTCTCTGGCCCCAACCCCGGCCCCTGTCTCCCAGTGTGCCCGCACTCAAACACACTGTCCCTGATGCTGTGGCAGGCTCTGGGGGGTTCTGCTCCAGCCCATCTGTTTCTCCCAGCAACGAATGCTGCAGGAGCACTGGGGGAAAAGGAGAAAGACTCAATTGAGACTTAATTAGCAGGAACCTCAGTTTGTGGGAGGTAAGAAATCACACTTGGCTGCCTGCAAACACTTTGACCAAGGTGAGCCGGAGGGATCCCCTGGTTCCCAATTTTAATAGCACTGCAGCAGAGACCAGAAATGCATTCACACAGACCCTCCTGCACACACTCTCCCCCTCTCTCCTCCCCACACAGACACACACACATACACACACATGCACGCACACACAAGGCAGCGATCGCAAAATCAACTCACAGGATCTCCAAATCGCGCAGCGCTCGGAAGGCTCCATCTTCAATGCAGCTGATGTGGTTGTTGTCCAGTTGCCTGTGGAAAAGCAGGGGAGAGCATGAAGGCTGAGCGGGGGCAGCGTGAGGGGCCGGCGGCCCAGGCCACCCGAGCGCCTGTCCCTCCACCCCCTTGCAGGCGCTGCTGGTCCCCGCCAGGAGCTCGTGCAGAGCCAGCCTGTCTGCCACGCTGCTCCGTCTCTCCTCTCTGACTGTCTGAGAGAACTACACAGACGAGCGCACCAAAAGGCTGTCAGGTCTCAGTAAATATTAATTGCGCATTTTTTTTTTTTTTTTTTTTTTAGGCAGAAGGGAGTAATTTCATTACATTAGGGCATCCAATCCATTACGAGCTCTTACCGTCATGTCACTGAAACAATTTCATTAAGCTAAAGGCCTGTAAATCATTGGAGGTCACTGCTCTGCCCTCCGCGACCTCCCAGAATGCTTTTTTCCTCTCTCCCGTTCCCCCGTCTCCCTTTTACTGGAAGTTGCAGTCTTCTGCTCTGACACAGTGCTAAATCTCAAGGCTTTATCTACCCAAGAGCGGCAAGGGTGCATGGGGAATATACCAATTCCAAATTAGACTCAACTAATCTAATTTTATAGTCTTTTTATTATTCTAAGCACCAAATGTCTGTGGTGGTTTGATGCCTCTGTGCATTGTTACGGGGCCCATCTGGTAGGTCATTCTATTGAAGCATTTTCTGACTAAATACAGATTCCCTCAAACTGCACCAGCCATCATCAACATTAAAGAAATTCATTGATGGAAGCGTTCATGAAGAGGGGAAGAAGGAATATCGTTATTGCCTTAAAGATGCACCACTTTGATTTAAATTGGGAAGAATTAAATGCACCTATTTCCAGACTCCTTTGTAATTTCCCTTTCCATCCTGTGATCCTGTGAGCATGAAAATAATGTCTCTTAAAAAGATGCCTTGACTAATATACATTCTAGTTGGAGACTGAGCTATTTTAGTTGAGGGATCATACACAGATACCAGGGTTTTTTTTTTCCTAAATCAAAATATATATAATGTGTAAGTCAGGATATCAACCATGATCACACCCCAACTATAATAGCATATATTACATACATAACCCACTTTATTCCTTAAAAAACCATAAAAAACAACAAAAAAGGTGTTATACAGGAATTGGTTATTGACACCAGATTGTTGTACTCGGTCTGCAGAGCACACTATGGTCTTTGGGGCTGCAGGACAGGTGAAAAGAGCTATGGCTGTACTAAAAAACTCCTAGACTCTTTTAATCTTCTCCACCTCTCAGGTGGAGGGATTTCCTGGTGTTGGAATTTTCATGTGTAAATTGAGCTAAACTATCCCAGGACAACTCTCCACAAAAGACATGTCAAAGCTACCTTTGGGAACCCTCTTCCAGGGCTTTATTTTCTACTGAAGGCAAGATTAAAATTAAAATACTATTATCTTTGGATAAGTATCCAGATGTAGAATTGCATAAATGCACACAAATAAAACGCAATAGAGTGATACCGTGCATTACAACAGACAGACTCTGTCACGATATTATGGACAATTATTAATACATCATCTCAATAGATGCTCATGATAGAAGATTTAGATATTTAGACTAAGAAAATAAACAGTCCACAGGCATCTCGAGAAGCAGAAGCACATTTTCAGTTGGCGAGTTCTGTATCTAGTGTTCAAAGTTCTCACTGATGCCCACTCACACGGAGTCTCACCACATCTTCTCGACCCCTAATTCTTCTGGAGCCTTTATTCACACGGGTTTGCTAAGCCTCTTTTTCATAGATTTCTTGCAGTGTTGGGGCCGCCGACTCCCTGCAGAGGTTCTATGAAGGCAGTCTAGTCCTGCTGCCCAGCTTCTAGATTTATCATCAGCTTAGAGGCCGGTGAATCAACAACCTCTACCCCACGCCAAGGCCACCAAACCTTACCAAGCAGAAATGCAGTGGAGTTGGCTTTTGGCTTCGAGAAACTGTTCAATGAACATGCTGAATTCGGCAAAAATGGCACCATCCGCCTAAGTAGAAAAGGATCTAAATCATCACATTGGGAAGTCTGGGGTGTGTAGAGATGGCAGTTTGTGGTGCATTGGTTTTCGTGCAGACATTTCATAAAGGTCCTTGCTATTAGTATATTATTTATTTACTGGATTTGTGAAGCATTTTCTATTCCTTTTCTTTTTGAGAACACCAGAAATCAAACAGGAGACTCTACATGTACAGAATTTTATGTGGAAAGAATGGAATCTGCAGGGAAGAAGAAAATGCCATAGAAAGAAGAGAATAAACCAAAGTGGGAGAAAGAGAATAAAAAAAGTATGTGGTGAGGGGAGATAGCCAAAAGATTTTTTTAAAAGACTAAACACACACTAGTAAATATCCCATCACAGTCCTGCTACTCAGCAAACTGAAGTGGTGGGGACAAGAGTCTTTGAGAGGGCTCTGATCATTTTCAGGCTAAAAGCAGAGACATCTAATATGTTACTAATTACGTGACGTTTAAATATTTTCAGTGGGTGGCACAAGTTGACATCAAGTTTATTTGCAATGGGGAAAACTGAGCTTTACTATAAGCATCTCTGTGGGTGTATTTTATAGACTATTTTAAAACACGAAACATCAAAATTTAAAATATTTATGCATAAGTGTGCTTTTCTAGAAGACATTTATTATAACTGAGATTGTCTCCTTTTGTTCTAACCACAGATAAATGAAAACAGACAGGATATTCCAACCATGATGGTCAAGGAGCCATTCTCAAGACAAGATGCCACATTCATTACCAGGGTCTTCAAGGGTTTAACACCTATGGGGGCCCCATAAGGTAAACAAAAACCACAGCGGTTACTCCACTTCCCAGCTCTTACATCTCCATGGCACCGAGCATCAGCGTATTCGTAAAAAGCCCAATTAATTGTCCATGAGCATTCCTGATACTTCCTGCAAATACACTAGGTCTCTAAAACAAAGTAAATACACACTTGGTTCAGACAGGTTTCTTTTTCTTTGCAAAATGACACCTCAGCGACATAAAAGTTAGTCCTGATGCACAGGAGAAGGGAGGCAAAATAAACACAAGCCCAGCATTTCTTTGAGGATGGTGGAGTGGAGCGTTACTAAACACACAGAGAACCTTCCGAAGCTGAGGCCAAAACATTCGATTTAGCAGTTTGCTTCTGGGGTTTGATGTGACCGGGGGGCCACTGATGTGTATTCTGAGCTCTCAGGTCAAAGGTCCATATCGTGCCTTTGAAAGGCCTCCTTCAAAGACCCTCTCAAAAACAAATCAACAAAGCCCATTGCCTACCCTGCAACATGCACGCTATCACTCGGGAGGCATCTGCAAAAAGGGCTTTGGAAATGTGAGCAGAGAGAACCCAGCAGTTGGAGGATGCCTGAGAGCTCTCTTTCAATTTTTCCTGGGCCATAAGAAGTGTATTTCCCACAGCTGCTGAATCTTTGCTTCTTATCATGCAACATAACTTACCCCAGTGCCTAGCGCAGTGCCAGCCACTTCACAGATGGTCACCAATGGTTGCAGAATGAGTCCTTCTAGGAAAAGGTGTCAGGGCTGAGCCCAAGCCGTATGGAATAAAGCTCTAAGCCATATCGTCATGACTGTGGCCCTGTGGCCCTTCTAGTGACGACAATAAAGACTGAGCCCTCCTGCTGTGACTGTACAGGGCTAAGCACCTTCCCTGCTTCTTGTCTTTCTGAGACACAGACCTCTATCAGGGAGCCCTTGGGAAGGAGACTTGAAATAAAACAAGATTTCTATGGGTCCAGGATGAAGATGGGGAACGGGAAGGCAAGAAATTTTGGGAAGGCTGGCTATTTTTTTGGAGGCCACTTTTATTGTCTTCTACTTTATACAGGATACTCAGTTTGATTTACACTCCCCTGTCTCTGAATAAGCCAAGAAGCCCCAAAATGTTTCATGATATTAAATTAACTGCTCTAATTTCCCCAGGAAGCTCGAATTTCGGCAAACAATATGAGTGCTAAAATGATACCAGAGTCCATTTAGAGAGGAATCCTCCGACAAGCACTAAATGCAGACTCCCCGAGAGCAGCTTTCTGACTACTGTATTTTTATACTCTGAGAATATAAACAAGGCAGAAAGGAAAGCCAGCGTGAGTGAGGACTTAAAATAATCTCCGCAAACGGCAGACTGGGAGATAGCACTTTTGAAAGAATTCCCATTAGTAAGCATAATATACTCCTATTATCACAGTTCATCTCTTTCAATTACAATGTGAAATTTCGTAATTGAAGCAGGATTAGAAATGTTTTTGTGCTTCAGAAATTAAAGCAGCCTATCTAAATCCTTTACAAAGGGTTAAAAAACTGACTACAATTTAAAAAGCTTCTAACTATCTCCCAACAGTAACCAAAAAAAGAAGAAAGAGATAAAGAAAGAAGGAAAAGAAAAAGAATTTTTTTTAAATTCAGGATTTCAATGATGCATTTAAGTCCCCATGAAGAATACCTTGAAAATAGATATCTTCAGAAATAGGCTTTGGGTATCTGGAAGAAAAGTCGAATTCCAAACTAGGTATCTACATGCAAGGTCTGCACATCAGGGGATACCCATCCAGTTGTTCATTCCTCATCCAGATGTTCTGGGGGCCCAGCATCTCATCAGGTGGATGGTTAAACTTAGCCTGAGGGCACTGTCCCTCCAGAGGCCCCAAATCCAGCAGCAGCGTTCTGCTCTGAGCTTCTGTTCATGTTCCTCCTCATGCTAAATGGGAGAAGTAGCTAAGGCTCAGCACCCTTTAGAGTTTAACAATTTGCTAATTTCTGAATAAATCTATCCCTACCAAATGTGCCAAATAAGTGTGGGGACTTCTGCATGAAATTCACAAGGGAAGCCTTACTAGAAACCCAAAGCAAGTCAACAGTCATGAAATCCAACAAGGAATTAACCCATAAGAGTAACATAGTACTATTAGATGTTCACACTGTCTTAGGTACTCAGGATGAAGAATAAAGTATAAGACACGCTTTGAAAATATTTGGAAGAAAGTTGCCACCTCTGGTTTTCACAGCTGAATTATACTGAAAGGTTTAAGGGAATTTAAACACCTAAACTATAATAATTTGAATTAGTTTTTGATGAAATATATATATGTTCATCAATGTACATATTTGAAGTATTCTTTTTCTAGACGGAGGAGAAATAGAATATTGTAACTGTAAAAAGAAAACCAGGGGAATCCCTGCTTTCATGAACCAAGGCAGAAGACAAAATGTGAAGCAGCCTTGACATGCTATTTCTTTCCTCCCTATTATCCAATTGTCCTTTAAGCAGAGAATAGGAAATCTAGAAGCGCTTTTGAAGGTTGTTTTTTTTTATGACAGTTTAACATTCTAAAAAATCATTATTGAAGAACAAATTATAGAAGCATTTGTCTGCTGCTAGCTGGGGTCTTTGAAAAAAATAAAGCTCAAGGTTATTTTAACTGACAAAAGGAAAAAAATTATCTTCAAAAGAAACGCATATACTTCATATAACTGAGTACTGGTTACACTTCCTCAGAGAAATCAAACACTTGATCTAAGCCACAATCTGCTAATGAATTGTCACTGCTTCTCATCATTTGAGGGCTACTGTAATTCTACATTAAAACAACATCTCAAATGAGCAAAAGGAGGTGAATCTATCATTTTGCTCATTTTGTACACTTGCCCACCAGACCCTAGAATACATATAGATATGTTTACTGATTCATGAATTATTTAAGTATCCACAAAGACCCCTGTCTATAAAACTGACAACTCTTATGCCTATTTTTCCTACATATGTAGTTACATGTAATATTGTGTCCATGTAAATACAAATATATATAACTGGTAAAGCAATTGTTGACCTCTGACGTTTAATGTGGTATAGCCAGTTACATTTACAGAGATATTTAGATAATTGATTGTTAGCATTCCAAAGACTTCAACCAACCAAATCTACTTTGTAAAGGACAAAGTCCTAGGTTAATTAAGCTCTCTGATCGGAATAGCCTGCTTAGAACTTAGTTGGAAATTGAACAAGTCTATTTCAACAAATGTCATTATGCATACTTTGCCACATAGCTAGCATAACACCTTCTATTTCATATAGATCATAATGCCGTTCAACATATGCAACTTCTCAGCAGGAGAATAACTGCATCCACTCCAGTAGATGCTCCTGAAAGCAAGCTCTGCAATAATGCAAACAGCGATGATGGATTAGCCACAAAGAGGCACACCAGACCTTGGAGAATAAAGAGGTGTTTTACACATCGCTGGGAAATATCAATAACTCCACTTCTGTGTTTACATACTTTCCTGTATATTGGGCTTTTGGCAAATGAATTTGTGTTGAAAAATGCAGGGGGAAGATCCCTGCAAACCACTTTATCATTAAAGATAGGGCCAGGTGCAGCGGTTCACGCCTGTGATCCCAGCACTTTGGGAGGCCGAGGCAGGGGGATCATGAGGTCAGAAGATCGAGACCATCCTGGCTCACACGGTGAAACCCGATCTCTACTGAAAATACAAAAAATTAGCCGGGCGTGGTGGCGGGCGCCTGTAGTCCCAGCTACTCGGGAGGCTGAGGCAGGAGAATGGCGTGAACCCGGGAGGCGGAGCTTGCTGTGAGCAGAGATCGCACAACTGCACTCGAGCCTGGGCGACAGAGTGAGACTCCGTCTCAAAAAAAAAAAAAAAAAGATAGTTACGGGGGACAAGCAGAGATCCCACTTAATTTTGGCGAGTTTAAATTTGAAACAAATTTCTGGCATTTCTAGATAAATAAAAGAACAACAATAACAAAACAAACAAATCCAAAGCAAATCAAACGAAAACACCTCATATTCACAGCGAGACAGTATCATTTGTTTTCCAGCAACTTTTAGACGAGGGGACCAAGGAAGTTTGGTTACTGTTTGCAAAATGTGCTGTCACACTTTGAGGCTTGCCTCAAATCTACCTGCATCCTGTGGTCATCCCCATGTTTGGACCAAAGGGTTTTATACCTCGGTGGCCCAACTCCCCAAGGTTTACATGGGACTTCCCTGTTTTAGCATTGAAACTCCTGTGTTCGATCCTGGGAAACAAATCAATTCCAGGCCAACTGCGATGGCTGCTTACCCTGTTATACCCCATGGGGCTGACTCAGTTGAAAATAGATTTATTCTTGGCATTTCATTCCCTCAACCATATCCCTAAACCTTAAAATGTCTGTTGACTCGCAAACCCAGCTTTCAGTTCTGTTGGCTCTAAAAGGCTCCTCACTGCAGCTTCTGTAAAATGGGCTGTCTCTTTGCAAACAAGCCCATGACAAGGCCAGGGGGAGCCTTGAAAGTCACTGAAACATTGGGCCTTGCATTCTCTGCCTTCCTCGTTGGGAATTAGAATTTCTTTGTAAGAAGTATCAGTGTTTTACTTGCCGGCCTTGCTGATGTCATGAATACTCAGAGGCTGGACAAATAAATGGCTGTCTCCATAGTGATGGGGGCAGGTTTATGGTTTCCCTAGTTACACTCTTGAGCGATAACCATCTGTGGTTCCTCCCCGGCAGAGGCGCAGGAGGGAGGAAGAAGCGAGAAACTGGGAAGATGAAATGTGCTTTTGTTAACGGGCATGAAAAGTTATCTCCCACATCTCTGTTTTTTTACTCTGTTTTTCTAAATCACCCAGCACAAACTGTAGTGAGGTAGTTTTTTTCTTTTTATCCCCATGGGGGTTTCAGAAAATTTTCCCACTGGGCTCTAAAGATTAAATGATTCCAGCTGCGTGAATATGACCACTAAGCAAGAGCCAGAGCTGAGACATTTCTTCCTGGATAGGAGGTCAGTGCCCAGGTGAGATGTTAGTTTTCATTCAAATACAAGATGGCAAACATCCCCACTCAGGGTCGAGGACACAAATCGGCACATCCTGGGGAGTGCTCCCTGACAGTGCACTGAAACCACATCATCTCCTTCAGCCTCGAGAGATCTTTGTTTCCCTTTAAAAACATCACATAGATCACTCATCAAGAAAATTAAGACTTCCTTGAATTTTTTCACATTTCTAGCCCATACTAACTAACCCTTTGAAGGCTCTCATTATTGGCTACCTGTTTTTTTCTTATAAAAGTGGAAGACTAGGGCTTGTATAATTTGTAACTATGCAAACTAAGTGATTCACATCCATGCCCCTCAGTCTCAGTTGTAAAAGGCAGATAACATTTAGTCCAAAAGGAATTTTTGTGTATTAATGAAGTGTGTGCACTCTGAAAATGTATTTGTGGCATTACTTAATTTTATTTGCTTTAAAACAAGTAATATTAAATTTAGGAATTCTTTTTTACATAATCTCCAAGCTCTCCTTCAGCTCTGAAGTTATATGACCTGAAATTGGTTTCTTATGAAATTCTAAAAACATTCTTGTTCATCTAACTTAGACCCTTCTGTGATTTGAACCTATCTCTTTGTCCCTTCTTCTTCCATCCCAGACCAAAGAATCTATTATTTGAGATATTCAATATATTCTTTCTGGACTAAGGGCAGCAGTTCAGACTCACATGCTTTTTGTATTTCTCCTGCTATTACAAGATTGAAATACAAGAAGCCACCAAAAACCTACACCAAAGAAAATACAAATTGCTCCCTTACTGAAAGAAGGATACCAATGTGTGCACATATTCACAATTCCCATAGTTGACACAACTAAGGAGAGAAATTGCAAAATTTAATCTCATTTCTTGGTGGCTACTTCCAACTAATAACCAATCAAGTAATGTACCACCTAAAATAGTCAAATGCCGCACCATCTATGGCATATAAGTTCTTAATCTTAACATTCCGTAAGCTGTACACAAACCTTCAGTGGCTCCCTGTGGCTCACATGATAAATTGTAGCAATCACAAAACCATCACAACCATGATAATGATTGCACACAACATTTATTTAACACTTACTAAGCATCCAGTATTGAACTGAGCACCTTTTAAGTGTCTTATGCCAGTCTGATCTCACAATAATTCCTACAGAAGAAGAAAGTGAGGCATTGAGAGCTACGTCTCTAAACTTGGCATTGAACCCAGTTCTGTCCATGCTCACGATGACTGTAAGAGATGCTGCTCCTCTGGAAACAGCCCAGACTCCTTAGCATGACATTGCTACACCTCCCTCTGTGCAATATGTGAATACACCAAGTACTTTCATGTTTCCACGTTCACTTATGCT
Source organism: Homo sapiens (assembly GCF_000001405.40). NCBI lineage: Eukaryota > Metazoa > Chordata > Mammalia > Primates > Hominidae > Homo > Homo sapiens. Next base: position 168,853,843 of record NC_000005.10, read on the forward strand.
TGTCCTTGCCCCCTACCCTGTTTGTGAAATCCCTCCTCATTCATCAAGGCCTTCCTCAAAGGCCACATCTTCTAGGAGACCTTCCTGTACAAACTCAGGCAAAATGAACTGCTCTTTCCAAGCTCTCAGGGCCCTTCGGTCATCCCTTCATTCAAGCACTTACTTCAGAGAGTAGGACGAATTCTGAATACAGGAGAAAACCGAGGTTCAGAGAGGTTGTTATGTAGCATCAAAAAAGGAGCTCGGCTAGTACATGGGAGAGTCAAGTTCAAACCTGCCTTCCCAATCCAGGAGTCTCGGGGCTTACCCATCAGGCTATTCCACCTTTCTCTGACTTTCAAAATACAAAGACAGGGAGCCTAATATGACTGTGTGGGTGTAACTCAAGTTATTGTAGCCTGGGAAGAGGATGGGGAGGAAGCCAAGCTTTAGTCTCAGTATTTGTCACTGGGAACTAGTTGCTTTCATTGGCCTGCAAAGTATTCTTACCCAGAAGATGGTGTTGAGGGTGGGGGGTGGGGGGAGCAGCACACTCAACAGTGTCCCCACCATTGCCTCCTTGTCTCTCAGATTCCTTGGGAGTCCCAGTCCATTTGACTTTTAGGATCACTGGGAATGGTAACTGATTTTAGCTCCAGTCACTGAGGATCATGGATGGGTGTCTGCACCTTGAGAGGATGCTTCAATTCCAGATCACCTAGTAGGATCCAATGGGTGGCCTTCTGACCAGGCTGGGACAGCATAGTGCTCTCTTGGGCAGAGGCATGGCCTCTCCGGAGAAATGGTTCTCTTTGCTCCAGGCAAAAGTGGTAAATTACGCAGATTCGAAGCCATCATTCCTGGGCATGGCCTTCCCCAGAGGTGACAAGGCTTGTCTTCCATAGGTATACAAGCCACGGGAACCAAAGGAACAGGACAGCAGTAACCAGATTGTGTCGTAGGGTGTTCGGGGTGAGTGGCCATTAGCGAGGCATCACTCAAAGGTATGTCTGTGGCAGCAGAAGCCAATTAAAACATGTCTTGCAAGCTCAGTGTTCGGGGGATATCAAGGTCCTTGTAATTAACTGCTGAAAAAAGGAGCATCAAAACTCAGCAGCACGTGCTGTGCTGATAGCTGCTTTCGATCTAGCTAATACACAGCATGGAAATACTCTAGAAGAGGCCAGCTTCCTTTTCTTTACTATTACTTTCAAGGAATAATGAATGCCTGAACTTATCAGCAACAGGAGAGCGGGTACAGTCTCTGTTTTACACACTACTGTACCTGGCCCACAGTGCCTGGCACACAGGAGGTGCTCAGTAAAAAGCCCTAGGATCACATGAGATTCCACTTCACACACACTAGAAAGGCTGTAATTAAAATAATGAGAAACAATAAGTGCTCGGTGAGGATGTGGAGAAACTGGAACACTCCTACATAGCTGGAGGGAATGTAAAATGGTACAGCTGCTGTGGAAAACAGTTTGGTGGTTCCTCAAAAAGTTAAACATAGACTTACCATATGACCCAGCAATTCCATCCCTAGGGATATAGCCAAAAGAATTAAAAACAGGTGTTCAAACAAAAACTTGCACACAAATGTTCATAGTGGCACCATTCACAATAGCCAAAAGGTGGAAACAACCCAAATGTCTGTCAGCGGATGAGTGGATACACGAATTGTGGTATGTACACATAAAGGAATATCATTCAGCTACAAAACAGGAATGAAGTACTGATGTATGCGGCAACATGGATGACTCTTGAAAACATTACGCTAAGTGAAAGAAGCCAGACATAAAAGGTCAACTATTGTGTGATTCCATGAATAGAAAATATCCAGAACAGGTAAATTCATAGAAACAGAAAGCAGATCAGCAATTGCCAGAGGCTGGGGGCAGGGAGGGAATGGGGAGTGACTGCCGAATGGGTACAGAGTTTCCTTTGGGGGTGATGAAAATGTTTTAGAAATAGACAAAAGTTTACCGTCCCCACTCTCTTTGCCTAAACTGACATTTTTTCCCCCTGAGTCTTGAGTGATTTTTGGGAGGCCAAGGCGGGCGGATCATGAGGTCAGGAATTCAAGACCAGCCTGGCCAATATGGTGAAACCCCATCTCTACTAAAAATATAAAAAAATTACCCAAGTGTGGTAGCGGGCACCTGTAGTCCTAGCTACTCAGGAGGATGAGGCAGGAGAATCGCTTGAACCTCGGAGGCAGAGGTTGCAGTTAGCCAAGATCGTGCCACTGCACTCCAGCCTGGGTGACAGAGTGAGACTCCATCTTACAAAAGAAAAAAAACAAAAAGAAATAGATAAAAGTGATGGGTGCACTACATTGCGAGTGTACTAAATGCCACTGAATTGTACTTTTAAACGGTTAGTTCTATGTTATGTGAATGTTACCGTAGGAAAGGAGAAAAAGTGAAGCTTGCTCTTTCCATGACAGGCAGGAACTTTATGAGACCACCCCATTTTGAGGGTGGTTTCCCTCTGACGACATCACAGTGAAAGGTAGGGAAGCCTAGGACCAGATCTTACACGATGAGATAGCAAACCTGATTCTATCTGGGTGTGAGAAGAACTACCTTGACATTGAAGAGCAATGCGAATGAAGGAGAGAAACATGAGGGAATTTAATTCACCTATTTTTGGGAATTATTTATAACAAATTTTAAAACTCTCTCTCCCAGCTTGCTTTGGGGGTACTCCCAATCACTCAAGATTCAGGGGGGAAAATGTCAGTTTAGGCAAAGAGAATGAGGACGGTAAACTTGATGGAAGGAGAAAAATCACCGCTAGGCTCCCAAGTCCAGCATAAAATAGTGTGGGATTAGCCACTGTTTTGTATTTTCCACACCACTGCTCCTCCTTTTGCATCAGTAGCCAGCGCAGATATCTCAGTAGATTGCATTTGCATTTGCATTTCAGAAGCTGAGTTCCTCGTGTGTGTGTGTGTGTGTGTGTGTGTGTGTGTGTGTGTGTGCGCGCGCGCGCACGCCTTTGTTCAGACTGGTTCTCAGAGAAGGCAAGGAAGGAGGCCAGGCTGTTACCCTCACTCAGGGCAGTGAGGGAAGTGCCTTTGACCAGAAACCCCTTCCTGCAGAGGCCTCTGGTCTGGGTGGGCTACGGACGTGCGACGGCTCCTGGGGAAGGGATGGTGGGGGGGCCTGGTGAAAATGGTGAGTAGTTTTCCTTCATGCTGTCTCTAAATTCTCCCAGGACTCTCGGGAGCAGCCAAGTCAGTCTCACCGAGCTAAGTAAATCCGAAAACATCTGGGGGGCCCACAGAGATGGTTCCTACTTGGGGACCACCTGGGCAAAGGCCAGCTCTACCCACAAGCTTCCAGGTCCAGAGCTCTCCATTGCAGCTACTTCTACTTAATTGGCTGAAGAAATTTCTGAAGAAATTTCTAATTCCTTCCCTGATTCCAAAAGGGGAAATAAGTGCATTGTTCACACTTAAGAACTGAGGATGACAGCCACTGTTCTGGGTAGGGGATAAGAAAGAGTGATTTTCTTTTTCTCATTTGCCAGCAGTAGAGTTTTTGTTTTTGTTTTGTTTTGTTTTGTTTTGTTTTGTTTTAAGATGATGTGATTTAGTGGAAAAATAAAAACAGTTTGCTCAGGAATCAGATGACAAGGATATTTGACCTTGTCGGACTATGGCCTAACTTCTCTGGGCTAAAATTTCCCTATCGGTAAAACAGAGGCATGAAATAGATGATTTCTATGGGCCCCTCAAGAGCTGGCACTCAGGGCTGCTGAGTTTTAATTCAGTCCCTGAGTCCTCACATGAAGTTTTTCTCATTTTGTTGTTATAGGTACTGTCTGAGGAGTCAGATTTTATTTTTAATGCAGTACATTGAGAATGTAAGTGTGAATTTACTCCGGTTTTGAACAGTTAAGACGAGGACTCTCCAGGGGGTCGGAGGGCTGAACAGCAGGGTGGAAAAAAACACAAGTATGAATGAATGTGGTATTAACTTCTACCAAAGCGCTCCACGGAAAACCACCGAGCTTAAAAGCCCTCAACGGTGTGCCTATCAGGTAGAGATTCACGTAGGAGTTCTTAGGCGGGACAAGACTGGCTCTCCAGCTTCTGGATGCATACGGGGTTAGACACAAGGTGTCGGGCCACCGGGGATCCTTCTACCCCATCTTCTGGAGATGTCTCCTCTTCCTGCTCAGCTCTTCTGTGTCTTAGAAACAGCATATTTTCCCATCCCATTTGTCACAGAAACAGCTTTTAAGGAGCATTCAACAGTGTTTCCAGCATTCAATAATTTCATAGCTTTTAGAAAGCGAAGGCTAGACTCCCACATCTACTGGAAAAATGAGAGTCTAGAAGTGCGGAACACAGTCTCTGAAGGAGGAAGAGGAGAAAGCCATCCCCGGGGATAGTCCCAAATGGAGCGACTCACTGAGAAGTTCTGGGACATGCAAGGGCAGAGAATGGGCCTTCTAGGACTTTCCCCAACATTCTCCAGTAAATTACATTAGAAATGGGCCACCCCACTCCTTTGTCTCCTTCAGAAATGATCTTTGGACTTGTACTGCCCTTTCTGGCAAGTTCATTCTACTTTTATATCCCCGTTAAAGGCTAGTTGTCTTATAAGCCTTGGTTTGGGGAAAGTAAGGTCCTTTCAAGTGAGACTTAGGGGGAAAAATTCCTTGTTTCCAGATCAAATGTGCTATTTTCTCAGCCATCCAAATGCCACTTACATAGTGCCCTGGACTCTATCCACAAACTCCCCTGCAGCAGCGTTGGGCTTACGCGTTGGGCTCCCAGCAGCTTTCTGAGCTCCCTCAGCTGCTCCTGGCCCTCCTGGCCCTTGGAAGCCTGTCCCTGATGGATACAAATGGATGAGCTGTGTCTTCCTATACTTCCTTAAGCTCCCTCATTCTGTTCTTTTCTTTAAAATGTTCCATTTCAAGTTAATCACCAAAGGTTTCGATTTTCCATCCTAGGTTACTCACAGGCATTCTTGGCATTTACATCCCGGGGACTCAGCACATCCCCATCAACCATACTATGCTTTGGTTCCTAAGGCCCCTGGGCGGGCTGGGTGCAGGGGGTGCAAGATCTACATGTGAAATGCAAAAGTGGGTGGCTGCTGCTGCAACCCTTCTCTAAACAGAGAGTGAGGCTTGCGGTGGGGTGGACACATAGTCCTGCAACATGAGTGATGCTATCTCTAGGACTTCAAAGCAGAGAAGTCTGAACCCACCTGATCAGAAAGGTTGGATAATCAGCACTAACGTTTCCTTTGCCTGTGATGGATAGCCACTTTGGAAATATTTTCCATCCTGACTTTTCCTTGGGTCAGCACTGCGGCAGAAGCAGGGGGTGGAGGGACGGGGTCTATCTTGGTCATGATGTTCTATATTAACCCCTCCAAGAAGAGAGAGGCCCCAGAATTGTCTCTGTACAAAAGGTTTGCATTAACTGTAATGAAGCAAATGACAAAATCGATAAAGTGGGAATTGCGTGGCTGTCATAAAGATGATGTAAATCCAGGGTTCACGATGGTTATGAAGCTATTTAGAATTGTAATTAAAACCAGCACCATTTTTTTCAAGATAAAAGCCCCTTTGACAACCATAAATGCAAGCTACAGGAAATTTTCAACAAATATATTCAAAATTAATGTATGGCACAAAGATGGCATAAATTAACTGAGGATAATCCATAAGCCCAGGCTTCAGAATGTAAGAGCACTGAGTAAAGAGATTTCGATTTCACGTTTGGTTTTCAAGCAATGTGGTTTTCAATTTTAATCAAGTTAAAGCTTGACAGAGCACTTAGAGACTCTGAGTGAATGGCATATTTCTGACAACTACTTTTCAATGAGACTAAAAATGCTGTCTCTGTATTTGCCCAACTTGAGATCTGACGGCATTTGCTATTTTATGTATCCCACATATTTCAGAACAGAATTCAGGGGTGTGCATGTAGGAGATGACCTTTTTGTTTTATTTGGGAGTGGGAGTAGGATGGGGAGGGAGAGGAAGGGGATGGGCTGTCCACGTCTTCCAGTCCTAAGGAGTTATCTTCCTTGGACTAATTTTCTGAGCCCTGATTACCAACTGTAACACTGAGATTTCTTGGGAAACATTCACCTACTTACTTATCTATGATCCTACCTTCCTCTTTCCCTACCTATCCACACACTGAAATTCAGAACATCACCGTTTGCCTTTAGGTTATTAACAAAATCAGAGTTACTATGAACTTCAACTCTGCTGAAGGAGATTCCAGCCCTCTGGGTGGTTGCAGCTATAGAGTTGTAAAATGCCACCGTTGAAAGTGATCTCAGAGATCATCAGATGCAAGCCCATAATTTTCAACAGAAGAAGAAAGTAAGGATTAGAGAGAAGAATTACTTAAAATCCTAAGATAGCATTTGGCAGAGAAGTAAGGACTTGATTGCTAACCCCTTGGGTCACACTGTTTAGAGACAAGTGACACCTGATATACCAGTGAAAAAACTAAAACAATAAAAGGTGATTAAATTGTATCTTTAAGTCTGAAATGCTACTGCAACTCAGGGATGCTTGACTCTTTCATTCCATCTGGGGCTTCAAATGTGGTGAGGAATGGTGGCCTAATGGGGAGGGATTGAGGAGTCCCAGGGATTTAGGGGTATATTAATTATGTTTTTAAATTTTCTCTACTTTAAAATAGTTTGACATCTTGGTGGGGGAGGGAAGGGTTCTTGGCAGGGGAGAGAGACTGCCCCTCCCAGAGCTAGCTCATTCCTAGAGATAGTAAACAAATTGCCAATGAGCCTATCTTTCAGATACAGACCAACCAATCCCAAGTCCATATCCTAACCACCAGCTGTATCTAGCTCACACACCAAGCCAGCCTTTACTCTGCCCTAAATCAACCCAAGGCTGGGTACAGGATGACTAGGAATAGCCCTTATGCCCCAAGGCCCATATGAATTATTCAAACTAGCCATTCTTAAGCTGTTTCCCCTGCCCTGCCTTGCCTTTCCTATGAAACCCCAATAAGGGCTTTGGCCCCAGCTTTCCCCTTGCTCCTGTTTCTGCCCGACTCTGGTGCTTCCCCTGCGGCCCTGCATGACATGCTGTGCCTCTCATTTCTAGGGACCTGTGAGTAACAGTAAATTTTCTGTAAATGGCATTGACCTCTCTGTATCATCCAACAGTCACCTTTACAAATTAAGACCCAGACACAGACCAAGGGAACCCAGGGTCTGGTCTGGCCAATTGGCCACATTTTTAAAAGGAGAAATTTAGACCGTATGACATATTTCTTATTTTTTATTATTATACTTTAAGTTCTAGGGTACATGTGCACAACGTGCAGGTTTGTTACATATGTATACATGTGCCATGTTGGTGTGCTGCACCCATTAACTCGTCATTTACATTAGGTGTATCTCCTAATGCTTTCCCTCCCCCATCCCCCCATCCCACGACAGGCCCCAGTGTGTGATGTTCCCCTTCCTGTGAATATGACGTATTTCTTAAAGCCCTCTCTAGCTTGGTAAGTCTATGACTCTTGGTAGAGCAACCTGAATTCCATGCGTGTCCGTCCCCAACCCCTGCCCCCCGCCCCCACCAGCCCGCCCAATTTGCCCCATTTCAATAGGCAGCAAGGCTGGCTGCAGTAGAGGAATTGCATGCTAGCCAAACCACTTATTATAAAAGCACATCTCATACCTGCCTTGGTAGTAAAATGGGCAAAGAAAGGAAATCATTTCAGGAAATCTAATTGCATTAAGGAGCTGATTCCAGAAAAGGGACTTGGCTTGACTGTCTACCAAGAAGACTCATCTTCCATGACAACGAACAATTCACCAGAGAAAATTTGCACATCCACAACCCAACTGTACGGGTTGACAGCAGGTTCCCCAAGCTGCATGTGGACCATTCTAATGGCTGGAAAGGTGTAAATGCTGTGAAGCAATTTCACAATGGACCCAAATGGAAGTTCAGTGCCAGCCCTCACTTTAAGATGGCCAGAACATGTAAAGAGAGCCCAGGAAGAGTTAAACTGTTCAACTTCTGAGGCACACAATAAGGAAGGGCTTAGCTTGGGAACCTTGGTGTATTGGTGTGCAGGGCAATGATGTACCCCTTTTAACATTAGCAGCTGCTTAGCAGCCGTGAGAGCATCATTTAATGGGGCCGTAGGAGATGTAACTACAAGACACCAACACTGTCCTTAGAGAACAAAACAAGACCATTTCTGAAGCAGAGCTAAAGCTGAGAATCTTGGCTTTGTGGTCTATTTATTTTTCATGTAGCTGGAAACCATGTTTAAGGCTAACACTGGGTCAAAGGAATCTCTCGAGATATTTAAGGCATGACACAAAAGCATAAGAATGATACGTTGGACTTTGGGGACTCGGGGGAAAGGGCGGCAGGTGGCAAGGGATAAAAGACTACACACTGGGTACAGGGTACACTGCTCAGGTGATGAGCGCACCAAAATTTCAGAAATCACCGCTAAAGAACTTGTTCATGTAACCAAATGCCACCTGTTCCCCAAAAACCTATGGAAATAAAAAATAAGGTATGGGCAGCAAAAGGCAGATTAAAGGGAATGGGGCCAGGGACATCCTGCTAAAGAAAAATTTTGGAAAACTCCTTGTGTTTCAATTCCTGTGAAATGTATTAAAAGTCAAGTACAGAAAACTCCAGAAACTAATTACAGTTAATTGAAGTGTTACTACATGATGGTGACCTCCTTACTCTTATTGCTTTGGGTTGAATCACCATCACTCAGCCACGACCCTCTCCCTATTCATTTTTCTCTAATCTATGTAAATCCTAGAGATCACTCAATAGAACATTGGTTTTTTTGTTTGTTTGTTTGTTGTTTTTTTTTTTGTGAGATGGAGTTTTGCTCTTGTCGCCCAGGCTGGAGTGCAATGGCACAATCTTGGCTCACTGCAAGCTCTGCCTCCCAGGATCAAGTGATTCTCCTGCTTCAGCTTCCCGAGTAGCTGGGACTACAGGCACCCACCACCATGCCTGGCTAATTTTTGTATTTTTAGTAGAGACGGGATTTCACCATGTTGGCTAGGCTGGTCTCGAACCCCTGACCTCAGGTGATCTGTCTGCCTCAGTCTCCCAAAGTGTTGGGATTACAGGCATGAGCCGCTGCGCCCAGACTGAACATTGGGTTTTATCTTCTTCATTGTCTGGTGTAGATAACAATGTGGGCTGGGGGTGCAGACGGAGACGAATGCCATGCATACAACACCTATTCTATGAGCCTGAAAGCATCCACGGACCCAAAACACATGCAGCCTGTTGACAATGACCCAAAGTCTGACTTGCCTGATGATTGAATAATGACTCAATAGTTGCATTTTTCCAATGAATCAATTTTTTTTCAGTGACCATATGGAGCCAGGAGCATACTTTGAACTTGGGTGTGGAGTCTTTTTTCAAGAAAGAAGCAAGCAAACATTTATGGCTTTGTGAGCTGAACATGCTTAAGTAGACAAAAGCGATATTCAGCCAGTGATCTAATTGACATTTTACTTGGGCAAAAGAACTGAGGCCGGCCCAATGGCAGGCAAATTCATTTTCCAAAGGTCATGGGGTTGGCTGCTGGTGATTCGTTGTTGAAAGATATCTCAGGGCTGGTCAAGGCCACAATCAGAAATGCCCGTTGAATACAAATAATTCCCCTCATTCAAAACTGACAGCCACAGCCATGGGTCAATGTGGTTGTACTTATGCAAATGGTAATGATCATGGTTTCCAGTTATGGAGGGTCAACCGTGGCAGAGACAGAGGCAGTGCAGGGCATGGCCAACTCAGAGTCCTGTGAGTTCTTGCTGGGAAAGTGCGCTCTGGCATCAGATGCCAGGGAATCAAGTGAAATGGGAGCACCCCCATTCTTTGGGCTGAGATCAGGTGGATTTAACTCATAAAATTGTTTTATGTTACACAAATATATGCACATGACAAAAGAAAATCCAGAGAGATCAAAGAGTATAGAATGAAAAGCAACACCCTTCTGCCCCGTTCCCCAAGTTGAGAAGTTTGCCTTTCCAGAAGCAATTACTGTCAGCATTTCCTATGAATTTGTCCACAAATATTTCACATATATAAAAGCATGTGTGGGCCAGGTGCGGTAGCTCATGCCTGTAATTTCAGCACTTTGGAAGACCAAAGAGTTTGAGACCAGCCTAGGCAACATGGTGAAACCCCATCTCTATAAAAAAATACAAAAAAAAAAAAAAAAAATTAGCTGGGTGTGGTGGCATGTGCCTGTAGTCCCAGCTACTGCAGGGGCTGAGGCAGAAGGATCGCTTGAGCCCAGGAGGTCGAGGCTGCAGTGAGCCACTGCACTCCAGCCCGGCCGACAAAGTGAGACCTTGTCTCAAATAAAAGGCACATGTGAACAAATACAAGCATAATGCTTAAAAACACAAGTGGTAAAAGACTGTACAGACCATCTGCACCTAGTTTTCTCATTTATGAGCTCTGGATATGTTTCATATTATATATAAAGATCAACCTCATTCTTTATAACTACTCTACAATAGTTCAGTGAATGAACATACCATGATTCATTTGCTTTGGGTCCTATTGGAATTTAGGTAGCTCCCAAGACATTTTCTTTGCAAATAACACTTACCTAAACATCTCTGGGGACTTAAATGAGATTATGTTTAAGTAAATTTATCAAAGTTAAATTGATAGATTGAAGAGTATGTGTATTTTCAATTTTGGTAGCTGTTGCCAGATTGCCTGTTGAGGGGGTTATACCAATTGGCATTCCCACCGTCAGTGTGAAAGATGGCCCAGCACCCTTGCCAATTCAGCATCCTCTGAATTCTTACCAAGAACTCAAGAACTCTCTCTAATCACATCTAAATTTCATGGGAAGGAGTTGAATATGCCGTCTGAAGTCAAGATAACCATGGGCCATATATACTGATGAAGGCTTTCTTCGCAATTTACATTAGTTTTCTAAGACAATGGGATAGAGGACAGATTTTCCCTACTCTGGTATTTGCCATCATTGTTGTTAAGTAATGTTTGGTCATTGTAGCAATATTAGAAAATGGATAAGGACGGTGGCTCACGCCTCTAATCCCAGCACTTTGGGAGACCGAGGCGGGTGGATCACCTGAGGTCAGGAGTTCAAGACCAGCCTGGCCAATGTGGTGAAACCCCATCTCTACTAAAAATACAAAAATTAGCCAGGCGTGGTGGTGGACACCTGTAATCCCAGCTACTTGGGAGGCTGAGGCAGGAGAATCAATTGAACCTGGGAGGCGAGGCGGAGGTTGCAGTGAGCCAAGATTGTGCCATTGTACTCCAGCCTGGGCAACAGGAGTGAAACTCCGTCTCAAAAAAAAAAAAAAAAAAAAAAGAACATGGATAAGGAAAAAAAATAAAATCACTCTTAAGTATTTACGTGAGGGAAATGAAAACTTGCATTCACACGAGGACTCATATAATTCAATGTTCATAGCAGCTTTATTCGTAATAACCCAAATTTGGAAACAATCCAAATGCCCATCAACAGGGGAATGGATTGACACACTGAAGTATACCCATACTCTGGAATACTACTCAGTAGTAACAAAGAACACATTACTGACAATACAACACAGGGTGAATTTCAAAATACTACGCTAAGTGAAAGATGTTAGCTACATAAGGTAACATACTGTGTGATTCCATTTATATGAAATAGTTCTACAGGCAAAACTACAGTGACAGAAAGCAGATTGGTGTTCGCCAGGATCCATGCATGGGAGAGAGGACTGGCTGAAGACAGAAGGACATTTTGGTGGTGGTTACATGGCTATTCACTGGTCAAGATAAATAGAATCATACAGATGAAATGGATGCATTTTTTAGGTAGATTAAATCTCAATAAAGTTGACTTAAAAAATAAAATCATCCAAATTCCTATCACTTATAGTTGACAATTGCTATCATTTGGTTTATGTCCTTCAGGCTTTTTTCCCCATGCAAATATATACATATATAAAATCATATTCAAACTTTTAAATGTACCTTCCATTTTATTTAATTAAATTGGAATATATGATTTGATAATCTGCTTTGTTAAACAAAATACTAATAATATATTGGTTAGATTTTTTAATGGTTTAATTCCTTATCTCAAACTGTATTCTCATTCCTAAGCAGCTTGACCTTCCCATCTACCCAACTATGGTAGAGTAACCCAATTTGAGGAAGCTCTGTGACTCTTTGCATCTCTTTTTCAAGACAGCTTTTTCACTTTTTCCTTCTCTCTACAAGATGTGTGGATTAAACTGGCCCGGGACAGATGGCAGCCAGCTCGCAGCCTAGCCGGGGTCATGTTTCCAAAGTGCAGGCGGAGTCAGCATTTGCTGAAAGCCGGGCCAGACTCCATCCTCAGCTTGTAGGCCACTCACAGGGAGAAACTCAAAAAGGCTCCAAAGAGAACCAGAGGTCCTTTACCCTCCACTGTTTGGAGAAAAAGTCTCAAAGTAACTGAGAGGGAGGCTTTGTTCTTTGCCTTTGTTCCACATGAGGCCCTCCCACATTCTCCAATCCACTGTCATAATGTGGGACCTCCTTGCCTGACAACATTCTAAGGGATTGACAAATTAAGAGCAATGAAGGCTTGGATATTAGGCACAAAGGACTCAATGTGAGCCACAACCATCACCTATCTCATCTCCACTCCTGGCCAGATGCCGAACAGCACACAGGAAAATCCAACACAGACAACAGACACTTGCCTTACATGTGTGGAAGTTCCCCCACTTTTTATTCTCAGGCCTCTTCACTCTCATTTTAATTTTGGATTGATTTCCCCCAATTGTTTTAAACACTGTTAACAGTGAGTCAGATTAATGTAGATTCATATTTTGACTCTGCTATGTGACCTTGGACAAACTACCTAACCTTGCTGAGTCCGAGTTTCTTCATCTTTTAAAGAAGGATAATCCCACCAACCCCACTGGGTTGTTACAGCAATTAAATGATATAAGAATAATAATTAACATTTGAAGTGCTTACTGTGTGTTAGTGCTAACTCTTTTACAAACATTCTCTGCATTAGGTACTACCTTTAGTCTCTATGAAGAAACCAAGCTTAGTAGAGAAGCTAGCAATTGGCTCAGGACTAGTGGGGAGACTAAGACTCGAACCCAGATCTCTTCTCATTTCAATGCCAAGTCTGTATTCTGCATGCCAGTCGTTCTCAAAAGTTATAGAATCAGCTGTGGAGTGGTTTAAACATGCAGATTCCTGGGCCTTGACCAGAAATCAGGATTCAGTTAGTTGCTAACAGGGCTCAGGAACCTGCATTCTAAATAAGGTCTGGGAGATTCTGGAGCAGGTGGTTTTCAAACTATGCTTGGAAACATTGCACGTGGCTACAATGAAACCATGCAATTATTACTTTACCATTATGACTTTAAAAAACAATTAGAGAAAAATTCTAGAGTAGGCCGGGGAAGGGAACTGTAGGACTTATGAGTCGTTGACTCTACTTTGTTCTCAAAGAACAGGCAATCAATGACAAGAGTCGAGATGGTGCTGGTGACAGAGAGGCACATAGATGTGCATGTATTGAGGAAACAATCTGTCTAAATAAACAATGATGAGTCAAGCTAAAGAATGTGTTGGTCCCTCGGTATTTGGAGTCTTTGGGATGCTTCAGTGAAAATGACCAGTGGTGTGTGACTTTGAAGAAGTAGGGCAAAGTCACTCACTTCTGGAACATGCCAGGGCCATACCCTGATGTAGGCAGAGTGCTCAGCCTCAAAACACTACAAGATGTAGTAGAAAGGGATGTTCAAGTCCAGGAACAGTGCTCTGCTTTGTACAATTAGCAATGGTCCATGTGAGTTGGTTTTGGGAAGATCTGCTCCCATATTTGCCTCCCCCGAGCCTTCTTGATTGCCACGATTAGAGTCGCTTTTTCAAGGCCTTGGCAGGCAGTTGGATTTAAACTGATTCAAGGGATTATGGCATCAAGACTTGCTAACATATTAGCAAGATTATTGACACCTGCAGCTGCAGGAAAAACCAGAATCTTCCATTCACATCCTTGGCCTGCAGCAGGCTCACCCCAGTGACTGGGAGGCATGATCTATATCAGAGGCCAGTAGTTGAATGGGACCCACAGATGACTGGATTTGCCCAACATGGTATGGACACTTAGTGCTTAAGAAGATTTTGCATTAGGTGCCAACATCTCAAAATCAAGTAATTTCAAATAAAATTTTAAATTTCTTGTTTCTAAATCAGAGAAAATCCCAAGACTACCAAACCAAACCCCAAAACTCCTTCTCCTCTAACCCCGCAAGCCAATAGCCCAACTGTAAGATAAACTCTGTGTGCATCAATGAAGGATGAAGGATGCATGAGGATGAGGGTGCAGAATACTAACATTGTATTTATTGAGCACCTACTTTGTGCCAGGCTCTACTGAATAAGTCCTTTCCATGTGTCATCTCATTTGACTTATTTATTTTTTGAGTCAGGTCTCACTGTGTTGCCCAGGCTGGAGTGCACTGGTGCCATCACGGCTCACTGCAACTTTGAACTCCTGGGTTCAAGCAATTCTCCCACTTTAGTCTCCCTAGCAGCTGGAACTATAGGTTCATTTAACTTTCACGTTAAAAATTATGGCTTGGCCGGGCGCAGCGGCTCACGCCTGTAATTTCAGCACTTTGGGAGGACAAAGGGGGCGGATCACGAGGTCAAGAGTTTGAGAACAGCCTGGCCAACATGGTGAAACCCTGTCTCTACTAAAATACAAAAAATTAGCTGGCCGTGGTGGCGGGCACCTGTAATCCTAGCTACTCGGGAGACTGAGGCAGGAGAATCTTTTGAACCCAGGAGGCAGAGGTTACAGCGAGCTGAGATCACGCCACTGCACACCAGCCCGGGTGGCAGTGTGGGAATCTGCCTCAAAAAAAAAAAAAAAAAAAGAAAAAGAAAAAGAAAAAGAAAGGCAAAAATTATGGTTTGGTTAAGGATTAATCATCCTTATTTTATTGAAAAGGAAATGAAGGCTTAGGGAGGAGAAGCAGTGTGCCCAAGATCACCAGCTAGCAAAACAGAAAGAGAAAATCTCACCTATTCTATTGGAGAATGGGATCTTTCTGGGGTAAGAGGTGGCCACATATCAATGGGACTCCCTAGAAGCTTGCAGGACTCATGGAGCAGGCCCCCTGCAGATAGGAGGGCACACAGTATGTTTAAGAGGGGACCTGTCACTCTGGTTGGCCTGTGGTTGCCGGGCAGGACTGGGCACCCAGTGTTAACACTTTTAATTTCTCCAGAGAAGCTGGAAATCCAGACTTTCAAGCAAAATTTACTGATTTTTTGAAACCCCATAAAAAGAAACTTGAAGTTGTTTGGAGCTGGGATTTGGATCACAGTTTTTGCCTTTCATTAAATACTTCTCTAATCTGTGGCAGCATAGCAGAGTGGTTCAGGTTACAGGTTCTAGATGTAAACTGAGTTCAAATCCCAGTTCTGCCACTCAGTGACTATGTGACCCTGGGTAAATCATTTCACTTTTGTATGCCTCCGTTTTATCATCTGTAAACTGGTGATGGTAATCACTAGGTTGTCACAAGGATTAAGGGAGATAATAGGTAGAAATTAATAAGAACTGTGTCTGATATGCAGTCAGGGTTTGACAAAAGCTTATTGCCTACTAAGAAGGAAAGTCTCTGAGGCTTCATTCCTTCCTTGACACAGCCTCTGTTTATTTGGTGTACATGTCGGCAGTGGGGAGATATGATCACCTGGGGGTAAATTATGGGCTTTAGAAGTTATCTCAGACAAATACCCCATCTCTCAGCCCAAGAAATGGTGTTGTCTCTATTAGCAGAAAGAGGAGTACAACCTTAAAAACAGAATGCTAATTAGCTGGGAAATCTTGGAACTGCTACTGGACCATGTGCTGTATGTACCAAACCTTATCCACTGGGTACTTACTTGTCTGGCTAGGAAGTTTTCCTGGCAGACACAGTACCCAGGAACGGATCATTGGCATTTAAAAGTAATTTAGGTTTGCGCACTTGTGCCTGGGGACTGCGTACAGAGAGAACTTTAAAGGAGAATGTTAACAATGGCAAATAATAGCTGTCGGTGTAAATGGACACATCGTAACACATCCATTTATAGAGCTGAATGCTTGTGGCAGACACAGAAGTGCTCCGTGCCGGCACGGCAGGCGCTATGCATATGGATGTGTCAGTTCTGATACAAGCCTGCTCTGAAACATCTGCTCCAATAAAAGAGACCCACATGTACCATGAGCAGTATTGCGGCAGAGATCTCAGGCTCTGAAAACCACCGTCCTGCACTCTGCACAAGCAACTTATTTATTCATCTAGCAAATATTTTTGATGACTGGCTCACGATGTCTTCACATGAGTCTCTAATAATTCTCTTTCCAGAACTGGCTGTTGCCCCCAGATGCAAAGTAGTTTATCTGGGGCTACAAGAAGGAAGGGAGAATGGCCAAGAAAGCCAGTTAAACTTTGCCCTGCTGCAGAAATCCCTAACCAGTCCCAAGGATATCTGGAAACTTTCAAAAGCCCTAAGCCCCATTCCAGGTAATCACCTCCCAGTCAACACCAACCCTTCTCCTTTCCTTTCCTCCCACAGTGAGCCCAGCTCAGACCCTCAACCTTGGAGTTGAGCTTCCAAAGTCCAGCTCTGAGTCCAGAGACCTGGCATTATCCTGATTCTCTTTTATGCTGTCCCTACCTGGTGCTGGCTTCTTGACCCTGCCACGGAATTTTACCTCAATGACAAAACCTAGCTCCTTCCTGGTGGAAGATGGCCTCAAAGAACCATCAAACTCTGTGATATGAGTAGACCTGAAAGATTATTTATCAAGTCCAGTGGTTATTTTTCAAGCCTTTTTTCTCCCCATAGGCTCTTTGTGACACAAAATCTCATGTTGCACACTAATGTCAAAAGAGGCAATTTAAATCTTTATCACTGTTGAAAATAACTATTTGTGGGCTCTTGAAGCACCAGAGTTTCTCAGAATACAAGGTGAAATTCACTGATTTTATGTCAATGATTTATTTTAATAGAAGAGGAAATCCAGACGACAGGGTTTGGTGACAGCCTGAGGGTGGTTCTAGTACTGGTTTCCCATGGCTGCTATAACGAATTACCACAAACTGAGCGTCTTAACATAACACGAATTTATTGTCTTAGAATGCTGGAGGTCAGAAGTCCTAGATCAGTTTCACTGTGCTCGTGTCAAGGTGTCAGCAGGACTGCGTTCCTTCTGGACGCCCCAGGGTACAATCTGTTTTCCTGTCTTTTCCAGGATCGGGGTTGTCCTCCTTCCCTGAATCACGTGGTCTTTTCTCTCTCTCTGCTTCCAGCACATGTCTTTTTTCTTATGAAGACCCTTCTGATTACATTGGATCCCCTCAAATAATCCAGGATAATCTATCCACTTGAAGAACCTGAATTCTTGATTTGTAATCCTTTTTGCTATGTGGAGTACACATTCACATACATTAGAGTTTAGGATGTAGGCATTTTTAGAAGAGCCATTTTTCAGCCTACCCTAGGCAGGCAGCGGTTAATAGCGGAGCTGGGACTCCTCAGTTCTTTTCGTCCTTTCCATGTCTTGGTGGGGACAAGAGGAAGGGACAGGGCAGGGAAGTTACACCCTCTTTTTCTCTGGCCTACTTTATACCTAGCCCATTAGAAGCCATATGCCGGAAGAGGTCAGCCCCACTCAAAGAAATAACAGAAAGAGTGATGAAGTTAAATATCTTTACTAGTTAGGGAGGGTCATTTCAGAGCCAGGAAACTATAAATATGACTTTTTTTGGGGGCACATATTTGTCTAGGAAGGGAAGATTTAGTCTCTAAGATGTGATAACCTGGGCCTAGTTAATTCTCAGAGATGGAATAAAAGCAGCAATAATAATTACTACTCTTCAAAACAACATCATAAAGGGGGATTATATTATTTCCACTTAACATATGGGTTAACTGAGGCTAAGGAGGAGGCATGCAATTTGCTTAAGGTCATAAAGGTGGTAAGAACCAGGATTTGACTCCAGGCAGCCTGACTCCAGAGTCTGAGCACTTCACCATTATGTCAACCTCCTCAGAGATTCTTTGGGGAAGCACAGCTACGGGAATGGGCAGGGTCTTTGGACCACTGGTCTTTTCTCTGAAGGAGAGACTTTCACACTCATACGCTTCACACTGTGGCTGGGAAGCTGAGTCAGGGCTTGGCTGTCCTGCTGACCTGCTCTATGCACTTTGACACATGGGAGTCACTTACCCTTTTTCAAAGAAGAAAAAGGAGACTCTTATCTGAGAGTATGAAAAACCAAATAAATATAAGCTGTTGTGAAAATGAAAGAATTTACCTGCATGATTAAAAGCTCACACTTGAGGGTTTGGGGGAATGGAAGGAAGGATGAATAGGTGGGACACAGGGAAATTTTAGGGCACTGACACTATTCTGTATAACACTGTAATAGTGGATACATGTCATTACACACTTGTCAAAACCCATCCAACGTACAAACCAAACGGTGAACTCTAATGTAAACTAGGGACTTTAGTTAGTAATGTATCAATATTGGCTCAGCAGTGGTAACAAACATACCACACTAAAGCAAGGTGTTAATAGCAAGAGAAACTGTATGGTTGTGTGTTGGGGGTATATGGAAACTCTCTACACTTTCCACTCAATTCTTCTGTAAACCTCAAAATGCTCTAAAAATATAAAAATGCTCTAAAAATTAAAGTCTTTTTTTTTTTTAAAGTTCGTACTTTCTTCTTTTCTTCTTCTTCTTCTTCTTTTTTTTTTTTTTTTGAGACAGAGTCTCACTCTGTCGCTCAGGCTAGAGTGCAGTGGCACAATCTCAGCTCACTACAACCTCTGCCTCCCAGGTTCAAGTGATTCTCCTGCCTCAGCCTCTCCCGAGTAGCTGGGACTACAGGCACCCGCCACCACACCCGGCTAATTTTTCGTATTTTTAGTAGAGACGGGGTTTCACCGTGTTAGCCAGGATGGTCTTGATCTCCTGACCTCATGATCCACCTGCCTTGCACTCCCAAAGTGCTGGGATTACAGGCATGAGCCACTGTGCCTGGCCAAAAGTTCATACTTTCAGACAATCTTGATGGTCTTCTTGGAAATTCTGTCCCAACTGTGACCTTCACAGCCTGCTCCTACCTTGGGTCTTGGCTGATACCAAGCCAGAAATGCTTTTCCAACACTCCCCATGAATCTGTCTGTATCTGCTGTTTCCTTCCAGGCATCCCTCCATGCTCACCAAATCTCAGGGTTTTTCCCGGCCAATCTCTCAGAAAAACACTGCCTGAGAGTCCACGCTAATCTTGGGATCCCGCTGTAGCCTTGCCATGACCCATTCTGTGGCCTTGTGGCCTTGGGAGAGTTTCTGAATTTAAGCCTCAATTTCCACCTCTATACCTAGAGGATAAGCAACTTTTCCCTAGTGGTCCTGCAAGACTGTTGCAGTAATTAAACAAGATAATACATATGGCCGGTATAGTGACTCACACTCGTAATCCCAGCATTTTGGGAGGCTTAGGCAGGCGGATCACTTGAACCCAGTAGTTCAAGACCAGCCTGGGCAACATGGCAAAATCCTGTCTCTACAAAAAAAAAAAAAAATTAGCCGGGTGTGGTGGCTCACACCTGTAATCCTAGCTACTTGGGAGGCTGAGGCAGAAGATCGCTTGAGCCCAGGAGGCAGAGGCTGCAGTAAGCCAAGGTCCTGCCACTGCACTCTAGCCTGGTTGACAGCGAGACTTACTTTCTCTCTCTCTCAAAGATAAGATAATACACGTGAAGGCTGCGTGCAAACCAGAAAGCAACGTACAAATGCGAGGCACAGAGTTTCTCCCTCCTGGACTCCTCACTAGTATTTTCTCTATTTTATAGACTAAGAGTTGAGAAACCTGCCCAAGCTCACATAGGTAGTGAGAGGCAAAGCTGAAAAAAAAAACCAAACCTGATTCCAAAACTCATACTTTTAATCACTATACTCACTTGGTCCCAATAAGATAAAGAATCAGAACATCAACGAATACCAGAGCCTCAAAGTATGATCTCCATGTTAATACTCATCTCCTCCTAAGTCCCTTACATTTCTCTGTGGAGCTAAAAATCACCAGGCAAAGACTCAGTCCAATGGCAAATGTCTCCTAAGACCCCTGAGTCGTACTTTGAGGGGGTCAGAATCACTGTTCCTTTTTGCCAGAGTATATAAAAGACAGGATTATATTTTATATGCCTGTTTTAAACAACTTGCTTGCTGTACATTTAGTGCTCAAAGGGGTTAAATACTTGTAATGAGTTAAAAAAAAAATTCGTCCACAAATCAAATTGTCTCAGATAATAAATTGTACTGCTGGCTTTAAAATAATAGTCTCCATTATCCTGAAAAAACATCAGTGCTTCTCTGGGCTCCTTCTTGTTGCCTTGACTTTATTCTTCTTTGCTAGGATATCATCATGCCCCTTCATTCATTCATTCATTCAGGGTTTCAGCTGTTCCCTAAAAACGGGAGTCTCTTTGTTCTGCAAGTCATTTATTCCTTCGCTTATTGTTTATTGAGCATTACATACTAGGCATAGGACTAACTCTTAAAAACAGAACAATGAAAAAGGCAGACTCAACCTCTCCTTTTACGTAACTTACAGGCTATAGGAGGAGGAGGACAGCTGAGTAGACAGTTATAACGCAGGGAGGGGTGTTTTAGGAAATATGCAAAGTC
The DNA here is from genome assembly GCF_000001405.40 of Homo sapiens. NCBI lineage: Eukaryota > Metazoa > Chordata > Mammalia > Primates > Hominidae > Homo > Homo sapiens. Next base: position 168,874,587 of record NC_000005.10, read on the forward strand.
TGCCAGAAGACCTGTGGTACTGTCTATGAAACTGTGTCATCTTGGCCTAGAAGAAATTCTACTTGTCACCAATGCAACTTCCAATCCCAGGCAGAAATTCTGGGATGGGGCATTTACCACCACTCTCTCCTTGCTTTTAGATAATACTGTATATGTCTTTATCAGACTAATGGAGTCAAATCTACCTGTTTCTTCTACTATTTTTCTCATTTCAGGAAATTTAACTAATCAGCTGGTATTTATCGAGCACTTATGCCATTGGCCCCGGGGCAAATAGAGAAGAGTGCCCTGGGGCGTGCTTATCCTGTGATATATGCTTGCTGTGCATGTCTCCCCCTGTAGACAAAAATTCACTAGAGCAGGACCGTGTCTTAGTCATCTTTCTTAAGATTTGCTTCAGGTCTGACAAGAGTAAGGGCTCAGTGGTAATTTGTGTAACAATGAATGGAATAAAAAGGAAGAGTGGAAGAAAGGAAGGAAAGAAGGGAGGAAGAGGGGGAGGAAAGAAGGGAGGAAGCGGGGGAGAAAAGGAGGGAGGGAGAAAGAATGAGAGGGAGGAAGGAGGGAAGAGAGGGAAAGAGGAAAGAAGGGAGGAAGACAGAGGGGGAAGAGAGAAAGGGGGGAAGAGGGAAGAGAGAAGAAGGAAGGGAGGGAGGAAGAGAGAGGGAAGAAGAGAGTGAGAAGGGAAGAAAACAGGAAAGAAGGGAGGGAGAGAAAGAAAGAAGAAAGAGGAGGAAGGAGGGAGAAATGAAAGGAGGAAGGTGGCCGGGCATGGTGGCTCATGCCTGTAATCCCAGCACTTTGGGAGGCTAAGGCGGGTGGATCACCTGAGGTCAGGAGTCCGAGACTAGGCTGGTCAACATGGTGTAACACTGTCTCTACTAAAAATCCAAAAAAATTAGCCAGGTGTGGTGGCAGGCACCGGTAATCCCAGTTACTTGGGAGGCTGAAGTAGGAGAATCACTTGAACCCAGGAGGCGGAGGTTGCAGTGAGCCGAGATTGCGCCACTGCACCCCGGCCTGGGCAACAAGAGCAAAACTCCGCCTTAAAAAAAGAAGAAGAAGAAGAAGAAAGAGAAGGAGAAAGAGAAGAAAAAGAAAAAGAAATGAAAGGAGAAAGGGAGACAGGAAGAGAGGAAGGGAGGGAAACAGGAAGGAATGAGGGGGAAGGGAGGATAAGAGGGAGGAAAAAAAGGAAGAAAGGAAGGGAAAGAGAAGGGTGGAGGGAGGCAGGCAGGAAGGTAGACATGACCCCTGTCTTTAGATAGCATTTTTAGGTAGCACTCAGCAAACTGGGGCCCAGTGCAACTTCCTCTAGCAGCAATTCTGAACCTGACACTCTCAGTCAGGAATGCAAAGCAGGAAAGGCTGGGGAACTTGCTGCACTTCCCAGAGATGATAAATCTGCATGGCCTTGCCTCGGATGAGCAGATTTTCCTAAATCCCCCTTCAAGATGCAGCACCCCATTTGAGACGAGAGCCAGGCACTCTTCCTGCGTCAGAGCCGGCTTGCACTGAAGTACACCTCTGTCTCTGGTTGATAAGCCCTGGTAACAGGCACTCAGTTCCCCCACCCAGCTAGCCCCTGAGTCCCTGCAGTTTGACTCTGCCTTTTTAGATCCACTTTACTTGCTCGATTTAGGTCCCCCATATTTCTGAACAACTGCACAAGTCTCCTCTCTGCCCACACAGCTTCAGTCTCTGCCTCTCAGCAATCTACCCTCCCCACTGCTGCTGAAGCTGTTTTTCTTAAGTGAAAATCTGATCATGCCACTCCCCTATTAGGAACCCCCCAATAAACCCCCATTGCTCTATGGATCATGGGGTTCTAGGTCCTACCTTCCTGCACCTCCCCATCTCCCTAACCTCATTGCTCTTTATTGCCTCTCTTGCTAGCTATACTCCAGCCACAAATCTCTCACGAGCATCAACTCTTTCACACACCTCTGTCCCTTTACATATGTTGGTGAATTTTCACATGCTGTTCCTTCTTCCTGCAATACATTTCCCCTAGATGAACTCCTATGCATCCTTCAAGACCCAACTCATGTCATTTCCTGAGTGAAGCCAGAATGAGACCTGTCTCCCTGGGCTTCCACATATAGTTGTCCTTAGCTCCAACGAAGCCTTAATCCATGGCCTATGACTGCGGGTTTACTAATTGACTCCCTCACTAGTAAACTTAATTTTGTCATCTGGAAAATGGGAATATCATTAGACTGTGAGTTCTTCGGATACAAGAATGGCACCTTATTCTTTCCTATAGTATATTATTCTTACACAATAATAATACAATATGGTATATTATTATTTCTATAGTATATGGTATATATAATTTTCATATAAAGCATTTTAACAATGTGTATGATTTCTGGTATGTAACGGGCCATCGGCAAACACCTGTGAAATGAATGAACAAAGTCATTCTTTCAATACATTTCTAGTCCACTTTACTCCTGCCATGAACCATTTGGGTACTGGGGACAACACAGTGATTGAAACAGGCAGGATATCTGTGTACACAGGTTTGCTATGTGCATCCAGAGACAAGTAATAACAGGATAACATCCAGTAACAAGAAATAAATGAGATAATTTCAGAGGGTGATAAGTGCTCTGAAGAAATATGACTGGGTGATGGGATAGAGAGGGAAGGCAGTGGGGGACAGTAGGCAACATTTGAGCCGGGATGTGAAGGATCAGAAGGAGCTGGCTGTGTGGAGGTCTGAGGGTGTAGCATCTTATGTTAAGGGAGCAGCAAGTGCAAAGGTCCTGGGGCAGGAAGGAGCTTGGGGTGTTCAGGGAATGTAAAGGAGCATGGGAAGCATGAGATAAGTGAGAGCACCCAGTTCACGTACAGCCTTGCAGGACAAGACCAGGAGTGTGGACACTGCTCCAGGTGCAGTGACAAAACAAATGGCTGCTGAGATGAGCAGACAGAGATGCTACCAACGAACGGGTGCTGGTGTCCCTCCCCACACCTCCCTCACCCTCACATGAGATTACCACCTGCTCACCGGGGCGGAGACAGCCCTCATTAATCTCAGGAAGCAGGAGGGCAGACACGGGCGGTGCGGCAACACAGACTAACTAGAGAACACAAAGGCTGCCTGCCCAGCTTTGTTTTCAAAGCGTCAATTCCAAATTCTGCTAGCTGGCAGAGACAGGGGTTATTGATTTTCCCTTCTGGAATGCATGTCCTACACAGTCCTCGCAAATAGAAACTGAAAAACAGAGGAAAACATAACTGCTGAGAAAGACAGGGCAAGGGGACATTTAAAAAAAAACAATCCCTACTGGTTTTTGTCTTTTTCTTATTAGGCTTGGCTGGATTGTGGCCTGTCATCTCTCTTGTTTTCCCAATTCATTTCCTTTGGTTCTATCTCTACGTCTTTCCGTGATTTCTTTTTCTTTCCCTCCTCTCTCCTTTTCGCTGTGCCTTTGCCCAGTACCTAGCACAGTTTCTGCATACAGTAGGCATTTCATACTGGAGTGGTGAGTGTTGGTCTCTCTACAGGACAGTCTCTCTAAGGGTCTCTTTCTTCATCCAGATCACTTTGTCCATCGAACCGCCTGTCTCTCTTTAAATACAGCACCTTCCGCCCTTCTAGGCAAGTAGTGGAGAATGAGACCAGCCCATTAAACCAGCTTTCAGTAATTGCGTAGAGTGGCATCCCCAGATAATTACGTTCTCTCTCTTCTCTGGAGAAGCAGGAAGCAATTAGGGACTTCCTTCTGCTGTCTGGAGGGGCAGGCGTCCAGTCCCTTCACTGAGAGCATCATGCTTGTGGCTCCTCAGGTCCACAGGGCTCAGAGGCCGCCTGCGTCCTTTCTCTGGGCTCTGATAAAAGTTGCATGCTTGCCTACTTGCTTAGGTGAATAGGGACTCTGCTCTGTAGCAGCTTCTGGTCACTTTATTGTTCCTGTTTGCAGGCATGGCTGTGAGAAAAGGAACCCGGGTAGACAGAAGTGTCCATGGCGAAAGTCCAAAAGATGGTTGGGTGTGTTACTGATGGATGGTAGCTTAGTTGCAGAGGCCTAGGCCTAATTTTATCTGCTGACTTTTACCAACTTATACACATTGATGAAAACTTAATTTTATGTGGAAAATGTGGGTATCACAGTTTCTTCCTTTTTTTTTTTTTTTTAAGACTGAGTTTCACTCGTCTCCCAGGCGGGAGTGCAATGGTGCGATCTTGGCTCACCGCAACCTCTGCCTACTGGGTTCAAACAGTTCTCTTGCCTCAGTCTCCCGAGTAGCTGGGATTATAAGTGCCTGCCACCACACCCAGCTAATTTTTGTATTTTTAGTACAGATGGGGTTTCACCATGTTGGCCAGGCTGGTCTCGAATTCCTGACCTCAGGTGATCCACCCGCCTTGGCCTCCCAAAATGCTGGGATTACAGGCATGAGCCACCACACCTGGCCACAGCCTCTTCTTTCTTGAAGGGAAATGTCAGCGCAAGCAAAGAAAATATACGTCAAAACTACAAAATTATTTTTTAAACCAGATAGTTTTTTATTTTCTCCGTGTAGTAAAGCGTATGGTGTTACACATAGGCCCAACTGGTTGTCATTTTACATAGCATGCAGTTTGAAGCTGGATATGCCAGCAGTTTATCTTCTAGTCTTTAAGGTAATAGTGGAATGGTGTGAATTCCCTGAGCTCACACACTGTGGTGGAGCAGGCTTGGGGGCTGGGTAGTGGTTCTCAAACAAGCTGATGACAAGGATATGCATCTCTGAGATTTAAAATTTGCTATTTATCATTCACAAGGTAGACAATCTCCATAACTGAGGACTGGTAGGAGGAGGAGTGTTTCCTTAGCAGGTTTTATAGAAATTTAATTTGTGCTAAATGTCTCTTATTTTCCATGTGCCGATGCATATTTAAACATACAGCTTCATTATCACCTCTGTCCAGATGCTTCTCCTCCATGAAGCATCAGCTCCTCAGCTCAGGTCCTACAGTTCTAATTACTCACATGAGTTTTTCTCTTGGGCTGTAAGATTATTTAGTCTGACTCCCTCTTATTAAAACCAAGGAAGCTGAGGACCAGAGACATAGCGTGGCTTTAGCAAAGTCCTTCAACCAGCAGGAACTGGACAGGATGTCAGATCACAAACTTCCTCACACAGAGAAGATGCTCTGTCCACAATGCTGACAGAAGACTTGACATCACTTCACACCCAATGTGATTACAACCCAACTCAGGATCTTCCAAGCCTGGCTCCTCCTCCTGAACTTCCCATTTCTGTGAAGTGGAAGCTCCAAGAAGACAGAGCTCACAGATTTATATTGATATATCTTACTCCCTGCTGTTTCCCCCAGAACTAGCACTTAGAAGGCACTCAAAAAATAGTGTGAATGAATGATTATGAGAATTTGCCATCATTCTCTGTATTGTCTGAACTTGGAACTAATCGTTTTTCACTTCCTTTTCCATGGCCTCTAGCAACTCACTGACTGCGAAGCTCTGTTGATTTTGTCCCCAGGGACTGCTTACTTTGGCCTCTTTCTCCACTTCCTGCTTCTCTCTCCCAAGAGACAGCGTGAGAGAGAGATACGAGCCTAAACCCTCACATTGGACTACAGCCTCATCTCCTGCCCCGACCTTTCCTTCTGCCACCTCCTCCTGTCCCCGGTTCCCCTTCCAGAACAAATGTTTTCACCGTGATCTGTCCCAGGGCAAAAGCCATCCACATTCTCAGTGCCTACATCTAAAGCCCATGCTCCTCGCAGTCAAGGCTCTCCAGCAACCGGCTTCCACCTCTCTTTCTAACCCAATCACACACTCTTCTGCCCCAGATCCCTCCACTCCCATGAGATGTCTCTGCTGGAAACACATCTTATACAGTTTTGCCTTTACACTTTGCACGTACTATCTTTATTACTTTGTGAATTCTAACCACCATTCAGGCCCAGCTACAGTCTTCACTATTGTAACAAAGGAATACAGCAGCAACAGTAGTTAGAACTTTCTAAATACCTTTCATGCATCAAGCGTAGGACTAAGTTATTCATATGCATTATTTTATTAACCTCCACAAAAACCCTAGGAGGTAAGTCCAACTATTATCCTCATTTTATACAGTGGAAACATAGGCTTAGAAGTGTCAAGTAATGTACTTAACATCACAGACTAAGAACCTAGAACACATGGAATTCATACATACTTCTATCAGACCGCCAAAACCATGCTTCTAACCGCTAGGCTACATTGCCTAAAGCTGTCTGTTCCTTCTGAGCTCTGACAGCCCCTCATTACGTATAGCTACTTATTAGCCAACTTTCATGTTGATTGGTACTTTACTAAACATTTTCTTGTATGTACATGATTCTTGTCCCCAGTTACACTGTAAGCTACTGGAGAACATGAATTGTACCTCTGGGGCCTTTGGGTCCTGCCTGACAAGTGCCTGCTGACTGAACTGATTAGAGGTACACAGTATTCAATTCCCCTTAGGTGTTTTTGGTTAATTCATCCTTTAGGCAGTGAATTCACTCCCCTTTCCTTCTTCCCCGCAAGCCCAGCTGCTAGTAGTGAGTATAAACAAAGAGAAGATCCTCACTGAGTTTAGGATCCTGAGTAATACACATTTGCATGGCTTAGAGGGTGGTCTGATGGTGGGTGCTGGAGTGACTTAGGAGTCTGGGTTTGTAGAATCTTGAACCTTTCAAGTCCTGAGGCCTTTGCGTAGTTAGAGATATTGTAAGAGGGGAAAAGAGACCCTGTAAAACAAAATCTGAGAAACCCTAGCAACTATTAAGAACAATTGTGGGATTTATTCACTTTCTTAACAATCAAAAACATAGTCAGCAATTAACTGTCCAGCTCTGGTTATACATCACTACAATATGTTCTTTTTGGTTAATGGATCCATTTAAAATTAGTGTCATGAGATCTGACTGATATATCACTTTATATACGCAAAATGTTCTTTTGGGGTTCAACCACCAGAAAGCTGGTTGACCCTGAGTTAGTCACTGCCCCTCTCTGGGCCTCCATTTTCTCATACCCTGACGTTCTGGCAGGCTAATTAACATAGTTGTTTTTGGTTCATGTGAACAGTCTTGAGTTCTTGGAATGCATGGAACGAAATACTAGAAAAGCGCTCTGACATGTTAAAAGTGCCAGTTCAGGATGAGAGATCTCTCATTATTTATTTAGTGGTTTTGAAGGTTTGGCTTTTCTGTATCTCATTTTCTCAGGAAGATATAAACTCAGGAGGCTGTTTCTTGCGAGAAGCCTACACCTGTCCTGCAAAGGAGCTCCCATTCTTTGTGGGTGTGGCTGCTCCACCCCGCCCTCTCCTGCTCTTGGGAAAACACCCTCAGAAGCAGCAGCAGGCGGCCTCCTTGTCCCTGAGCCCCTTGCGAAGTCCTCTCTGCTTCTCTGTTCCCTCCACCCACCCCCAGAGACGCCTCTGCCCTCTTGCGTGCTTTGCATGTAAAACACCAAAAGCTTTCCGCTAAGTCCACAGGGGAGGCAGATAACCTGCATCTGGAAGCCATCACCAGCTGCCTTGAGTGTGCCAGTAAACTAAAACCCCTGCATTCATTACAGGGAAAAGTGACAATGTCTTTTTTTTAAGCCTCCCTTAAGACGTCTCAAATTGAATCTGGGGCTGCAGAGAAGGCTGCTGGGCAGAAGTGCTTGCTCAGCCAAATCAGACCTTCTTCCCTACCCCTCTCCAAAAGCATGTTCCGACCCCGTGGGCACAAAGGTTTAGGCAGAAAATTCAAGGCATAGTCCTTGTAGGGGCCCAGGAGTCACGAATAAGGGGTCAGTAGGAGAAGCCAGGTAGGAAATCGTCAAAGTTCAAAAATGTCACGCTGGAACAGTCCTGCGCTTGACTATGGTGACAGCTGCACAAATCTGCACGTGATGAAATCACACAGAACTACCTATGCCTGCGCTCACACAGGCGTATACAAGTGAGCACACGTGGAGCTGTGAAATCTGAAGACTAAGGTCTGTGGATTGTACCAATGCCAGTTTCCTAGTGTTGATACTGTACTGCGGTTATGTCAGATGCTACCATTGGAGGAAACTAGTATACGGACTTGTCTACTATTTTTTGAAACTTCCTGCGAATCAAAAATCATTTTAAAATAAAAAGTTTAAAAAAAAATCCTAGGCCAGTGGAAATGGATCTGGCTATGTCTCTCCAACTTCCTGGGATGTAAGTCCCCATGCTCTCTCAGGAGCCGATGATGAGCCTATTAATAAGAGTGAGAGCTTCAGCACCATCATCGTCAAGGTTCCAATTGATTGACCACGTACTATGTATGAGGCACTAAGATATTTCTTCCTTTTGAACACTTTCTCAGTTGCACAAAACATGCCCACAAGGTTACCATCCCCATTTTACAGAAGATGATAATGATGCTGGGCAAAGCTGGCTTGCACCAAGGCTCTGTAGGGCCAGGCTCTAACTCAGCAGGCACTGAGGCTCCAGTGCTCATATCTGGGGATGACTAACCAGCAAAGCACAGGTTTCTGTGACAGTATTGTGGCATCCAACGTGTGTTCCCTAGAAATCACTCAAGCACAGCCCTCAATTTCATCTCTGAAGGCACCTGGACCACCCTCTTGTCCCATCCCTCACCCTCACTCTGGTCAGAGAGCCCAAGTTAGCCACATACGTAGTGAAGCAAGGAAAACATCACTTACAGGTTCTTCACATCGGTGATGCCGCGGAACGCCTTCCTCGGGATCCCCTGGATCTGGTTTTCACTCAAATCTCTAAACAAGAAGAGAAGAGGCACACTGCATTAAAGACCCAGGCTGTCTTGATCTGCATCTCATTAAATGATAACAATCCCCCCCACCCAGGCTGCTGCCTCTGCGGTCAGAGTGTATGGCGGCTGTTTGGTCTCGGGCCCCAGGCTGCTACAAGCATTCACATTGTTCTTCAAGTGATGGCCGTTGCTGAAATGGTTACCAGGCGGAGCAGCTCGCCTCCAGGGCAGGCTCTGTGGGTGGTCTCGCACCTCCAGGCCACGAGCCAAGAGGCTGGGTTATTTGTTGCACACACTGCACCCAATTCTCTGTTTTCCCACCTCCCGGAGACAACCCCCTGCCCCCCATCCCCCCAACCCCCACACGGCATTCCTCCCCCACTGTGGGGTCAACGCCGCTCAATCTCCCATCTCTCAGTGCTGTCCTCTGCTGCTCAGGACAATCTGCCTTTGTCACAGGGGATTGGAACAGAGCCTGCCCATTCTGATTTTCTGATGGGGGATGACCACTTCAGCTTACTCGAGAGTCCCAGAGATTCCTGGGGGCCCCTAGACCTTCTTAGTGACAGGCACGATAATTTCAAATTGCATTTCCACAGGTCCATGCAAAGTGGGGGTCCCACAGGCACCTCATCTAGCATTAAGCAGTGCCAGCATGTTGCTTTGAGGAGGGTGAGGGATAGTGTCAGGTTCTACAGCTGGCTAAACCTATGTCCCCAGACTGTAAGCATTCCCAAAGCCTTACTTCCTTTCTAAGAAAGATATGGGCTGTTTTTTTTTTTTGGTTTGTTTCCCACATTTAGTTTTTGCTAGACCAAACATGTGCACTTGTTTTCACTAAGAACGCAGGCCTGCTTGGATCTCAACGAGTAATCAATCTGTAAAGACCGACCCATCAGGCCTCCAGAGCGTGCAAACTGGCCCTGCAAAACACTCATGCCAGGCCTCCTTCCAGGCTGTTCCCGCACAGCCACAGGCTGCAGAAGCCTCTCTGAGGACTATGGCGTGGTCGGGGGGTGCAGAGCCGGGGGCTAGGGACACAATGAGCTCTTTACACTTTCTTCAGATATAAAAGGTGTCTCTCTCTCTCTCTCTCACACACACACACACACAGTGCTATACATACACATTATTTTTTAAAAGAACACCCGAAAAACCCTCAAATATTAAGGTAAAAAAAAAACGTTGCAGATCTAACTACTGCTACCAATTACGAGATATATATATATATATATATATATATATATATGAAATTCCACCAATATGACCTCACAATATACAGTCTATTATAACCTATTATTTTTGCTTGCTATATTGAGAACATCTGTCCCTGTCATTAATAGTGCATTGATATCAACATTTTTAATGGTTGTATATCGTCCAATTGTATGAGTGGCTATATGGGTCCCAAATTGTTGGGTAGGCATTTATTTATTTGCTATTTAATGAAAACACTAGGGTGAACTTCTGTGCATGCACATTTTGGGGACACTTGTCTAACTATCTCCTTGGTACGGGGTCCTAGAAGGAGAACTTGCTGGTCACAGGTTAAATGGGTCCTGAGTTGACCTACGGACAGATTGTACCTGTGGACACTCCATGCTGATTTTCCAAGGGCACCTAATCAAAAGCTTTAGATGACTCCAGTTATATTTGGCAGGAGACATCAGACGACTGCCCTCCACTAAAATCTGGGCAGTCTAAATGAACATTTTGCAAAGGGGCAGGAGGGAAAAGAGGAAGCAGAAAAGAGGTGTCCACTTTTTTCTGATCTCCCATCTGCTGCTGGGACAAGCCATGTGCTCTGAGCAGCTAGCTAAAACGAAACTTGACGATCATCTGGGGCTACTTTTAGGCCCACAAAACAAGGCTGACTTGGGGTAGAGTGCCGGTGTGAGTACTAGTGGCTTCTGGGGCTGAGTAACAGGGTGCTCCCTATCTCAAATCCAGTTTCCTCTGTCTGCAACCGATGTAAGTAAATTCAGATGCACAATGAGCGCTGTCTCAGGCTCCCCCAGCCAGGCCTGATTCAATGAGCAGGGCTCCAGCCTGGAGTCGGGGCGCTGAACAAAGCCCACGATGACAGCAGAGGTCAGGCGGTGTCACCAAGGCCACTCAGCTGCTCTCCATCAGCCTCCGGAGCAGGGGCCCAGGTCCTGTCATCTGACTAATGCAATTTCCACCAGGCATCTGGGCAGCACCCGAGGCTCTGGCAGTCACAATGAGTCCAGTCTTTTCTGCCAAATGAAGCTGGTCTGTAGGCCACCGAGCCTTTGCCCACTACCCTCCCAGGATTGGCTGCTCTCTCTGGCGGCTCTGGAAGATGAGCCCCAGTCACACTTTTGGAAAATGGTTGATGATCAAAATCAGAGGCAGGGGGAGCAAACAGGAGAGAGGTTTAGAGCTGTCAGCTTGAACCATAGCTGGAAGCTGGATGAGGGGGCATGTGTTCCAGTAATGCACTAACCTTGTTTGAGTAGACAACATCCCATAATACACTGGGAGGAGTAGCAGTCGTACAAAGGTTCTGATTTGCAATACGGTGGGATGAGGAGAGGAGAGCGATATTTAAGCAGAAAAATCTGGCCATGTTGCTGGGAGACCTCCCACACAGGCAAAATCCTGCACTTGGGTGGGGCAGCGCTTTGGTTTCTGTTCACTATTTTCTTGCTGTAAATATAACCAGCCTTGCTCCTACTTTACGGAGCCAGTTGAAACACAGCTTTCTTCCCATCTCCCTGTCACTGCTTTCCTCCTGTCCCAATTGAGCAAAACAGTAGATTGTAGGGAATTTATCTGATCCCCATGACAATCTGCTTGTAAATTTTATTAATTTTATTTTCCATTGAGCTTCCCTTCTCCGGCTAACAATACTGCTGCCATCCATCTGCAGGACTGTATATTGATTTCATAAATACCTCCAGTGGGCTGACAAACTGACAGCTTCAATGGTGTTACTGATGGGGCGTGGAGGAGGGTTCAGGGCTGGGCGCTTCATTTTCGGTAACAGTCCCTTCACAATTATCGCAGGGCCTTTGTGAGAGTTCCTAATAGTGTGTTTATCTCTACGTGGTGCCAGAGCATGGAGCTATCATTAAGTACTATCCTCGAGAGAGACAAGAGCCACCATTTTCCACTGACACTTAAATAAAAATAACAAAATCTATCCACGATGCCCAAGAGCCTAGCGCTGGCCAATTTCCTGTTGGGGTTTTAGTGTCTCCCCTTTCACGAGGGAAGCAGCTCAGGGCTGAGGAGGGCAGACATGCTCAGAAGTGACCTGAGAAGGGGATTTTTGTTTTTCTAAACACTAGAAGAAAGGCATGAGATTGGAGTAGGGTGCAGGAGTGGGAGGTGTGCAGTATTTTTCTGGGTAAGTAAAGGAAGATGGCTGGTGGGAAAGGCTTTCTTGGTTGGGGAGTAGGGCTAGGAATTGGGATGCCTTTTTAAATAATTAGGGCTCTGAGAGAAAAGGAGAACTGCATTAGCTAAAGTGCATTTTCCAGCTTCCGGAAAATGATTAACCAACTGATTATTCCATCCAAAAACACAAGACCAAAGAGGACTTATTAAGGAGACAGTAAGTCAAATAGGAGTTGGCAAGAACCAATATATCCCCCTTCCAGCCACCCTCCCCACCTTTTTAATTTACTAAAATGCTTTGGACACAGATTAACTTTCTTCGCAAATTTATTATTGCTTCATCTACCCTTGAAATGGGAACTGCAGACACTTTGATAAATGGATTGAAAGGCTGTCTAGTTCCAGTGGAGCTTTTGAAATGCTTCCTGGGGCTCTCCCTGCAATGTCAGGCATGCTTTGTTCTTGGAGGAGCAGAGAATGACAGTTCCCACCTTCACCCCTACCCCTGCAAGACTAGGAGGAGGAACATGTTCTCCTCTTTGCCCTGCTGGGGACAATGCACTTGTCTTGGTCACATTCATGCTACCAGGAAATCCTGTCTGTGTTAAATGGCAGTTGGTGGAGGGAATTTGATCCTAGAGGTCACTCCCAAATTAATTCCGAAGCTACAAAATGGGGTTTGGAAGTTCCTCAAAACTTGGAGATTTCTTGTTTCTGAAGTGGGTGGGGCTAATTATGAGCTGTATGATCATTCAAGTTACTAAAATGCTCTTTGCCTCAGTTTCCCCATCTTTACAGTGGGGTTGTTAGTTTTACTAACCTCATCAGTTAGTTGTGAGAGCGAAATGATTACACGTAGAGCACCGTGTGGAATCATTTGCACATTAGTTGTGTGAATCTGGTCAACTGCATGACTCTGTCTCACATCTCCAACTGTCAAATGGGACTGCTTTCCTAAGTCATACGGATAGTGCGCCCAGAAACATCACAGTCCCACCTGGAAGTCTATACAGGTGCCATTATGACTTATTAGACTACAGCTTGTAGTGCTCTGCAGAGCACTCTGCACAGCACCTAGAACACCGTAGGCACTCAATGAATAGCTGCATTTCCTTTTTGTAATTTCCTCCCATTTAGCACTGGATTGACATTGCTGAAAATGTCCTTTTTCAGCACCCCCAGGACATATGCCTTCAACTCTACAAAGAATAAAATACGTAAATGTTGCTGTACTCTTTCCATAAAATCTGAGGGAGGGATTAAAAAGTTTCTCTCCTCTGTCATCTAGACAGGGGTAGCCATGTTTGATTCTAGATTCTTTTGGATAAAACAAGAGAGCTGGATTCAGAAATAAGAGGTCTGTCTTATGTTGGGTTCTCTCAGAAACAGACACCGAGCCAAGGACACGGGGGTTAAGTGATTAATGAAGTGCTCCCGGGAGAGACCAGTGAGGATGGAAACCTAATGGAAAAGGCAAATAAAAGTACAATCAGGTGAAGTCTTGGCCTTAGCCCAATATGATGGGGAACTCCTGTCTCTGAGCAAGGGAGCTGGGCTTCTGCAGCCCTGCATCAGACAGTCCTTGGTTAGGGACCACTCAAGAGAAATGTAAACTCCCAGGCTCTGCCTGCCCTCCATGAATGCTGGGTATGGTGACTCCAGCAACCCAAGGACAGATTGCTGAAGATGTTCCCAGCTAGGAGACTTTAGCAGTGAAGTTCAAAGAAGCAGGTGATAGGACCCAGTAGCAACAGAAGGAACCCAAGGGGATCCACCCCAAAGTATTCCTAAGAAGGCTTCGGGGATAGTTCTGAATCTACAAGTCCTCAGCAGATTAAAATATCACTCTCAAAAGACGGCATATCTAGGACCACAGATCAAGAGGCTACAAGGGAAACTAACTGACCAAAGAATGTGGGAACAACCCAATCTGGCATCTGATGAGGTTTGCACTTCTTTGACTACCTCTTCAATCCCTCTGCACTGAGACCAATGTGGTGCCTTTTCAATAACATTAAAAAAAATTCCATCAACTCTTGATTAGTTAGGCTAAAATAGGGGATGATCTTCAAAGCATTTATGTTTGGAACCATTATTGGATTTGGGATCAGGGCAGTGAATTACCATTCTGATTCTCTTTGGCCTGAATATATATTAAAATTACTTTCACATTCTCTGCCCAGTAGGAGGAAACCTGCCCATTGGTGCATTCAGTATCAATCAAAACTCATTTAGGGATTTAAAAAATTTTGACAGATAATCTACAAATCTAAAATTTCCTGTACTCTCAATACTACCATCTTACATAAAGCTGCACTCTTTCTTCCTGCCCCCTGAACCCCAACTTTCTAATATATAGTAACCCAGTGACACATCGCTCTGTGCTAGGAGCTAAAGGGAAAGACACTGTTTTGCTTACTTTATTTTATACAGCAGGAGGGACAAACATGCAGGAAAAATTATCCCCTGGGGATTCTACAATGTGGACTTCAGGGAAGATTTATCTTAATAGGTACATCTCTTCTGCAGGCAATTTATCTTAATAAGCAAGATTGTATGTTTGCAGTTGGGTCACTGTCAAAATCAAATGAGCACCAAGCATATGTCCCAGCTAAGCTCTGGTACCTCCAGCTGGGTGTCTAGTCAATGGCAGCCTTTGTCTGAGGAAGATTACAATGGAGTAATGACTAATTTCCTGAAAGAACTGACACCTATCTCAGGGATCCAGGGAATCAAAGTATCAATGGGGGACAAAAAAACGCCAATTATTTCCCACTGCTCCAGTTGTGTTTCTGAATATTTCATTGCAGTGAGAGTTTACTTTACGTGTTCCCTTGAGGTTAAAAAGTTACTGGATGAAGGATATCAATAAAAGCTCCTTCTGCAATCCTTTCCCTCACAGATTCATCAGAAAAGTCCTGGCCATGCCATTCAGATGTTTAATACTGATGGATTAAGTGTCAGCTCAGATGCTTATTTCCCTCAAAAATGAATTGAATACCTACTATGTGTTCCACTATGGTTGAAGTTGAGATAGAAAAGTGGATAGTCCTAAGTTTCTGTCCTCCTGCAGTTTACATCCTTATTTATCCCAGATACAAAGAAATAGACCCCCTTACTTCTACAAATATAAAATAAACATCTAGACACCTCAAAAAGTGAGAGCAAGGATGGGTGGCCGCTCATGCCTGTAATCCCAGCACTTTGGGAGGTTGAGGCGGGTGGATCACCAATGTCAGGATTTCGAGACCAGCCTCGCCAACATGGTGAAACACCAACTCTACTAAAAATACAAAAATTAGCCAGGCGTGGTGGTGGGCACCTGTAATCCCAGCTACTGAGGCTAAGGCAGGAGAATGGCTTGAACCCGGGAGCGGGAGGTTGCAGTGAGCCAAGATCACACCACCGCACCCCAGCCTGGGTGACAAGCGAGACTCCATCTAAAAAAAAAAAAAAAAAAAAAAGAGAGAGAGCACCAGTTTCACTGTTTCTCCGTTTTATCCAGAAGAAAGCTTGTCTCTAAACTCACACTATGGATTGCTCCCAGACCAAGCAAAAGATTTTACAGTTTATTTTAGCTGGGGCCCAAAATCTTTTTAAATTTTCGGAAGGAAAAGAGAGAGATGCCAATCTGAATCAAGAGGACTCACAGGGAATGCAGGCTTGTTTCATCAGGTACTTTGGTTTTATCTTTCAAGGTGGACAGTTTGAGAAAAATCAGAATAGTACAAAGATATTATCAAGAATTGGGATGGTATGGGGCTGTTGTTGTCATAGAATAATCTTCTGATCAGATAGACCATGAACCTTGCTATGAGAACAAAATACACATTCATTCCTGTTAATTTTTAAAAATTTAAAGTGAGAATAGAATTGTGGTTATGTTTTCTTTCATTTATGTCTTTATCTTTGAGAGATACATACTGAAATAATTAAGAATAAAATGATCTCTAAGTTTTGCTTCAAAATAATATAGGAGAGAAAGAAGTGGTAGAAGAATAGATGAAACAAGGTTGGCCATGGGTTGATACTTATTGGAGCTTGGCGATAAGTACAAGGGAGTTTCATTTATCATCTGTGCTTTGCTTTTATGTATGTGTGACATTTTCCATAATAAAAAAAGCATGCAGATTCCTGGGGTCCATCCCAAACCTACTGAATCAGAAACCCTAAGGATGGGCTTCAGTCTAATTTTAAACAAGTTTGAGAACCATGGGTGGAATGATGATTGCATCGGATTAGGTGCTAAGTTCACATCCCGGTTCTGCTACTCAACATGCTGTGTGTCTTTAAGAGCACCAGTTCAATTCTCTGAATCTCAACTTGCACTTCTAAGAAACTGGGATAGGCATCAGAGATAATGGACAAGCGAGTGCTTTCTAAACTCTTATGCAGTATATAATGCAAATTCCTATCTTCATGTTCTAGCATGAAGTTCACAAATATAGCATCCTACTACCTTAAATGTTAAAGTCTAATTTTAGGGAAAATTTTGGGAGCAGGATGCAAAGGCCTCCTGTGTCTCAGACATGAGACTGCTGATGTTGGGCAAAATGCCTGTGGGATAGGCAGAGGCACAGGAGAAGGCTGAAGTGGGGAGAATGATGACATTTAATCTGTATTTCAGAAAGCCACTCAGGAGCCCGGGGAGGCTGACCTAGAAGGGTAAGAGTCCATGGATGGTTACACCCTCCCCTGGGAGCCAGAGACGTGGCAGAAGAAAACCAAGCACTTTGTCCTTGGACTCCTTCAAGCTTGGAGGGGAGACTGGTTGCTGGGATTAGGACATTCCTGGTAAGGCCTCACAGACCAGGGATTCCCTACAGTTTTCTAGGAAGGCTGAAATCTGGGAGAAATCACTAGAGGGCAGGTGATGAACAGGGCTGAACAGCCAGGCTGAGAAACAGTCCTGGAGCTGTGACTGAGGGTGAAGGCCTGAGGTCCAAGCACTATGGAGATAAGATGCTTGGTCCCAGGGGAGCATTCTGACCAAAGGGAAAAAGGAAAAGAACCTGTTAGGCTGCAAGCTTCTACAAAATGCTACAGATGGAGTTGAGATTATAGGTTTGCTCTGTGACTAGTTACCAATACGAGTGCCTGTTTTGTCTCTTTCTGGGCAGGTGTTCCAAAGATTGCAAACTCAGATGCTTCAGGGTTGTGCAGGTAAAGTAAATGAGGAAGTCGGGCTGCATGTGGACAACAGGAATAGTCAGAAAGCGAGCTGGGGATGTTATTTCAACAAAATCAAAACCAAATAACTCTCTGTGCCAGCCAATTGGATGCTTCACCCTGGGAAGAACTTGGCCTGCAGGCTCAGATTTGTGACCAGTGAGGATGCAGAGACTGTCACCTCCTCAGGGGCGATCTGCTAATTCTAGAATGGCGCTGTCCCACGGAAATATATCACAAGCCAAGAATGCAATTTAAAATTTTCTATTAGCCATATTAAAAACAGTAAAAAGAAACAGTTGAAATTAATTTTAATATGATATTTAACTCAATATATCCAAAAGATTGCCATTTCAAGATGTAATCAATATAAACATTTATTAATGAGATGCTTTGCATTCCTTTTTTCATTCCAAGTCTTTAAAGTCTGATGTGTATTTTACACACACCTCAATCTGGACTGGCCACATTCTGAGTGCTCAGTGATCACACATAGCTAGTGCCTACTATATTGGACAGTATGTTTTAGAATAAGGAACTTGATGCTGTAGCTACGCAGCATCTCATTGCCAAAGGAGGGAAAAAGTCTTCAGATGTTGGAACCAATCTAAGGAGCCCGATACAAGACTGCTTGGGGGTTCTGAGTATACAGATAGGAAATGTGGAGGAAAATCAGTCAAGGTTGAAAGCCCTGAATCCAGGGCAGCAAGCCATGGTTTAGAATATTCCATTCATTCAGCCATTCCTCCTGTGAACAGATACCTCTTTGCAGCCATAGGATTTAATCTGAGTTTTTCCAAACCACCACTCTTCCAGGGCTATCAGAGTTAACTGATGCTTCCAGTCCAAACGGAAGCTTTCTTCATTTAATTATCATATGCAACTCCAACTAAGGCTCTTTGTGTTCATGAAACAGCATTATAATTGACTGATCATCTCCAGCAAATGGGACAGAGGCTGAGCTTCTCAACAGCTCACTAATCCCTGGGATTATCTCAATTTAGCGACAAGGCAGTTAGTTACATTAGGTGGGATTGGGGAGCTCTCATTATCAGCCCAATTATGCCCTCTGTTCTGGTCCAGGCTTCCCTGTGTCACTAAGTGGTCCAGGAAATATCAGTGGGGTTCCAACCACAGGCGTCTGATTCCACAGTCCACACGTACCTCATTATATACACTTCAGGGGGTACAACTGCGATTTTGGTGTCTTCACATTGTGTGCAGAAATCTGGTGCTGAAAATCATCTGATTGTAAAGATCTAATTGAGTACCTGAGATAGTCCCCTGCCAATTTTGGACCCAATGAGAAGTTCTGGTTTAATTTATCAACCTTGGTTGGGTGTGGACAGGGAGCTTGTTCACCTGATTCAAAAGGATGGAGACTGGCGTTTTGTTTATCTCTTATTGTTTGAAGCTGTGTGTCTGCCCAGTGGGGTTTGGGAAAGGGAACCCATTTCTATACAATCTATCCTCCTCTGAGGCTGACATACTGGTCCCCACCCCCTCTGTCCCTTTTCCTTGGCAGCCATCTGAGGCTTTCATCCCTAATTTGATTGTCATAGCTAACACTGTCAATCTGAAATCCAGTAGCATGTCTAATGCTGGCTGGACAAGGGGAAGGCAGGGGAAGGCAGGGGGAGGAGAGGGGGAGGCAAATTCATCTCAAGAAGTAGCTTTATGTAAATCGATCCTTTGGCCCGAAAGCTGGAGCCAAGCATTTGCTGATTAATTGGAGAAGCGTCCTTGTTCCCGTGTCTTCTTTAGAGAGATGGCCCAAATTGAGTCCTCTCTTCTTCACAAAGACATTCCCATGCCAAAAAGCTTTTGCAATTAGGAGATGAAATCTTGTGAGTGAGGGGGAGGTGGCAGGGGCAGGGGAACGTTTATGAAATTGTTCTGAAATGAAGTGTGTGCATTTGGCCTGCTCTGTGATTAATTGCTGACCTGGGCCCCCTCATTTGCCTCCTAGGTCTGTGGCCTGATAGCCTAGGTTCAGAGGCATAGTATCCCATAGGTGAAGATCTACTTATGTGATAATTAGCAAAAATTAAGGGGATGGGGAGTGTGCTTCTAACATGTTTTTCTTAAATTTATATTCTCAGTTACCACTTGGGCCCATTTCTGTTGGTGTCAGGAAGGAGGGGAGTGAGGCTGATTGATTCAACCTCTTTTCTACATCCTCTTATCTTTTCCTGAAAAAGAAAGCTCAAATAAAATGGCAGATCCTCCACCAAGGTGGTCTTTTTTAACTCAGTAACTTGTCCCAGGGCCCTGTCAAATTTGACTTTATCAAAAAACCTAAAGGCAGAGTAGCTACCTGGGCACAGGAAAGAGTAAGTTTGGTTTTGGAAAGGTTGCTGGTTGCTTCACCATGCCGACTATGGGGAGGTTGGCAATGTAGTGTTTTATGATGGCTCTCTGACTAAATTATTAGCTTCGTGTAGGCAGGAGCATTTGCTCAGCATGAGGCCTGATGCATAGCTTTAAAAAATTTAAGTGGATAAAAAAAATAAGTGAACATGATTTTATGCCATTGCTTGGTCCATGGATGACTGAGAATACATCTCAAGCTATGGGAATCTTTTTTTCCCCCAAGTCCAGTTTGTCCCTTTGGATTACAAAGAGCTCTGGCTGTCCTCCTCCATCCTTCTACCTCTACAACCCTGGTGGCATACCATGCTTGAGAACTAATGCTCCTAGAACAGGCTTGTGAACTAAGGAGCCACAGATAAAGCCTTTGATGGGGAAAGGTTTAGTGAGCTAAGCTGAGGCGTGGGAATGAGCAGTTACAGTGGGAAGGTAGGCTAAGTGGACAGATAACTTGATTTTTCGGAATACAGATTAAACCTGGCCTGAGAGGGTACAATAGATTTGGAAAATGCATTCAATCCAGAAAAGGGCTGTGTGCCTGACAGCGTTTCATCTCCAAGAACAACTTCTCCCCTCCTCCTTTCTGAATTCTGGCACTCATAGAGATTAGGATAATACAGATAATGAAGCTCAGGTACAGAAGGAGATACTTTAAGCAACAGCCTCCAGGAGATGTTAGAAGAGGGTCATTGGCAGTGAGGAAGTTCTGATGATCTTTGGGATAATCTACACTGTGATCTGACTCCTTCCAGGCAAATTGTCTAAAAGCTCTGGAAACCCTCCCAGAGGCTGAAGATGTACAGAAATAAAGTTGAGGGTTGTAGTGAGGTGAGGAGGTAAGAAAAAGAGAGGAAGTCAGCGGGCTAAGGCACTGCAGTTTGGGAGAAGTTGAAGCCACTTCCTAGTGTCTACCCCACTGTAACCTTAAATGTTCAGCTTGATCATGAAGAAAGGATTCTTGGAACATTGCTCCGGATCTACCTAACCCTAACACTCTTTGTGATATGGCACTAGAGTTCCTCTTATGTGGCCCACTCTGTTCCACTGAGGAAACATGAACATGCCAGGGCAGGGTGGGGAGGGGCTGTGCCTGGGCTGCGGCTGCCCAGAGGTTGGAGTTTGGCAGGCAGCACTGCAGCTCAAGGACATGGGACTTGTATATGTCTGTGCTTTCTTGTAACTTTTCAGAAGACCATTAAACAAGTGAAACCTCAATGGTAGAGGTGAGATGCTATCCTGGGGCCATCTGCTGATAAAATCAGTATGCTTCAGAAAAGCTCAAAATTATCTTCCACCAAAGCAGGAAAGCAATTCAGCAAGAGCTCAGCACCCTGAGTTGCAAAGCTGGCCTCCAGAAGCCCAGTAACGGATGAAATATATAGGAGCTTAAGCCATTAAGCTATGTTAATACTATAGAATGACGTTTCTCATCATGACCCCATGCGCTATTTATTGTTCCATTCAAAGCAATTACAGTTATTGCTAATAACTCACACCTGTGGATGTGCTGATATTGACTACAGGAGAATAGATGCTGTTCTCTTGCTTATTTATGTAAAAATGGATGCAGTTCAATAGATTTACACCAAGTTGGAAGTTAACACTAATAATTAATCCCAGACCTGCTTCTGGCCATTAAGCCTGAAAGGCACTAGACAAGGGACATGAGCACTGGGAGGACCCAATGAACTGCAGAGATGAAATTCATTAGTGACAAATGTGAGACTGCTGCCACTAGTCTCGTGCCAAATAGAATCAACTCCCCTGTCCCCAGCAAAGAGAAAAGGACCTCCAAGGTAGGAGGCAGGGGGGAAACTTCTAAAATGCTTCCTTTGTGTTTCTGAGACTGTTCATCCCCTATAGCCCAAGCCATACTTTTCTTGGTAACTCAACTCCTTGCCTTACATGCCTGCTAGAAGTCGTGCCTATGGCCAAGACCCCAGGAGGCAGTGAGGTACCGTAGTGAAGGCACGGCTCAGGAGCCTAAAAGACCTTGGTGTGAACTCCAGCTTTGTCACTTGCTTGACTGGGCCTCAGTTTTTGCATCTGTATAATGCGGACCATGAAAATACCTACGTGCGGGAATTATTATAAAATAGTTAATGAATTTCGAGTTCATCACATGCTGTGTCCCTCATAAAAAACCAGCACTGGATAAGTACTGGTTCTTATCAGTACTTGCATCTGTTCAAGTCAGCATTCAACACTGTGAGTAAAAGAAAAACCCTGCCTTCTTGCCCCACAGAATATTACAGAGGAACACTAAGACTGTAAAGCAGCAACTCCAGGTCAAGTTCAATATGAAAGAAAGTAGTAATTGGTTTCCATTTGGCCTGTCATGCCTCAAAGCTTTCCTGGGGCCTGCAGGGAGACTCTCTCTCGTGGAATCTACCACAATCTCCCAAAGATGGCAAAGATGGGAACACAGGTTAAAGCCTCCCAGCCCCTACGAGGCTGGTTGGAAAATGGTTGACTGTGCAGCAATTGCTGTGCAGAGGAGAAGTTGGCAGGAGACTCCCACAAAGAGAAGGGAAAAGAAGGGGGGCCTGAAGGGCGTCGGTGGGACAGTGGGAAGACACTGGGAAGTGGCCCCTGCCCAAGCACAGGATCTGGGCCAAGAGCAGAATGTTGGTCCAGCCACTTCTGTGCCGGCTCAGGGCAAGTCAAAGCACCCTTCTGCCTTTCAAAGGAGGCTGGGGTCTGGGTGAGCTTCAAAGGGGTCCAGAGCCGTGCAGGAAAAGCCATCATTATGCAAGGTGGGAATGGGAGGTTCATCTGTCACCACTAAAACAAATTCCTTAGTTGTGGCTACTCTCTTTGGAGAAGGAAATCCTCACAACCCTATTAAACCTGTCTTGGGGCTTACATTTCAATGAAGCATCATCATTACTAGGGTGACTACTATGTACCCAGGGCGTTAGGCATTGCAGGTCAACACTAAGAAAATAAGAAGACAGTCCCTGGGAGCGGACAAGTGGGGTGACAAGTATGATGTCACCTCTGCAAGCGGACCCAGCTGCTTGAGGCAGGACTCCTTGGATGTCTTTCCTCTTTTCCATCTCCAAACCCCATGGAGGAGGCTGCTCCAGGAGCCAGGGACAGACCAGAAAGTCAGCCTCTGAGTGCTGAGGGGCTGAGTCCATGAACGTGTGATCCCTTTAAAGATAGACAGATATAAAGATGAGAGAGAGAGAGAGACAGAGAGAGGGAGAGAAAGACAGTTAAAGAGGGAGACTGACACAGTGGGACAGAGACAATAAAACCAGAGAAAGCAAAAGAGAAATAAAAGTCGGAGACTGAAACACACATACACAGAGACAGTCATTTCACAGAAGAGACCGTGAAAGGAAGAGACACACAGAGAAAGATACGGATGTGAGGCAAAGAGAAAGAGGATGGAGACAGGTGCACGTACACACACACACACACACACACACACACACAAAGGGACATACAGAAAGAGACAGGCTGAGAGAACAAAAGGGAAAGGCCAAGCAAGTATGGGGCTGGCAGACAGAGGTTCTTGCAAAAGATCTTAGCATTTGGGCTTCCCCAGGATCTCCTCCTGAGATTCCTCTGGGGATGAGGACGTGCCATCCTCCCTGGACCCTGCACCGAGCTCAGGTCTCTGTGCTTCAGCCCAGCCTTGTCCTCTGAGACACCCCCCCACCTTTGCATCCAGCCAGAGGGGAGCTCCAGAACAGGGGAAGGTCGGCTGGGGCTTCCCCTAAGCTCCCATCTCCAGCAGCTCCAGTCCTTCCAGTCCCCCTCAGCTCAGAAGCCAGAGACAAGGTTTTGGCAGAGAAAACTTGTGGTTTCAAACTTTTTACATTACAAAGCGAGTTTTTAAAAGCTCCATAAAATTTCAAGGCACATACTTAATGTTCAAATTGCAGAATATATCGATTCCTGCCCATCCTCTAGTATCTTAAGTTTACCCAGAGGACCATTTTATTTAATTAACTTGGTGCTTTATTAATATAAATATTCTCCTATTGATCATAAGAGGGCCTGACAGGCACTCAAGCTGGGTATACATCACCTTCCCTCTGAGCAGCGCCACTTAGAGGAGTGGCTGGCTCGAAATCAAGAAAAGTGGCAGGAAGTGGTCCCCCGGGATGTCAGGCACAGATGAATCTATAGCATTTTTATGGAGGGAGACTTTTTTTTTTTTTTTTTAAAGATCCAGCTCCTCTCTTCTCTTAAAGCAGAAAGCATATGGAAATGAGATATAAAAATGGTCCTGGCTTAGCATATCAATTAAGCATGTCAATACCTTAATTAAATCATTCAACGAATGAGATTTATACCAATGAATATGTTTTATAGTTATAATAGCTTTTTTGGCCACTGTTCAAAATGTCAAATAAATCGTGAAAAGGGGATTAAAAGAGGACATAATTGACGTTCTGAACTGTAGCCAGTTTTTTTCTTCCTTTCTTTCCCTTCATTCATGTGATTTTTGGAGAATGTATATAAAGTAATGGGGCCTATAATGGCTTGGCTTTGTAAGAGTCTTTTTATCCTTCAATTCTAATCCTTCTTATCAACTTTTCTAAGTCTCACACCATTGAACCTGCAAACGCCCTCACTTTCTTCTGGTCCTTAGAGCTTGCTTTTTAATAACATGCAACCAGAGCTCCCTGGTACACCCACAGAAAGGAGAAACAGCCTCCACCCTGACAAAAGCCCAAAGAAAACAGGGTATAAGGTTAAAAGACATTATGTGAGAAGGCTATTACCATAACATCCAAACATTTGGGTAAAAGTATTCTTAATCTCTTTTGTAAAAGTCAGGCTAAAAGCATATTTTCTCTAAATGAGTCAAGAAAGTAAAAATTCTGGCTTCTCTTTTCTTCTCCTACCCTTTTGCTCTTTCAGCTTTTCTAAATCATTTATTCATCAGTTTATTTCTGTAGATAACCACAATTGTATTCCCTTAAGAACAGAAAACAAAGAGAACTTCTAGACAGGTGCAAACCTAAAAACATAAAAAGTGGGCTGGATCTGGTGGCTCTTACCTGTAATCTCAGCATTCTGGGGGGCTAAGGCAGGAGGATCACTTGAGGTCAGAAGTTCAAGACTAGCTTAGGTAACACAGGGAAATCCCATCACTACGAAAAATAAAAAATAGCCGGGCATGGTGGTGTATGCCTATAGTCCCAGCTACTTGGGAGGCTGAAGCAAGAGGATCACTCAAACCCAGGCGTTTGAGGTTACAATGAGCTGTGATCATGCCACTGCACTCCAGCCTGGGTGACAGAGCGAGATCCTGCCTCTTAAAAAAAAGCCCACAAAAAGCAAAGATGACAAGTACATGATGCTGGGCATTTGTACTACTGTTGTGGATCCCTTCCAATAAATCAGAGACAGAATGAATGAAGCTATAAGCATTGCCATGTAGGTTCAGAGTTGTTATCTACAGTGATGATTGCCATAAAGAAAAAGAAAGAAAAGAGTATAAATTTCTTTGGGGCCTTCATGCAATATTTCACAAATATATTTAAAATCTTGGTTAAACGCTTGAGTTCTGAAACCTTAGCCAGGCCATTGGATGGAACATTGCCCCTAAGATGACAGGAAGCAGGAAGTGGGCACCCCTTGGACTTCTGTGCTCTGTGATGTCCCTGAGGCTCTGGCCTATGAGGCTGTGTCTGTGGTCTCTCACCCTTTCACCACTAACCCCCTCCCAGTTCCTGAGGAATGGTGGCTCCACACAGAGGCCCCGGGAAAAGAGAAGCGAGAATATTCATTCTCTGTGAATAGACATTTTGCAAAATAAGGCATACAAATGGCCAGAATATATACCTAAAAACTGCTCAACATCACTAATGCAAATTAAAACCACAATGAGATATCATACCCCAGTTAGAATGGCTATTACTAAAAAGTCAAAAAATAACAGATGCTGGCAAGGATGCAGAGGTAAGGGAGCACTTATACGTGGTTGGTGGGAATGTAAATTAGTACAACCTCTATGGAAAACAGTATGGTGATTTCTCAAAGAACTAAAAATAGAACTACCCATTCAATCCAGCAATCCCACTACTGGGTATCTACCCAAAAGAAAAGAAATTATTATATAAAAAGATACTTATGGCCTGGTACAGTGGCTTATGCCTGTAATCCCAGCACTTTGGGAGGCTGAGGTAGGCAGATCACCTGAGCTCAGGAATTTGAGACCAGTCAGGGCAACGTGGTGAAAACTCATCTCTACAAAAAATACAAAACTTAGCTGGGTATAGTGGTATGTGCCTGTAGTCCCAGCTACACAAGAGGTGGAGGTAGGAGAATTGCTTGAACCTGGGAGGCGGAGGTTGCAGTGAGCCTAGATTGTGCCATTGCACTCCAGCCTGGGAGATGGGAGTGAAACCCTGTCTCAAACAAAACAAAACAAAACAAAACAAAACAAAAACAATTGCACTTGTATGTTTATCTTAGCACTATTCACAATAGTAAAGATATGGAATCAACCTAAGTGTCCATTAATGGATGATTGGGTAAAGAAAATGTGGTATATATACACAATGGAATACTATTCAGCCATAAAAACGAATGAAATCATGTCTTTTGCAGCAACATGGATGGAACTGGAGGTCATTATTGTAAGTGAAACAAGTCAGACATGGACAAATTTCACAGGTTCTCACTTAGAAGTGGAAGCTAAACAATGTGTACACATGGACATAGAGGAGAATGACAATGGAGCCTCAGAAGCGTGAGGGGTAGAAGGTGGCTGGATGATGAGAAATTACTTAACGGGTACAATGTACGTTACTGGGGTGACGGATATCCTAAAAGCCCTGACTTCATCACCCTGTGATGTGTGCATGTAACAAAATTGCAGGCCAGGCACAGTGGCTCACATCTGTAATCCCAGAACTTTGGGAGGCCGAGGCAGGCGGATCACGAGGTCAGGAGATAGTCCATCCTGGCTAACATGGTGAAACCCCGTCTCTACTAAAAACACAAAAACAAAATTAGCCAGGCGTGGCGGCGGGCGCCTGTAGTCCCAGCTACTCGGGAGGCTGAGGCGGGAGAATGACGTGAACCTGGGGGGCGGAGCTTGCAGTGAGCTGAGATGACACCACTGCACTCGAGCCTGGGTGACAGAGTGAGACTCCGTCTCAAAACAAAACAAAACAAAACAAAACAAAACAAAATTGCACTTCTACCCCATAAGTTTATACAGATAATAATAAAAAGAATCTCCATCCTCAACCCAACAACCCAGTCAGTCCTCCCAGTTTGACTTCCTTTGCTGACATGATCTTGCCATGATTAGGGAAGAGGACCAACACCCCAACTATTACTGATCCTATTAAAAAGGAAGCATCTTTTTTTCAGAACCCATAATTATCAACAAATTTTAGAGCTAAAAGATCCAACCATCTTGGTTTACAGATGAGAAAATTGAGGCTCCGAAAGAAAAAGGACTCGCCCAAAGTCATATAGCCTAAAGCAAGAACACAGGTCCTGACTGTGTGGAACACTCTGATCCTCCCTGTGTGTCTCTCTGCTGTATATAAAGAGGGCAGGGCGTGAGGGAAGTCTGGGTGGAGCAGCTGATCTGGCTAACTAGGCAGGTGCCCTCTCTCCTTGGCTACCTCTTTGCCATATGCCCTGTGACATTTGAATAGACAGTCCTCCTAGTGCTCTGCCCATAGTTGAAATGGATATTCTTTGAGATGGAGTCTCACTCTGTCACCCAGGTTGGAGTGCAGTGGCGCGATCTCGGCTCACTGCAACCTCTGCCTCCCAGGTTCAAGTGATTCTCCTGCCTTATAGCTGGGACTATAGGTGTGCATCACCATGCCCAGCTAACTTTTGTATTTTTAGTAGAGACGGGATTTCACCATTTTGGCCAGTATGGTCTTGATCTCTTGACCTCATGATCTGCCCGCCTTGGCCTCCCAAAGTGCTGGGGTTACAGGCATGAGCCACTGTGCCTGGCCTGAAATGGATAGTCTTTCTAGATCCATGTACCTGTCCATTCATCCAAATATTAACGAACATTTGTTAAACACCGTATGCCAGGCACAGTGTCAGGCAAAAGGCATAGGTGGGGAACATTATAGATCTTTGTTTATAAAGCTTATAGAATTGTAGGGAAGATAGACGTAAGAAAACAACTGTACAGATAAGCGTTTATACTTTTGTTACGTGCTGTAAAGAAGTACAAGATGTTTGTATGATGGGAATATGCACAACAGGAGAGCTCAATGCGTGATAAGCAGTCAGAGGAAGTACAGCTTAAACTGAGAAGTGAAGGAAGAGTAGGAATTATGCAAGGGAAGGGTGTGTGTTAGTGGGGGACTGATGCAGCCGTTCTCAAAGTATGGTCTCTAGACCAGCAGCATTTGTATCATCTGGGAACTTGTTAGAAATGGGAAATGCTCAGATCTAATCTCAGCTGTTCTAAATCAGAAGCTCTGGGGTTGGGGCACAACTGCCTGTGCTTTAAATAACCCCTCCATGTGATGCTTATGAGCACCAAAGTTTGAGAATCCACTGGTGTAAAGCTTGCTGGGCAGAGGGGACACTGCACGAGGATTCTGAGGTGGCTGAGCACATGACATACATGAATTTGAGAAGCAGATGAAGGTGACTGTGGTTAGCATGGGCAGGGGAGGCTGTTGAATGAGAATGGGGGTAGTGGCTGAGTGAATGAGAATGGGAATAGCGGCTGATTAGGAGGACAGGAGGTGATGGGCAGATGGGATCTTATTTGGATATGATCTGAGGACGAGAAGGAGCCATGGAAGGGTTTCCAGCAGGAGAGAGTGTAGTTCTTCATTGACTGTTGATGAGAATCTCTAAGCCAACATCACTCAATCAGCAGACCAACAGGCACAGGTTTTCCTTGTGCTGATTTGAAGAGCCAATTAAAAAATAACTGATATTTCAGCTAATTCATATTTACATGTAAATTTTCATTTAAAAAGCCACAGACTGGCACTCTCTCACCATATGCCTCTTCCTCGTTCAGTTCTCTGCAGTGAGGGATAAGCCGTGAGTCTCCACATACACATAGGGCTGGAGATGAAAAGACAAGGAATTCACAAGCAGCCAGGCTTCCTGGGGGTGCAAACCTGGTGTCCCTGGAAGCTGAAATTTCCTGTTCCAGCACAGTTTTCCCTGTCAGGGCTTTAGTTATTTTGGCATTTTCTGATGAGTTATAAACCTCTCAGCACCTGTGTTTCATTTGAGGTGAGAGCTGGATCCCATTCTCTAGATCAGAGGGCTGAGGCTTTGCAGCATGATGCCAAGGTCACAGTAAGCCAGGGCATGACCCCTGACTTGCCTGCTCTTTGTTCTACCTGCTCGGGCAAAAAGAGGACACCTGTGGGGGCATGGAGTGAAGGACGGGGGCAGCAGGGTCTTCAGGAATGGTCCTTCTGCTGTGCATGCATGGCTGGAACACAAAGGCCTGTCTCTGGCCCTCCTGGAGGGCCTTGCCCATCTTGTTCCTTTCTTCTCCTCTCTGTTATTGTCCCTGACCTCCCACTATGATCCCCCTCTACAATTCATAAAGATCAGAGAATCATGGCGGTCCCTCCCAGCACCTCGTTCACTGGTTTGAATTATTATTAAATAACCAAATGTAGAATTGTTTTGTCAAATGGGCATTTCCATAAAACCTTGATGTACAGAAATCATCACACTGAAGCTTCTCTGATCGAAGTGGGGACACTGGGTGGGATGACAGGGGAACTGAGTTTGTTGAACCCCAGTAGCTTAGAGCACTTTGATGTATTTTGGACCTTACCAACCCCTTCAATTTACTACTGTGGAGGCTGAGGCATGAGGTAAATACCTTGTGTGAGGCACTTGGCAAAGTGGGAACTGAAACTGAGGCCCTGTTGCCCCTGTGTCCAGCGCCCTCCTCATTCTCACTCCGCTCCCAGAAGCTTAGAGATGTGCTGAGTAGGGGGAGACAATGAAGACTCAAAGTTTTGTTCGCCTGCACTTGCTGACTACCATGCCAACTTGGGGATCACACATTCTGGATTAAAAAAATAAACCTTTGTTTCCCTCCTGGACTTTTCTGCTAAGTTTGCTTCTGGTAGAAGACTGGTGAGAAGGTTCCAATGGGGGGAAATAAACCAAATAGACTAATTCTCCAGTCCTGATAATCAGTCTTTTGGTATTCACAGCAACAAATCAGCTCCCCTCAGAGAGGCAGTTATAAAATATCAAAGCCTCTGACTCTCCTCTGTGGGGCTAATCCAGAAAATCTTACTTTAGAAATAACAATAATAATAATAATAATAATAATAATACCTCATTCATCTTTACTTATCATGTGCTAGTATGTTTCTAAGCCTTTTGGCATAGCCTTCAATGTCCCTTTCTGAATATAGAAAAAACTCCCAGACTTCACTGCAAAATGCTAATTCCAGCTCTGGGGACAAGAATGACGTCAGGAAGGTGAACTGCTATGGAGATCATACATTTCTGATAGACATGTGTGTGCAATTAGAGAAACCCCAAACAAGAGGGATCAGGCCTCTGGTCTCTGGGGGAGGGCAGTTTGTGCCAGTTTCAGCAGCACAAGGACGCCCCAGGCTGCCACAGGAGTTCTAGACATTCCTGGGGTTTTCTCAATGTTACAAACTCACAGCCTTCTTTACAAAGATGGTGATATCCGGCTGGGTGTGGTGGCTCACGCC
Source organism: Homo sapiens (assembly GCF_000001405.40). NCBI lineage: Eukaryota > Metazoa > Chordata > Mammalia > Primates > Hominidae > Homo > Homo sapiens. The sequence goes on from NC_000005.10 coordinate 168,904,908, forward strand.
TGTAATCCTAGCGCTTTGGGAGGCTGAGGCGGGCAGATTGCCTGAGCTCAGGAGTTTGAGACCAGCCTGGGCAACATAGTAAAACCCCATCTCTACTAAAATAAAAATAAAAATAAGAAATTAGCTGGGCGTGGCAGCGTGCACCTGTAGTCCCAGCTACTTGGGAGGCTGAGACAGGCGAATTGCTCGAACCCGGGAGGCGGAGGATGCAGTGAGCTGAGATCATGCCACTGCACTCCAGCCTGGGGACAGAGCGAGACTCCATCTCCAAAAAAAAGAAAAAAAATGGGGATGTCCAAACCCTGCTCATCAACAGAGGTGCACCCATGAAGCACCATAAGAGCATAATCCCTTTCTATCCTTTTTCCTCCTCCATGTTGCTGGCTGATTGGGTGCAAATGTACCTAGATCCTCCCCAGTCAGAGGGCCTTTCTATTTTTGTCAACACCTGTATGCTTGCTGGTGCAGCCTTCTTCTTTTGAAAATTGTTTTTTCATTATCAAGATATCCTTAATATTTTGTTAATCAGAAGGCAAGTTATTCAACAGTAGTGAAGTACGATCATGTATCTGCAAAGAAAAGGCAAGGAAAGTAGTGTGTGACTATAAAATATGAGGAGTCATGGTTCAGGTCTGTACACAGACTCGGAGAGGTGAACACATCTACAGTGTGCTCATCTCAACTTCAAAACATCAGAAGCAGGTACTGCTATTCTGGTTTTACATATATAGACACTACAGCTCAAATACTAGGCAACTTTCCCTAGGGTACAGGGAAAAGTGGTATTGGAATTCCACATGTCTGTCTGCCTCCAGAAACTCGTATACCCCTTGCTGAACCACAGCGTTTCCTTGGAGGAGCCTGGGTTAGCATGCCTGCCCTGCCTTTCCACCATCACCCATTTAGAAAGAAGGAAATATTTAGGCACACGTGGGCACAGAGATGATGTCTAGACTTTTTGACTTTGGAAAGAAGAAGGTGGTATCTCCCTGATTTAATATTACCAATCATTCTGGAGTGCCAGGAAGCAAAGCATTAAAGGAGGTGAACGCGAAAGAGATACGAAGATCTATTGAGGACTCAGCTGGAGCTGTAGAAACAGCAAGTCCTGAACTCTAATCATCAGCAAGCCCGAATTTCCACCCCACATTCCATGGAGTCTGCAAAATAGGGTAGGTGGTGTGTTTTTTCATAAGGAAGAGATCACATTCCTCTCCCCACCTTGCCCAATATTTTAATGTTCAAGAAAGGAAAGAAGAATGAAAAGAAAATCTGAACATACCGTACTATGCTATTATACTTAAAAATACAGTAAGGATTAAAACTGCCAGACCAAATTAAAACTAATGACTGGTTTGGTGCGACCCTTCCTTGCCTTTGTGTTGCCCATTGTCTCTAGCGATAAAGGAACATCACAGGCAATTTATTGGGAGCTATTCTCAAATGAATTGCATTTGCTGAGAAAAGCACATTTAGCATTTGGTGATTCATACATGGGAAACATTATTGCTCTGGAAAAGAGTTTAAAATAAGTGAGATTTAGAGCTCAGAGAACGAAAAAACAGAGAGTTTAATTTTCTTAAAATACCTGCATCCATTATGTGTTTGTGCATGACTGTGAATTTGAATGCAAGTGCATCAGAAAAGGTCTGCTGAGATCCCAAACCGTCACAGGGGTTACCTCTACGTGGATAAGTGGCCTTGGGAGAAGAGGGTTTAGTGGGAATCTTCTATATATATATTTTTTTCCGAAATAGAGGAAAAGAAAAATTTCTGGCCAAAAACATGTACTTTGTAACTCTAGATATTTCTGCATTTTAAATCATTTTAATAATAAAGTGTTTATAGGTTGTGTGTGTTTGAAAGTTGAAATTCAGGGAATGATTGTATTTTTGAAGTGCCCTTTGTCCTTGGGAGCAAGGCAGGGATTGATTTTTTGTTTATTTATTTATTTAATTAATTTATTTATTTGAGATGGAGTCTCACTCTGCTGCCCAGGCTGGAGTGCAGTGGTGTGATCTCGGGTCACTGCAACCTCCACCTCCCAGGTTCAAGCGATTCTCCTGCCTCAGCCTCCCGAGTAGCTGGGACTACAGGTGCACGCCACCAAGCCCGGCTAATGTTTTGAATTTTAGTGGAGACAGGGTTTCACTGCATTGCCCAGGCTGGTCTTGAATTCCTGAGCTCAGGCAATCCACTCGCCTTGGCCTCCCAAAATGTAGGGATTACAGGCATGAACCACCGCGCCCAGCTGGGATTTTTTTATACTTTCTCACCAGTCTTTTAAGTCTCTGTGCTCCACAAGGCTGACAGCAGCCTTTCTGCCCTACCTAGCCCTGTGTCGGTGCAGAGCCACAGCTTTGGGTCAGCTTGGAGGGGTAGTCTCAGCCATAAGGCCTCACACTGACAGGCTGACCATAAGAGCCTAATTCCTTTCTATCCTTTTTCCTCTTCCACGTTGCTGGTTGATTGGTTGCAAATGTACCTAGATCCTCCCCAGTTAGAGGGCCTTTCTTTCTTATGTAGTAAAGTATAATCATGTATCTGCAAAGAAAAGGCCAGGAAGGTAGTGTGTGACCATGTTAAGTGCCATCAGTCGTGAGTTCTGGGTTTGTGATAAAACGAATGACTTCCATTTTCCTCTTTTTGATGACTAGTCATGTCCAAGCTTGCTTCAGTGACTTCAATGACTGTGTATTACATGTATGATAAAGAAATGCATTTATTATTTCCTGAAAGAAATACATATAGCATAGCACATTTTGGAAAACACAGGAAGCGTAGAAGCAATTACCTGTAGTTTTTCTGTTCAAAATAACCACTGTAAATATTTTGCTTATTTCTTTCAGTCTTTCTTCTATGGATAAATTATCTGTTTATACATACACATGTATGTGTGTATAGAGAACGAGGTTTCATTACACACATACACATATAAGTATACATATATCTATATCTATAGATACATATAGATATATGATATATATCATATATATATAGATCTATCTATATCTATTTTATATATATATTATACGTGTATATATATATATATATATATATATATATATATATAGAGAGAGAGAGAGAGAGAGAGAGAGAGGTGGGGGGTTTCATTTCATATTCTTTTTTCACCAAACATCACAAACTGGGTGGCTGTACACAGGAGAGGCAAGGAGACTTTCATTTTATACCCTTTTATATCTTTTGAATTTTGAATCATTTGAATGTAATGCCTATTTTCCAATAAATTAAAATATAATTCCATATTGCAGTAAGCATTTTCCATGCTGTTGCATTCTGAATACTCGTCTTTTTAAATGGTTGCATTATATTCCTTGCAAACATTTTGGAAGGGACAGTGTCTATGGCAGATGCTTAGCAGTGGTAGACGAGTCACCTGGGTCGTCCTGACCTTCTCATACCCTTGCCCTCTCCTAATCTGTCTGAATGCCATGCAGTCCACGGTTTGGTCTGCGGAAGAGTGAGGGCAGGTTTCCAGCAGAGATGATGTCACCCTGTGGGAATGAATTGTGATGTCAAGACGGATGAGCGGTGGAGAGGACGGGAGACACTGAAGAGCCTGAATTAATAGTGTCTCCAATTCCCAGACCTTTCGTGGACTGCACTGCTAAACTGAGAAGGGAAGCAGTGCTCTGGATTGATTGTTCCTGAGGTGGCTCCAGGGACTTCTCCCTGCTTTTAAGACAAGGGACTTTGGAACACCTATAATCAGGGTAACAAACTGCAAGGGAACAAGGCAAAGACCTGCACTTGAAAGCAACTCTGAGGACCAGCAAGCAGGGTTCATTACAGAACTCCTTTATCCTGAAATCATACGAAAAGTAGGCTAGACAATAAGGTTCACTGCAACCTTTATTACCCTATACCATCTATTACAAACGATGGAGGTGTTCAACTACTATTTCAACTAAAAATGCTTCCCATGGTAAGACCTGAGGAGGAATGGCAGATGTTTCTCACAGAGAGGTGCACACCTTACAAGTCCATCATAAGAGGGTCCTGAAAAATGCTCATAATGCCTACCTATCCCCTACTTGGATGTGTGACCTCCCTTACAGCTGTGAAAGGTGACATGAAAACCACCAGGTACCCGCCAGGCTTCTTGCATTTTCTCCAAATAGAACAACTCAAAGGCTTGTCTATGCAGACCCATGTCATTCCCACAGGCCTGCGTCCTCCGGTCACACATCTATCATGCCTGCATGCGTATGTGAATAAACAGCAGCTAGGACAGCAAGGGCTACCCCCGAGCTGCTCTCACACATAGTACTGATATTTTGGGCATAGTCCTACTTTTTATGGATTCCTCCTTTGCTTACAGCATGTGTTGGAAACTGGTGTTTAATTTGGCTTGCAAATTCTTTAAAAAAAAATCAGAGTCAACATTTTATAATCAGGAAATTCACACAAACATCTATCTGGATTTTTGGTTTCCTTTGCAAACTCCAGATATCCATCAATTTAGGTCCTCTCCCCCATGGCGCAAAGCTTAGTGGCAGCCGCCCTCTGTAGAAGGTACAGGCAATTCTTATTTCCAGTTTAGCATCGCCCACAGGAGTCCCTGTTGCCTCCTAACACTAAGGCCCCTGTGTCCACTGCCATTTATCATTGAGCTTGCGTTGTTATTTTTCTTATCGTAGAGAAATAATTTTATTATGCCTGCCCACTTCACTCAATGACTTTACTTGAAGACATTTGAGTGGTAATCCCTGGCCTGGAGTTTTGAGAATAGAGCCTGAAGATTTATTTAGGCATTATAAGAAGAAAGAGACACAAAGAACAAAACGATGCCTCCTGCTTTCCTCTCCGCTAGTCTCCAAACTCAGCTCCTCCTGGCAGCAAACCTGGGTTTCTGGTCTGGGTTTGAGCACGTTTTAAGGGATTGAAGTTCACCGTCCTTTGAGCCAAGATCTCCGGACTTATCTCTTTAGACTTGGCTCTACTTTTCAGGTTCAAGTCTGAGCCACATCACATTTTAGAGAAACCTTTCTGTCTCCCAAAAGAAGCCCACCTTCCTTTTTGCACAACCTGCTTTAAACCCATTCACTAAATTTGTTACAAATCTGCATTTCTCTTCTTGTGAAACATGCACAGAGAGGTATGTGATTCCAAAGCTGAAAGCAGCACATCATCAAATGATTGTGGGCAGGACCAAACCATCTGGGCTGAAAACAAGCTTCTTAAAAGAATTGTCTTCTCCCCTTGATGATGGGTCACTTTAGAGTATTTACTTCTCTGGCTGATTCAGGCTAGCTATGTAGTGAAGTCTGTGTGTTTACACGATATGGAAACTGAAGGCTCAATGTAACTTTCTCTTTCTGTTGTCATAGAGCAATCATCTTTAAGACTCAAGTGTCTAAATGAACAATTTCTACTATATTAGCTCACTCCAGACATTTAAAGAAATATTTTCATCCATAAACACATACATACAAATTTACATAATCACTTACATGCATCTGTATATTTACACACTCGCACACACACACATATTTGGCCATATATCAATGATGGATTAAACCATCACAATTGCCGCCGGGCGTGGTGGCTCACGCCTGTAATCTCAGCACTTTGGGAGGCCGAGGCGGGTGGATCACAAGGTCAGGAGATGGAGACCATCCTGGCGAACACGGTGAAACCCTGTCTCTACTAAAAATTACAAAAAAAATTAGCCGCGTGTGGTGGCAGGCGCCTGTAGTCCCAGCTACTCCAGAGGCTGAGGCAGGAGAATGGCGTGAACCTGGGAGGCGGAGCTTGCAGTGAGCCGAGATGGCACCACTGCACTCCAGCCTGGGCGACAGAGTGAGACTCTGTCTCAAAAAAAAAAAAAAGAAAAAAGAAGAAAAAAACATCACAATTGCAAAGTGAGATGGTAATAACAAACATATCTGTATGCTTGATCAGAATGCCTTCTGCAAAGAGAACCTCTTTTAAAACACAGTTTATGCTTTGTGTCCTTCAGAAGGGCAACTAGAGCCCCCATCCCATGAGATTGGCATGGAAATCACAGCCCTCATGCCTTTTTGTAAAGAAAACACTCATGAAAATATTAGACCTTAGAAATGGGGAGAGCAGCCCGCTGTTCTGTACCAGGTACGAAACCAAAAGCAGAAAAGCTACGTTTAAAATCAAGCAGCCTCTTGATGGGTTTGACGAATGCCAGCCTCCTCTCTCTGCCTGTAACTCTCCTCTCTCTGCCCCTTACCCTCAACATCCCAAGACAAATACTGCACGTTAATTAAATACAAAATGATTATTTAAAAACACTTGTGAAGGAATAATTATTGTGCATATAATAGATATATGTATGTTAAACTCCCGTGCACACATTTTGAATGATTTATGGGGTCCTGGAGCTGCCGGTAGCTATCCTATTAGCGTTCACCCCACCCCACCCGACCTTTCTGCATGGTCTCTAAATGCTGGTGTGACTACCACACACAAGAGAACAACTGCATTGTGGATTTAAAGGTACTTTCTATGACTTTTCATTGGCTCCCAGTGAATAAGCTTTTAATGAAGAATCTCTGATTAAAAACAGGGTTTCACAGTATCTAAATTAAATGCATAGCTTAGGAAGTTATTTCTTGAAACCGGCTCGCCACATACAAGTCATGTCAGCATAATGAAAATACATACATGCATTCTGGCAGCATGAAATGCCATCATTTAGCCATCCTTCAGTTACCCTTCTAAATAATTCCAGTCCAAGATTTTGGAATAAGGAAGGTTTACGATTAGATGGCATATAAGATGTCGGGATCATAGCGGGAAAGCCAGCAGTTTAGAGCATAGCAAATTCAGGTTCAAGTCTGAGTCTCATCATGTGTGGTTTTAGAGAAACCTTTCCCTCATGTGTTGTAGCTCTCTCTTGCCTCAATTATCTTAGAGAGTCTTAGAAAGGATTTGATAGAATAATGTTTTAAAACTGCATGAAACCTACACTGCATGAGTAAAATGTTGCCTGTGCTGAACTCCCGTTTATTTTTTGCATTGACTTTCACTTACACAACAATCCACTGCCATGTATGAAGTATACTTGACCTCTGAACACCACGAGCTTGAACTGCACTGGTCCACTCATATGTGGATTCTCTTCCACCACTGCCACCCCAAGACAGCAAATCTAACCTCCTCTTCTTCCTCCTGCTCAGCCTACTCAACATGAAGATGAGGACGGAGGTTTTTATGATGACCCACTTCCATTTAACCAACGGTAAATTTATTTTTTCTTATGATTTTCTTAATAACATTTTTCCCCTAGCTTACTTTATTGTAAAAATACAGTATTTTAACATATTTTATACAGTGTATTATACATACAACAAACAAAATATGTGTTAATTGACTGTTTATGTTATTGGTAAGAGCCTACTGTTAACTGGATGCCTTAATAGTTAAGTTTTGGGATAGTCAAAAGTTATATGTGGATTTTCTACTGTGCAGGAGGGAGGTTGGTGTCCCTAACCCCTATTTCGGTCAAGGGTCAAATGTATATAGCATGCACCAGTTTTTTCACCTTCTCCCAACTTACCAGAAAAGAAAACCAAGGATCCAGGAGGTCAGGGAAGCTTCATGTCACAGAGCCAGAAAGCAGTAGAGTCAAGAATTGGAACTAGACTATGTGACTCAGGGCTCTGCCATTAGCTGCCTCTATTCTTACTGTTTCCTCCCCTACATACTTACATAGAGCCAGCAAAGTTTGGGTGTATATTACAAACATACTGAACACTGATCATGCATTATACACTTGAATCTTTACTATGTCTCTATGATGTATTTTATGCATTTTATGAAGAAACTAGGGTTTGCCCATGGTCCCTCCACAAGTGGCCAGGCTGGGCTATAAACCCATCTCCTCCCCACATCACCATCCTCAAACTTTCTGCACGGCTCCCTTACTTTGTCCTTCTCTCTCCCACTGCTCTGGTCCTGTTCATCCTTCTCCCACACTGCTCTCCCTCCCCTTTGTGCCATCCAGCCTGGATTCACTTGTTACAGCTCATTCGGCTTAGGTATTCCACCCTGTCTGGCTGGTTTCCTGATAGATTTTCTTTTGTATTCTGAGGCACTGAAAGTCTAGAAGTCCCCATCAGCCTTGAATTCCAGACCCCTGCTACTGATGAGTTATTTTTGGCCTTTTCTCCAAAACTTGACTGCAAGCTCCTTACCACTTGCCTGTACTGCCCATCGCACCTGGCTAAGTGCTCAGAACTTACTAGGTTGGTGCAAAACTAATTGCAGTTTTTGCCATTACTTCCAATGGCAAAGGGTTAGGGTCAGGGTTAGGGTTTGCCATTATTTCTAATGGCAAAAACTGCAATTAGTTTTGCACCAATCAATACATACGGAGTTCAACAGATGCGCCTAGTAAGGCAACTGGCTGCCATTGGTTTGAGAAGCATTACTAACGCCCTCATATTAAGTGACCACAACACCAGATTAAAAAGAAAGGTACCATTAGCTTTTCCGTAACCCAGCTGATTTATTCAAACACTCAAACTTGTTGATAAATTTAATATTAAAGAATATATGCCCATGATTTAAAAAATAATCTGGCTGGGCATAGTGGCTCATGCCTGTAGTACCAGCACTTTGGGAGGCCGAGGCAGGTGGATCACGTAAGGTCAGGAGTTCGAGACCAGCCTGGCCAACGTGGTAAAACCCTGTCTCTACAGTGGCAGGCGCCTGTAATCCCATCTACTCGGGAGGCTGAGGCAGGAGATCGCTTGAACCTGGGAGGCAGAGGTTGCAGTGAGCCCAGATGGCACCATTGTACTCCAGCCTGGGCAACAAGAGTAAAACTCCGTCTCAAAAAAAAAAACAAACAAACAAAAACAAACAAACAAAAAATAGACGTAAAATGAAAAGTAAAACCCATATCTTTCTCCCCCACTCTGACCTCTGGTCTCTTCCTCTAAAGAGGTTAATATTTTCTTATATATCTTTCTTAAAAATGTTTATGCATATACTGGTATATATACGTATTATTTAAAATAAGCACAATTAAAAAATATACACACTGTTCTACATTTTCCTTTTCTCACCTAACTGTGTATCTTACAGTATCAGCACATGTAACTCTACCTAACTCTTTTAAATGGCCACATACTCTTTCTTCATATAGATGTGCCATAAGTTATTAACTGGTACCCAGTTGAAGGTTGCTTCCGGTTTTCTATGAGAACAGTGAACTTCAAGGTACACATGTCTTGGAATATTTTGTGAATATAGTTTTAGAAAAGTTCCTAGCAGTGGGACTGCTTGGTCAAAAAGGCTATGTGCACTTAAATTTTTGATAAATATATTGCCCAAGGGGGTCTCCGAATTAATTAGGTTGCACTAATCTTATTTATTTGGAGTAGTTCACATTGACTCTGTAGATCATAGTCCCAGAGGAAGGCCCGGAACTAGAGCTAATGTTGTGGGCAGCCTCTGAATCTGCCCAGGGTTTGGGGAAGATTAAATCATGGTCAGAGAGAGCCACATTGGCAATAGCAATAAGCTTTCTTCTACACACAGAAAATGCAGAGCATATGCTAAATGGGCACTTTCCACTAGCTGCTGCTGCCGTTACCTGGACTTTTCTGGGAACATCTCTTGGTAACTGAGGATGAGACCACTGGTCCTCCTGGGAAGTAGGACATTTGGATTCTATTCCCAACTCTGCCACTCGTTTTGCTATTCCACCATCAGCCAGTCCCTTCTCTTTTCTGTACTATACTTCTGTACTCTTTTCCGTAGCGTACTTCTCTTTTCTGTACTGTGCTTCTCTTTTCTGTACTGTAATTTCCTAATTTATGACATAGGTGATTGGACTTGGGGCTACAAACTCACATACTCACAGGAACATGGCAGACAACCTAATCCTGTGTCTGGGTGGGGAGGGTCGTTCATAAAAGAACACATGCCCCATCTGAGGATGGAGCCCAAACTCCACTGTAGAGGACATTGGGGGGTAAAAATGTAGGCTTACTGTCACTAGCCAGATTTCTTTTTCTTGATTTTTTTAAATGCTAGAAACTAATTCAAACATTTTAAAAATTCTATTTATATTTAGTATATAAAAATCCATGAGTTCATAATAATACTCTAAATGTGAAAGCAGGCAATACGTAATCTGTCAAAAGAGGTAGCTTTTACCAATTCTTTATTCTGAAACTTGATAGTTAAAAGGGGGAGAATTCAGCTTTTATCCGGTCTTTCCCATAGTAACTGTACTTCACGGTAACCACATAGTCTGGGTTTCTGAACTTTGCTTTTCATATGAATTCTGACTAATATATTTAAACGAAGTGTGGAAAAATCATTTTACAACCTCTAATTAAATAACTGATTCAGGCAACAGTCATCAATGAATGCTAAAACCTTGAAGTTAAAGTTTGATTCTTAGGATGCCAAATTATCAGTGACGGGTGATTGCTGCTAGTGAGGGTAGACAAGCGACTTTACAATAGAGCAATTGATCAATCTCGGCATGACAACAGTGAACCAATCGAGAGGTTCCTCGTACGAATTGGTTCGCTGTTGTCAGGCCAAGATTTACCAATCCCTCTATTGTAAAGTTGCTTTTCTATCCCAATACATTAATAGTTGTTATAAAACAGCTTATATATAAGCTATAACTTTAAATATATTTAATGTTTTATTATGCGAACATATCCAAAATATAATTTCAACATATAATCTATTTAAAATTGTTAATGAGATATTATGCATTCTTTTTTTTTTGAATACTGTTTTGGAAATCCACTTTGCATTTTATACTTACAGCATACCTTAATTTGGACTAGCCATATTTTATCTGCTCATCAGCTACATGTGTCCAGAGGCTGCTGTATGGAACCGCATCGTTTTGGACAAAAAGAGGCCTAACAAGTAAATGTCATATGTGAACTGTGTATAGATTGTAGTTTAAACAAACCAATTGTTGGAAAACATTTTTAGGACAACTGAGGGACTTGTAATATGGACTGTATATGGGATGACACTCAGGAATTAATATTCATTTTGTTAGGTATGATAATAGTGTTATGGTTTTCTTTTTCTTATGATACTTTAAGTTCTAGGGTACATGTGCACAACGTGCAGGTTTGTTACATAGACATATTTTTACTTTTTGGTGGGGCATACTGAAATATTTAAGAATAAAGTATAACAATGTCTGTAATTTAAAATGGCAAAATCACCACCACCACCACCACACAAATAGCAAAATATTTACAATTGTTAAATCTAAGTGATGGGCATATGTGGAGCCCACATTTGAGTGATCTCTAAGGCTCTTTTTAGATGGAAAATGTTAGAATGCCAGCTGCATATTCTGCCTCTGAATGTCATTGCTGTAGGAAGGGAGACACACACAGAGCAAGCACCACACTCTTAATCCAACAGAGCTTTCTCCTCTCCTCTGGAGGGAAGGCCTGGGAGAACCTGCAGCTGTGGGAGGTGCTTCGCTCTGCAAGACAGAGCTGCTGCTGAGGCATCAGGACCCAGAGAAGACAGGTCCCAGCCAAGTGCAGAGACAAAGGGGCGGGGCCCTGCAGGCGCCAAGCACGTCACTTACTGGACTCAGCCCGGATGCATCCAGCACTGTCCTTCATTAGCACTAATGGAATTTCAAGGTCAATGACCAGTCATAAACATCAGCCCTAAATTAAGTGTATCCCAGGCTCCTTGCCCAGAGGATTATTTCTTTTTTCTTAAAAGCCAAGTTGCTTGGGAGTTAGGAGAGTGGCAAAAATACAGTTAACCTTTCAAGATAAAAACACTATCAATTCCATTGATTTAGATCACAACTTGCTTCCATTTAACTCATCAAAAAGGATTGCCAATTTAAAAAATAATGTATTTCTCAGTCTTAAGGAGATTCTTCTTCTTTTTTTCTCCTTCTTTCTCCAGGCAACTTTTCTTCCAGCTCCACTGGGGAAGCCTTATACAGGTAGATTGACTCGGGGCTGGCTAGATTGCTGACAACACCAAAATGCTGCACACCTCACCCACGGTGCTTTGTTTTATTGATAGCGGCGTCTCTCCCTGTCATTTCTCCCTCTCTCCTTCTGAACAGCTGGGAATTCCTTGTCATACAACATGACTAATATGTTCAGCTTCAGAGGTACAAAGGAGACGGAAATAAATGAAGGGATTGCTAAATAGGAGTTTTTCTATCCCTCTAGTGGGATGATGAGTAACTAGGAATAGACAGCGACCCAACATCATTGCATAATAATCATCAGGTTTAGAATCTGAGAGACTTGAAAAGAATCAGAAATCAATACCCTACCTAAGATCAAGTGGAGGTGAGCTTTGGTTCCCAGACCAGAATCAACAGCAATTCCTAGCCAAGTCCTAGTCTTACTATACCTTGAGACTTACGAGTTGGATTTTAACGGCTCTGAACCCTTCCTGCTCTGCTGTGGTCCTGGGCATTGTGTCTCAGCCCCAGCTTGTGTTCTTGCCTACCTCTGAATCTGTGTGTGGCACTACAGGCATGGAAAGAACTGGTCCCCTGACATAAATCTCAGTCAAATCCCTTGTTTTTTATTGATATTCCATGCTGAGGAATTCCAACCAGTACTCCAAACAAGACACATCTTGATGCAGATAGTAATAACAATTTTTTACAAGACTCTGTATTAAAGAAAGATGGCCACAGCCCTTCCCCCTGCTTCTGGGGTTCCCTGTCAGCCTTCTCTCTAAAACCTGGAGTCTGTTGTAATGTTTCCTATTTCCCATCAAAAAACACAAAGCCAGTATTGCTTTTATGTCCATATTATCTCTAGAAGCATACCCTCCAATCTGGAAGGTTTTGGCACGTTAAAATCTAATTCCTCTTTGGAGAAGCCAAGGAAACCTTCGCAGCAGTATTGTGTGATTCTTTTTTCCCCAGGCTGAAAGGGTTAGCTTTATCAAGCTAATACAATCTTCTCTCCCAGGACAGACCAACTCTGACTTAAAACAATCTGTGAATAAATAGCTCAGCCTTCCCCCAAGTCTCTCTCCCTTCATCTCAGCAGAAGAAAGAGGGAGTATGGATTATCATTTTGATTACAAATATATTTCTATCTAGAGGAAGATCTACAAAGGGCTAAAGTCACCTCTATAAATTTAAACAGTCTTCAGTTAGCCCTGAAGAGTTAAATCCTCTTCTCCCTCTCCCTTTTTTTTTCCCAACATCCTGGTGCTTCAGAGATGTTATATTAGACAGATGTCAAGTTGATATAATAAACAGCAATGCCAAATCTAATGAATTAAGGGAAAAGAGAACCACATGCTGAGATTTTCAGATGAAATCAGGTAATGACAGGGAAGAAAAATGAAGCTGCATTTAAAAACGACTTGAGAGTCCAAAATTCAAGGTGTGGAGAGACTCATAGCAGGAGAAATTTCAACTGCGCACTGCATTCATCTTACATATATATGCATTTCTGCCTGATGTTCTGACTTGCATCAGAACAAAAATAAAATGAAATTTAAAGGGCCCCTGGGGCTAGTAATACTTTGATAAGGGAAGTTGGTATGTCAGTTGTCACTGAGGGCCCCAGCCTGTTTGTCAACGGCTGCACTAAGGTGAGGGTTTGAGAAGACATTTTATAAGAGGTTTGTGAACCCGATTTGTGTTTCTGACAACTTCCTTGCACTTGCCATTTATTATGCTCAGGTGGAAGAATTCAGCTCTTAGTGGTTTGGATCCATAAACGGACATGTGGCTATGGCCTCCCTAAGCATCAATGAGACAGTGCAGCATTTGGGGCTTGGATAAGAGATTGCTCTTCTTAAAGTTCTTCAGGAAAGGAGACATTACAGCTTCAGTGACACATTCAAGGTTATATGTGGATAATAAAATTCTACTTTTTGTCTAGCTCAAAGAACTCTGGATTTAATTTATGTGTTTCACTTCTTCTTAAAAATTTCTGCAGACATACCAACTTCCTTCTTCAAAGTCAAAAAATCCTCACCATATATAACCACTTAGCAATACCTATTTATACATAAAATGTTCATGCCCTTTGCCCCAGACATTCCACTTCTGGAGATTTTATCCTATAGATATACTAGTAGTAATGTGCAAAATACACATAGGATACTTTGGGAGGCTGAGGCGGGTGGATCACGAGGTCAGGAGATTGAGACCATCCTGGCTGACACGGTGAAACCCCATGTCTACTAAAAGTACAAAAAACTAGCCAAGCGTGGTGGCGGGTGCCTGTAGTCCCAGCTACTCGAGAGGCTGAGGCAAGAGAATGGCGTGAACCCGGGAGGCGGAGGTTGCAGTGAGCCGAGATCGCGCCACTGCACTCCAGCCTGGGGGACACAGCGAGACTCCATCTCAAAAAAAAAAAAAAAAGAAACATAGGATATATACAAACAAAATGATGTTTGTTGCAGCATTGTATTAGCAGTACTAGAAACAATTTAAATCTCTATCAATGATTGCCCCATTAATGTTACACTAAATTCTAGTGCACTTAGCTACCAGGACACCATGTAGTTTATAAGAAAAATAATTATGTTTTGAGATGGAGACATAACTATGATATACTGTTAAGCAAAACAGTAAACTTTAAAATGGGGTGTAATCTGATTCCATTTGATTCTGCTGAGAAACTCTCTGGAAAGAGACTTAAGCTTTTAATAATGGCTACCTCTGTATAGGAGAATATGGGGGTGGATGGGAACTGTTGTATTGTAAAATTAGGTAATATGTAATTTTTTTAAAAAAAAAACAAAGAACATTAACTTTATAATTATTATAAAAACTTTAAGAAATGTCCCTTGTCTAACAAAGATAAAGTTACACTTTAGTCTTTTCTTTTTCAGATTAAACTCCAAAAGGCTTTACTTTTTCGATCCTAATAGTAACATTATGTTTTGGATTCTACACATTTGTCATTTCAAGTCACTTTTTCATTGATTAAAAAGTGAGAACACATAAAAAAGGGAACTTCTTTGATGCGAGGTTTTGATGTACACTCAATTTGATATTATTCAATATGCTTTCTTCTATTCTAGTACCTTCCTCTGAGAAGAGTTAATGTCAATATTCAGTAGATATAGTACTAAGTTATTTAGAGGTGTTAAAATCAAGCGAGGTTTTGGGTTTCTACTACGTGGAAGTGAGTGTTTATTTTTTTCTAGAAGGGATCTCTAGCACCTTGCATTGCTGAAACATCAGGCTCTCTGCAACAATGACCTTCTTTTTGGGATATAAAGGCTTTTTGGGTATCTGGTCCTCACTTGGGCAGAATTCTAGAAGAGGACAATAAATAGCTACAAAATGAGGAAGTCAGCCCTGTCTCTGGGTAAGCTATGCACACTTACCTGATTCACCTGGTTTTTATTTTGGGAGTCAAGATTTTTAGCGAGCTGGAGCCTCTAACCCCTTCCGGGCAGCCCCCATGTACAGAGGCCCCTTATCTACAGACTTCACCGGGTGGCTAACTCCCTTCTCCAGGATGCCTCACACGTTAGGAATCACAATAGCCACACACACCTGGGCTAATTTTGCTGAGAGCAGGGGCAACAACTTAACTAGAGGCAGGGAGGATAATCTCAGAATGAATTATTCACCAGCGAGACCATCACGGCGGCACGGAAGGAATACAGATGCCTGCTGTTGGGCTACAGCTCCCCGACTTCCTTATTCAGTTTTAATGCGTCTTTCCAGCCGGTGTGAAGCAAGTGTGTTCGCATTCAGGCAGCTTCTGCCCTGGTTCCAGAACTGCTGCTTCTCTCTGCTTCTGGTTCAGGCTTACTTCTCTTGGCGTGGGTGAACTTCTCTTTTGACTTTTAAGTTCTCTTTTGTACAAGTCAGTCTGTCAGTCTGTCTCTGCTTCTTTCTTTTTCTAGCTTATTTAAACTCCAAGTCTCTCTCTCCCTATTTTTTTTAAAAAACAGGAATCAGAAATACCACCCATTAAGCTTTTCCATGCTGTACTCACTGATAGATTAGGTAAAAGCCATTGCATAAATACCCACCACACATCGCTCATTCCTTCATTTATATCCTACGGGATAACTGCTTGCAGCCTTACTATCATGACACATTGCTCTGCTCCTTGAGCTGTCAAGAGGTTTAGCTTCTTGGTAATCTGGCTCTGGAGTCAGATTGCTGGAGTTTAAGTTGTGGGTCTCGGATTTAAAACCCTGATTTTTCCCCTCAAAATCGGTATTTGGACATCATCTGTCATCTGACATGTGGAAAGGAAAATGATAGAAAACTTCTGTCCAACAGGACACTTCTCCACACATGATCCTGCACAGAAAATAGCTCTCCTTTCCTTGCTCTGTTCTCCCCAGCCTTCTAAAAAAATGCTTATAATCCCACACTCTATGTTCCTGAATACTTTACTTCTCTCACGCTTCCACTCCAAGGCGCATACCCAGGCTCATCCATTCACCTCACGTACAAAATGAAGAGGGCAATTTTCTGTAGTAAAGATATATGGGAGAAGCCAACCTCAAGTTCACATCTGTTAAAGCATTTCTCTGTTGGCAACATTTTTACAAGCCTCTCAAAGCTATATGCTTAATTAAAATAAAAGGGTGATATACATCATTGCACCAAGTCTTTGCTGATATAGAGGAAGGAAGGGGAAAAATGAGCGCATTAGTTCTCTTTTATTAAAAGAGTTATTTCAGCATGACATCTCAACTAAAGACTAGCCATTAGCAAAATTAAAAATTAGGTGATGTTGATTTTGGGAAATGTACACATTTAATGCCTTCCTCTTTCCTCCGGCTGCATCTCCTGTCCCGGCTCCAAGCTGCTTACTTTCCTCCCACCCGCTCAGGGAGCATCCTTGATCTTTGAGTACCCAGAACTGATTATCATAATGATGGAATGACAAGGAGAAGGAGAACACTTTGTTTATAAATGCTATCCTTCTTCAAATTAAATTAGAACAAAAAGGCTAACCTTTACTGAGCACATACTACATGTGAGACACTGGTCTAAGCTCATTTAATTATGAGCTCATTTAATTATGTAAATCACTCTTAGGAAGTATAGGGGAAGAAAAGCAATATTTATGGAACACCTGCCATATCCTAAATGCATTATGGGAATTTTCTATATTAATCCATATACCAACCATGCAAGGTTAATGAAATGAACTCCATTTTACAGATGAGCAAACTGAGGCTCTGAGAAGTAACTGGCCCCATGCTGCAGTGTTAGTAAGTCAAGGAGCAAGGTTTCAAACTGCAAATAATTAATTTCAATTCTGTATAGAACACAAGAAGTGAGGCCAGGTGCGGTGGCTCACACCTGTAATCCCAGCACTTTGGGAGGCTGAGGCAGGTGGATCATGAGGTCAGGAGATCGAGACCATCCTGGCGAACATGGTGAAACCCTGTCTCTCTTAAAAATACAAAAAATTAGCCGGGCATGGTGGCGGGTGCCTGTAGTCCCAGCTACTCGGGAGGCTGAGGCAGGAGAATGGCGTTAACCCAGGAGGCGGAGCTTGCAGTGAGCCGAGATTGTGCCACTGCACTCCAGCTTGGGCAACAGAGCGAGACTCTGTCTCAAAAAAAAAAAAAAAAAAAAGAAGTGGAAGGTGGGAACCATAGCAAGTAAAAATCCGTAGAGGTGGGAACGTGCATGATGCATTTGAGAACAGGCTGACCAAGATTAAGGAGTCTGCAAGGGGAAGAGAGAGAGAAAAAGGGCACAGATCAGAGCTGGTCTTCAACTGCAGATGCTGGAGTGCCAGGGAAAGGGCAAGGAGCTTCAGTTTGGAGGCAATGGGCAACCATCAGAAGTTTTTCCAGCAGGTACACAGGAACAGAGCTTCATGAAGCTTGATCAGGCAGTGATGTATCAACTGATGATAAGGGAGATAAATACACAGGTAAGAGGTCTGGGCCTAAGACAAAGAGGGCTCAGCTAGGGCCAGGTGCTTGTGTTGAATATGAAACTATGAGTGCTGCATGCTAGGTGAACTCTCACTATCCTAAATGCAGGAACTGAAGTGATTTCGACAAACATTTTGGGATTCCCTTAATACCTGAACATATGTAGCGAAAGTCTTAGCATCTGAACTTAGAACTGAGTAGATACGGAAAGTGAGGATACTTTCATTAAGAGGTTGAGTAGCGGAGTTACCAGATCATGTGCTTGACTAGATGGGAGCAGAGGGGACTTGTAGGAAATAAAGAGTCAAGAATCATTCCAGCTCGGAACCTTTAGGACTGGGGCAATGACAGGTGAATCCATACACTGAAGAGAAATGCCTTGATTGAGAATGTTTTGGGGGAAACAGTTTAACAAACCACAGGATGGCAGATAAACAGCAGGGTGAGCAAGCTAAGCCCCAGAACATCCTACGAGCCACAGTTCTGGGCGTCAGTCTTGAAGCTCCCCCTCCCTAATCCTTATATCTGACCAACCACCAAATTCTAGCATTTCTACTCCCAAATATCTGTTCAGTCCACTTCTCACCTCCACTGGCAGCATCCTCCCCCAAGCTACCATCCCTTCAACTGGGCTACTCAAATCCCTCTGCTTCCTGACAATTACCTTCCACCTTAAGTCACAGGGCTCTTCACAAACATAAATATGATTAGGTAACCCCCTTCCTAAATATCTTTTTTTTTTTTTTTTTTGAGATGGAGTCTCACTCTGTTGCCCAGGCTGGAGTGCAGTGGCACAGTCTCGACTCACTGCAACCTCCGCCTCCTGGGTTCAAGCAATTCTCCTGCCTCGGCCTCTCAGTTAGCTGGGATTACAGGCACCTGCCACCATGCCCAGCTAACTTTTTATATTTTTACTACAGACTGGGTTTCACCATGTTGGGCAGGCTGGTCTTGAACTCCTGACCTCGTGATCCACCCAACTTAGCCTCTCAAAGTGCTGGGATTACAGGCATGAGCCATCACGTCCTGCCAATATCTTTTAAAGGCTTCTCAGTGTCCTTAGACTAAGCCAGGCATTGGCAAACTATGGCCTGTGGGCCAAATCCAGCCTGCTGCCTGAAATAAAGGTTACCGGAACACAGCCACGCTCAATCATTTACATGTTGTCTACGGCTGCTTTTGCACCACAACAGCAGAATGGAATAGGGTCACAGAGACTGTCTGGCCTGCAAAGCCTAAAATAATATCTGGTCCTTTACAGAATGGGTTTGCCAACCACTGGACTAGATAGAAGTCTGTACCCGGGTCCACAAGGCCCTGCATGATCTGACCCGTCTGCTTCTCCAGTCTCTCTTCACACCTCTGACCCTTCTGCTCTGTCATTTCAGTCATGGTGGCAGACTTTTGGCCACTCACAGGAGCCATAGACATGGAGCTAAGTGGTCATGTGTCGGCCTGGACTGGACCATGTGTTTCTGGGGCACAGACTTTTGGGATCCAGGGCACTCCTAGCCCCCAGTCTTTGCCTGGCTTCCTCTTCCCATGTCCTGCTTCTCTCCTTCCTGCGGGTTGGGACCCAGTACCCTCCATCTCTCTCACTCCTCCCCTCTCAAACCCTTCTTTTAGGAAAGGAGTCCAAATCGACCACTTACACCTCAGTTCAATGCAAGCCAGTATAATTAATAAGGAACATTTAAGGGTGTGTAAGGGTGTGTGTGTGTGTATGTGTGTGTGTGTGTGTGTGTAGCTCACTCTGCCTCTGCCACCCAGGCTGGAGTGCAGCAGCACAATCACAGTTCACTGCAATCTTGAACTCCCAGGCTCAAGCAATCCTCCCACCTCAAAATCCCAAGTAGCTGGGATTAGAGATACATGCCACCACACCCTACTAATTTTTTTTGTACTTTTTGTAGAGATGGGGTTTTGCCATGTTGCCCAGGCTGGTCTTGAACTTCTGAGCTCAAGCAATCTGCTCGCTTTGGCATCTCAAAGTATTAGGATTACAGGCGTGAGCCACCGCACCCAGCTGCATTTGAGTTTTGAGCCTTGTTTCTAATTGGCAAAGTTGTTTTCTTCAAGAAACCAACGAGCAGGTAAGTGGACTCTGCAGAGCAGAGCGGAGAAAGAAAGAACGCATCCCTGAGATCCCATCATAAGGTAAGCAGTTGCCTCCTCCACTAAGATGAAATCAGCCCTGATTTCAGTTTCAGAGTCAACCAATATTTATCGAGCACCTTCTAAGAGCCAGGAACTGTGCTAGGAGTGTTAGCTTGTTATTTTCTGTTAACCTCCTAAATTCTGTAAACCAGTCTGGGTTTGGCTACAAGTAACAGAAGCCATTATAGACAGTTTAAGCAGGAAGTCCAACAATTTGGTAAGCATCTGTCAATTCTGTAGCAAAAGACAAACTTGTACATGCTGACAAACTTGTTGAATGGGCTCGGGGAGCAGGTTCCAGTGAGCACCTCTGGGAGTAACTTGCAGGAATAGCATTGCAGAACTGACGCACCAAGGGAGCTGCTACTATGCACAAGCTGGGGAAGTGGGAAGCAGCCACCCCAGCTGCCAGATCTGGAGTTAGACCATCTGAGCTGCCATGTGGAGATTCTAAATCTATATCCAGAGCTGTAGCTCCAGAGCGACACCATGACTTGCACCAGCAAGAGGGTTCCCTGGCAGGTCTCTCTTCCCACCTAACTCATTTCTCTATTCCAGTCTTCTGCCATCACAGGCAGATACTGAATCACAACCACAGCCCTGGATGCAGAGGAGTCTGGGGACTGTCATTTCTAGCATTCCCATCTCTGCAGGACCAGAAGGTAGATGAGAAAGATGCCACAGTGGATATTGAGTAAGGCAATCTGTAGTCTCTGCCCTGTTAAAAAAAAAAAAAAAAGAGGGGGAGGTGTTGTTTCCTTGACTTTACAGAAATGGAAGCTGAGCTCCTGAGGGTGAGGTGCTCTAGGTTTGCCAACTCTAAGCTCCATTGCTTTTTCCAATAAAAGGAAAGAGAATGTCGTTTGTTATATTTAAAGGCAGTAACAAGTGAGGTATTAGTCCCCTAACTACCAAAACAACACATTTCAGAGCTCAGCCGGTTGCTGAGAAACTGATGAGAGTCAACGGACAAGGGATAGCCCAGGAACCCAGTCAGGTAGAATCCTGGAATCTCCACTGTTTGTTTCAGCATCTCACCACTCAGAAAGTGATCTACGGAAGGCATGTTTTCATCCACAGGGTTCTCAGTGATAACACTGCTTTTCTCTTGGGAGCGGTGCCTCGGAATTCAGGATAGCCAAAAAACTACAAGCTATGGTTCCCAGAGCAGGATGGATGTGTCTATCTATCCAACTGTGGGGAAAGGTGTGCACTACTCAGAAAGTGATCTACTGAGGGCATGTTTTCATCCAACAGGGTTCTCAGTGATAACACTGCTTTTCTCTTGGGAGCGGTGACTTGGAATTCAGGATAGCCAAAAAACTATAAGCTATGGTTCCCAGAGCAGGACGGATGCGTCTGTCTATCCAACTGTGGGGAAAGGTGTGGGTATGAGGTCCTGAGAAGGGGCTCATTTCTCTAAGAGAGAACATATATCTTCAATTAGAGGGACTGCAGTTTTTCGGGAGTGAGTAGACAGTAATTATTAATTATTCAGATAACCATCACCACTGCCTTAGTTCCAGCTCTCACTATTTCTCAGCTGGACCATCACAAAGCCAACTCCCTGGGAGCCCTACTTTGTGTTTCTACCAGTCAATTCATCTTTCCTACCGGCAGACCTATATTTCTACAATCTGGATCTAACCGTGTTAAAGCCCCGCTTAAAAACCTTTTAGCTTGTCATTGCTTAAAAGATAAATCCCACTCAACAGCAACAACAAAACAACATGATTAAAAAATGGGTAAAGGACTTGGATAGACTTTTCTACGAAGAAGACTTGGATAGACTTTTCTACGAAGAAGACATACAAATGGTCAACAAGTGTATGAAAAGGTGTCAACATCATTAATCACTAGGGAGACACAAATCACAATCACAATGAGACATCAACTCACACCTATTAAGATGGCTACTATCAAAAAAAAAACAAGTGTTGTCAAGGATGCAGAGAAATTAAAATCTTTATGCACTGTGGGTAGGAATGGAAGACAGTGCAATTGCTTTGGAAAACAGAATGGTGGTTCTTCAAAACATTAAAAAACAGAATTACCATACGATCCAGCAGTTCCACCTTTATGTATATACCCCCCTAAATTGAATGCAGAGTCTTGAAGAGATATTTGCATACCAAAAACAGCATTATTCACAACAGCTAAAAAGTGGAAGCAATTCAAGTGTCCACTGATGGATGAATGGATAAACATTTGGTATATACATATAATGAGATATTACTCAGCCTTAAAAAACAGAAGGAAATTTGGACCCATGCTAAAACATGGGTAGAACCTTGAGAACGTTATGCCAAGTGAAATCAGCCAGTCATAAAAAGACAAATACTGCATGATTCCACTTACATGAGTACCTAGAGTAGCCAAATTCACAGAGACAGAGACTAGTAGTTTCCAGGGTTTGGGGGTAGGAGGGGATAGGGAGTTTTTGTTTAATGGGCATAGAGGTTCAGTTTTGCAAGATGAAAAGGGTTCTGAAGATTGGTGGTACGACAATGTGAATAGACTTGACACTACTAAATTACATACTTAAAGATGATTAAGATAGTAAATCTTATGTTATTTGCATTTTATCACAATCAAAAAAGAGATAAAAGTCCAAGGTACCTGGTGTGGCATTCAACACCGGAGACCCCTGGGATCCAATCTGCTCTTAGACTTCACCCACTGCTTCTTCCTAAAATCAGCCATACAGCCATTCCTGGCACTCACCATGCCCGTTCATGTCTCTGTCTCCCTGAGCTGCTCTACATCGCAGGGCCCCCGCCCTTACCATGTAGCTTGTCAAAACTCACAATTACATCACATATGTCCTTGACCATTGAGATTTTGCCTGCAAGAATGTCAGGGCCATGACATAGGGACATTAAATATTATTACATACTGCAGGACTGGGTGCCTATGATGAATTGGATAACTGAGACATGTTTAACAGCCAGTTCAAATGTCATTTCCTTTCTTCAGCTTTTCTCAGCTGCCCTAGCAGGATGGATCTCTGCTTTATCTGGCTTAGTTTGTCCCTTTTTGAGCTGCCAGCACATCACCTATCCCACTGCATTCCCGTTAGCGTGGATGTAGCTATTCCTCACATCAGATGAAGACCTTCAAGTCAGAGATCATACATTATTAAGTGTTACCTTCCCAGTACCCAGGAGAGTGCTTGACAAATAACAGGTACTCTTTGTTTAATGTGGCATGTTCCAAATTTTTGCAGTTTTTTTCACCTTCAGGATTTGCGTCGTATTTACAAATACTCTTCCCTTTAAAATTGGCTCATATGTTAAAAACTGCTTTAAGAAGAAAATAATTTAGGAAGGAAATACCAGTAAAAATAAAGATTTTAATATGCTAGTTATATTTTGCTCTATTATGCATTAAATGAGTAATGATTAAATTTTAGAACGTTCTTCTGTATAGCACTAAAATTATGACTGTCATTATTTGAAAAACAGTTGTTTAAACAAGAACCACCGTGAGAGTTCACACTCCTCGGGTGTCCCTTGAGGATCTCTGGCAAGGACCAGGTCTGGGGCCAAGTCCCAGGTCAGGCAACAAAGGCTGCCGTGTATGTCGTCTCTGCCTACCTTCCCTCCTTCTGCCTGGAAAAGTGGCTCAATAGGTCACTGCCTGCCTCTTTGTGTATGTGCAAGTCTTTCTAGAAGGAGGAAATACCAAAAACCTTTAAAAACATATCTCCAGTGTTTAACATTCTACAGTCTTTTTTGGAGGACTGAAATTTTTTAAAAAAGCATTTAAACAGGAATGGCTGTAGTTAATACTGTAGGTACTACTTTACTTAAAATAGCACTTTTAGAGCCAAGGCACTTTCACACCTATTTCTCCCATTTTCATGATATTTCTGGAAGGAAGCTGAGAAGTGGGCAGAATTTTATGGATAGAGAAAGTAACCCAGGCTGAGATAATCCAAGCACCTCTGCTGAAAGTCCCTGGGCTAGTCTGCCTCTGCCTCTTGGCGTAAGACTCTTCCCATTAGGTTATATATGACTGGCCCAGACTCAATAATGAATAATTATTCATAAAAATGTTAAGTAATAACGATGATAATATAATAGCCAGTACTTGGTGGATACTTATTCCTAGGCATTATTTTAGGAACCTGTTCAATCCTCACAACAACCCTGAATTAGGCACTCTAATTGTGTCCATTTCACAGATGGGGAAACCAAGGCTAGTAGAGCTTGGGTCACCTGCTCAGGGTTACAACAGCAAGTGCTTCCCAACTCTACCTTAAACCATCGGATAAACCATTTTACCCCCAAGTGTGGAAATGCTATTATTAATGTTCCATAATAATATTAAGAACAGTTATTATTGTTGCTGTTATAATGGAGATAGCTAACATTTACTGAGGACTTAACATGAGCAAAATACTGTGTTAAACTTTTTATTTTATGTGATTTAAATCATTTAATCACCATGACAATCCAATGAGTAGTTGCTATCATGACCTTCCTTTTACTGATGAGGAAACTGAGGTACAGTGCAGTTAACCAGCCTAGCAAAAGCTGTTCATAATTACACAGAGGTAGAGGCAAAATTCAAACCCAGGGATGCTCTGGAATCAAGGCCAGCATGGGCCAGAGAAGAGCAGAAAGAGAGGGTCAATTCTGCACAATTGGAAATGAGACTTCTTGGAATTAAAACTTTCCTTGGCTAATCTGGAGGGATAGCTGTCTCTGTTGAGTGGCAGGTTATTTATCTGAAGTCTACCTGAGAAGTCTATTTGTACATGAGCAGATAGTAAAACCTAGCACCTATGGGGAAAAGAAATGAATGGGAAACTGCAAATAGTTCATACTGGCTCGTGGGCTGTAGCTGAAAGAAGGTGCTATGGAATGCATATGGGCCACGGGGACATGGCGTGGGCCGGCCTCCACAGCAGAGGAGGCGGGTGTTTCCCCAAAGTCAGGCTCCAGCTGGCCTGCCTTATTCTGTGGGGTGTCCTTCCTCGGGGACCACATCTACCTTTGAGCTCAGTGTCTTAGGACTCAGAGCTTAAGGAAGGCAGACTTAGAAGAGACTCAGTGAGCCCACGGACTTGCAGCATAAGTCACTCCCATGAGACAGAGGTGAGGTCCTAGTCAGTGTCACACAGGCCAGGGAGGTCTCACCTGCATTCCTGGGGAGAAGTGACAGTTCAGATTCCTGGCCATTTCTCTAGGTGAAACAGCACCTCGGGGAGTGAGGACTGGGAATTTAAGTGTCTTCAAGTGATTCTTATCCCTCCTACCTTTGACACCCCATGGCCCGCATTTTTGCCAAAAGAAAATTTGGCTGGAAAGTGGGGAGAGCCATACGCTGTAAGGAGGGCTATCAGTGAGGAGGAGAGTAAACCCTTGTTAATTTTCTCTACACAAGCTTGCCAGAGAAAAAGGTGTATATTCAAGCAAACAATAAAAATAGGCAGACACATTTGCATGCTGAATGGTTTGCTGTTTGAGGCTCTGAAGTCAGGCAATCTGGTTTCCAATCCGGAGTCTGCCATTTCTAGCTGTGTGACTTTGACCAAGTGATGTAAACCCCTCCCAGCCTTAGTTTCCTCATCGGGGCAGTAGAGATAGTAATTGCTCCTACTGTAGGTGGGGAGGCTCTGAAGAGATAAAACATGCAGAGGGCTGAGTTTAGTGTCTGGCACATAATAGGTACTCAATGAATACAGACCCTTAGCACAGTACTGCTGTTATTATGATTAGGAAGGAAGTCTGTGGCCTGGAACCCCTCTCCATCATGTCTAGAAATAGGCCTGGAGAGCGCTTGGCAGCTGACACCTGTGGCTCAGTTCACATGAGAAGCTAAGGTCCGGTTCTGGAAACTCTCAAACCAGCAGCCCCCCGAGAGGCCTGATCCACCCAGGACACTGAGTCCCTTGGCCACTTTCTTGGTGCCACATGCCATGAGTGATGTGCCTCCTAGACAATAACCTGTGGGCTTTTGGACCCAGTGAAGATGAAACATCCTATTTCAGAGGATAAATACCGCAAATCCACAGAGAGCCTGCAAAGCCTCCTGGAACGTCACAGGTCTGGCAATGCCACTGCCTTCGTCTCCCCCTCTCCTGATAACCTGCTGACAGCCAGCCCGGCCCAACACCCTCCTGGTCCCTGTCAGGGAAAACTCGGGGGACTCTCTCTAATTGTCTTATTGGTATAGCCCATGATTTGGGAGGAAGTAAACAAAGGCATAGATCAAACTCCCTAGGGAAGTCAGGGAAGTTGCTGTAAAGGTGCTTGAAAAAGAGAAAGAACGCATTTAATTTCATTTTCCCCTTTATCTTATATTATGTATGGACTACCTTTTACCTGGCAATTGCCTTTTCAGAAAAAACAAGACAAACAAAACCAAAATCTGCAAGATGAGGGAGTTGGAATAACAAATAGTTGACTGACTGATCTTTCTATCCATCCGTCATACAAATGTTATTGTCCATCTTTATGTGCAAGACACTGTGGGAGTATCTGGGGATTCAGGGGTGAGCAAAAGAGAGACATGGCCCCTGGTGTCACTGAGCCTAAGGTTGAAGGGGGAGAGTGACCTTTACTCCACTTGCTCCCTCTGCAAAAATCTCAAGTCACAATTTTAGAGATCTGATCAAAGCTCTCTTGGAGAAGGAAAGGGAAAGTGTGTACTGAGTATACGATGAGGGGATAGGACCTAGGCTGGGTGCCGGAGGGTGGGTCAGGCAATCTCACGGCTGCAGGCCCAGCCTCCCAGCTTTCATAGCTCTGTCCCTACATTGTGCTAAGTAAGTGTCAGTGAATAACACAGTGACTCATAGCAAGTAGGTGTATGATGAGGGTGTCTACTAGCACACACCACTGCACAGGAAGAACTGCCCGTGATATTCTGTCCTGAGTTGACTCCCGGAGGTTCCTTTTGCAATAACCACTTTAGTAGCTCCCTAGAGATGTCTGTGTCACGTACCCAAGAGCTGAAGTCAGACTTCAGAAAATGCTCCTTGACGCTCTACTCTTCTGAGTAACAGAACTGTGGGGAAGGGAATCCTAGCTCCCTCTGTAGTGAACCCTGACTCTGCCAAGTCTGTAGCCATCACAAAGTCCCAGATGGGATGGTGGTGTCAAACATGGTTGGATTAAGACCATGCTTTATCACTAAGAACCACAGGCTCTTCATAAGATGGAGGCTGCCCACCGCAGAGATTGTGGCTGCCATATGCCAGGTGCTCCCTGGTAAGCAGCCAGGACCTGTTTGGACGATTTCTCCTAATTCAGCCCCAAATGCCAACTCCCTACCCATTCCTGACACAGTTTTTTTGTTGTTGTTGTGTTTTTTTTTTTTTTTTGGTACAAGGCACTATATATTTCAAATCATTCTTCTGGACCAGATAAAAAGAGGAAAGGGAAGAGGGGAAAAAGACACACACACACACACACACACACACACACACACACACACACACTACACACACCCTACACACACACAGAGATTTCTTCTTTGTAATTTTTCTCTTTCCCTAGGAGACAGAAAGACTAGGAGGTAGGAGGAACAGAAGTCCCTTGCTTTCTTGGTTTGTAAAATTTTCCAGTCAAGTCCTAGTGTACTCACCTCAGCCAGCCAATCAACGTATGTAAAGGTAGATAGTATAGATAAGCGACTGCCCAGGGACACCCCGTGGGGCAGCCTGGTGGGCAGCCAATGGATTAGGAAGGAAACAGGACTGCGGTCAGATCCCAGCAACTCCATATCCTAGCTGTGAAACCCTGGCCAAATTCTTACCCTCATAGTTTGTTTCCACATCTGTAAAACGGGAATGCCTGCCCCGTAGGGCTTCTGTGAGAATTAAGCACACATCTAAACCACACTGTGCATGTAAAGACTAGCAGCCTAGGCTACGATTTGAGTATCGCCCCACCTACAGCTGAACATCGCACAACATGCATAACCTTGTGTGGTAGTCTGGCCCATAGAAAGAGCTCAGTCAGTAGCCACTATTATAAGATACAGTCCTTGTCTTCGGAAGCTTACACTGTAACTGAGCTTTCCACATGAATAATACTGGCAAGCATACCAGGGAAAGAGAAAGCATTGCCAGCTTACAGAGGTGAACAATATTCACTATCAATGGATCAAGAGAAGCTTGTGGGATTGAAGAGAACACAGCATTAACAAAGATGCAAGGCAGAGATGTGCAGGGGGGTGGTGAAATAAGGAAATGGGGCTGAGGGTGAGGGTATTTAATAACATTAGCATATGAGAAAGGACTTTAAGACCTTAGCCCACTAAGGATTTCTGATCAGCATCTCTGCTAATTCTTAAAACAGCCAGAGGAGGCTGGGCGCGGTGGCTCAAGCCTGTAATCCTGGCACTTTGGGAGGCCAAGGCGGGTGGATCATGAGCTCAGGAGATCGAGACCATCCTAGCCAACATGGTGAAACCCCATCTCTACTAAAATACAAAACATTAGTGGGGCATGGTGGTATGCACCTGTAGTCCCAGCCACTCAGGCGGCTGAGACAGGGGAATTGCTTGAACCCGGGAGGCGGAGGTTGCAGTGAGCTAAGATGGCACCACTGCACTCCACCTGGGTGACAGAACAAGACTCCATCTCAAAACAAACAAACAAAAAAAACAGCCAGAGGAGGTAAGAACTGTGATTCCCTTTTTAAGTATGAGGAAATTGAGGCTCCAAAGAGCTGGGTACCTTCTCCTAAAAGCGTGGTTAGTAAGTGCTGGAGCCAGAACTTGAGTCTAGGGTCTCTAGCTCCGAAGCATTGATGTGAGTAAAGGGTTGGAGAGAAAACAAGGATAATCTTGGTTGAGACCCTGGAGGTCGTCAAAGGCCAATGGGAGAGTTTGGATTTTTATTGAATAAGCAATAAAGGAAAAGAAGATCTTCAGCACAAGAGTGATGCGCTAACAGATGATTTAAGAGGAGGAGCCTGGCTAGGAAGGGCTGAGTGGCCTGTGGAATACAGAGGGGCAAGAAGGAGTTCATCCTTCATTTATTATTCAACCAATACTTCTTGAGCAGGGTACTAAGCTGGTGCTGCTTGCCCAATTCCTCCCTTTCTGACTGAGAGCCTGCACTCTGCTCTAACAGGCCGTGGTGGCTCTGGAGTTGTGGCAAATACACAAACTGCCATGTTCCTTAGGGAGTGATGGGCTCCACCTGCTTCCCGGAAGCCCACCAGGATTTCAGCTTTATTGTCCTCTAAAGAGATCCATTTGCCAAAGAGGGAGAACGCTCCTCGTAGATGGCACAGCAGTAATCACCTGCCATCAACTCCCCAAAGGAATAATTAACCTATGGGAAGCATCTTCCTGAGGGAAGAGACTGGAGAGCTCAACAGCCTGATGATTTTGAGCCACCCAAGTCTGGCTTTCCTCTTTGCTGGTTGAGATTCTACTTAAATAGCCAGTCTTTAAATGATCCAGTCAATGATTCACATTTTCTCTGCAGGGGGTGGAACTATGGGAGAGAAATTGCTAATTCATTTACTCATCCATTAATTCTACTGATAATTATTGACTGTATTGTGGGAAGAAACAGAGGACAATCTTACAGTGTCTGCCTTCTGTGGATGTCAGGCTGGTGGAAGAGACAGGCTGATACCACAAGATGATGGGAAAGGCACGCGGCTGTGGGAGCACACAGGATCACAGCAGCCTTCCTACTAGAACTGACATGCAAGTTCAATCCCCAAAGAAGAGCAAAGGCAGCCTTTGAGACTGGGGAGGAGTGTTGTAGGAAAGGGGAGCACTTCTGCAAAGGTCTGGAGGCAAGAGAGGGTCTATTTTGGGAATTAGAACAACAACAATACTTGCTGCCTATTCCTGAACACTTATTGTGGGTCAGGCATTATGTTAAATGCTTTATGCATGTTACCTCACATATCTTCAAAAATGAAACAAGAAGGCTGGGCGCGGTGGCTCACGCCTGTAATTCCAGCACTTTGGGAGGCCGAGATGGGCGGATCACAAGGTCAGGAGCTTGAGACCAGCCTGGCCAACACGGTGAAACCCCATCTCTACTAAAAAAAAAAAAAAAAACAAAAATTAGCCAGGCATGGTGGCGTGCACCTGTAATCCCAGCTACTTGGGAGGCTGAGGCAGGAGAATTGTTTGAACCCGGGAGGTGGAGGTTGTAGGGAGCCGACATCGCACCACTGCACTCCAGCCTGGGTGACAGAGCAAGACTCCGTCTCAAAAAAAAAAAACAAAAAAAAAAACCAACAACAAAAAAGAATAATAACCCTATTAAAGAGGTATTGCCCTCATTTTTCAGATGAGAAGTTGAGACTCAGAGAGGGTAACTAACTTGTCTGAGGGCACACTCTAAAATGTGGTGAAGTTGGGATTCATTTTCTCTCTCCACTTCCTAAAGTCTGAACCACTACACTGTGCATTGAGGGCCTCTGGCCACACCCCCTCCAGGAAGCCTTCCCTGACTTCATCAGCCTGCAGGGATGATTTGTTCCTATTGTGGTCAGCTCTGGATTCCATCTTATCTCTACAACCAGAGAGTACCTTCCTCAAAGTCAGGGAATGCAGCCTCCATTCTTTGTTTCAGTGTGTTCATTCATTCCGTTAATTATACCATAGCACCTCAATAAGTATTAATGGATTGACCATTCTTTGGTCATGACGCCACACTGATGAAATGATCCTTTTAAGTGGAAAACTCTGTTGGATCTACACATGCCTCTAACTCCTGGCCAAAAGGGAAGTTTGAGTGCATTTCAGCTTTCATGGTGTTTTCATAAATAGGGATATATAGGATTACAATGAGCAGGAAGAAAAGAAAGCTTCAGCACAAATCATGACATTCTGTTCTAAGCTCTTAGGGCTCTGGAGAAATTCAGAGCAATCCCATCACTGTGCTCACAGACAACTGTGGTACGGTTTCTTTGAGCAACATCCTTTGTATTTGTGTCTGATTTTTGTTTAAAGAATATTCTTTCCAAGATGGCAAACATTAAAGAAGCAAATCTGTTTATATTTGTCTGGCAACTGAAAAAATGCATCAGGCTGAAAGCAAATTTCAAACAATGCAACGAACCTGGCATACCAAAGGAAAGCTCTGAAATCCCATAGTTGTAATTAGTTTCCCCCACAAAATTAGGGCTGCTAGCCTAGGGAGAACCACGTGGATGTGAAATTAGTGAAAGAGAGCAAAGAGATTCTAACCAAAGCTGCCTCATGGCATTAAGGTACTTGGGTCCCATGACTTGTAGACAGGAAATCAACATCCACTGGGCCAAGACCAAATGCTGCACCAGCTCATTCACATGCCTTCCTGGGCCACGGTTTTTCTTCTTTTTGAGGCAGAGTCTCTCTCTGTCACCTGGCTGGAGTTCAGTGGTGCAATCTCGGCTCACTGCAACCTTTGCCTCCTGGGTTCAAGTGATTCTCCTGCCTCAGCCTCCTAAGTAGCTGGGATTACATGCGCACACCACCAAGCACAGCTAATTTTTGTATTTTTAGTAGAGACGGGGTTTCACCATGTTGGTCAGTCTTGTCTCGAACTCCTGACCTCGTGATCCACCCGCCTAGGCCTCCCAAAGTGCTGGGATTACAGGCGTGAGCCACCGCGCCTGGTAGCTTTTCCTCTTAGAGCAAGCGGCCAGTGAGAGACCTCCCAAGCAACAGTCACCACTGAGAAAGAACGAATCTCCCCAGAAGGGAGAAAATGAATGATAAAAGCAGCTGACATTATGCTGGAATAACAAGCAGGGCAGCTTTCCATATCCGGTGACTTCCTGTACTGGCCTGTTCCCAGGCTGGGTGACATGCTAACACTGACCCTTAATGGATACAGGGTGGTTGGCGTTCAGTGAAGGGAGGGGCACTGGAATCATTCAGTCATTTTATCAACCAATATATACTTATTGAGCACCTACTAGGTGCTTGTCTCATCCTAGGAACTGGGGCTACTGTGGTAAAAATTTAAGCATAATCCATGCTGTCCTGGAGCTTCTACTTTGGGGGATGTACTTAGAGATTAAACAACTATACAAATAGCTTGTTAACTATAGCTGGGCTTAGTGCAATCAAAGTGAGTTTATCACACAAGGCAGTGTATATGGGGGCAAGGATGCAATCAGAAAAGGCTTTCTGAAGGAAGTGACACCTGAGCTGGCATTGGAAGAATTCGCTGGTTGAGGACTCAACCAGGTGAAGTTGGGGGGAAAAGCTCATATGAAGCCTTGGAGTAGGAAGGAGTCCAGCGTACTGGAGGGGTAGGGAGAAGGTCAGTGCACCCAGAGCACAGAGGCCAAGGGGTGAGTGCTGGGGTCAAATCACCCAGGTCCCTATAAGGCCATGTGGGAGGATTTTCATTATCGTTTCTACCCTAAGAGAAGGTAAAACCATTAAAGTGTTGTGAGCAGGAGAGTGAGGGATCGAACATGCATTTTGGAAGACAGACATTCACTCTGTGGGAAATGAATTGAACGAAGAGAAGACTGAGTGAGTGAGGAGAGAACACTGAGAAGGGAGCAGACCAGGCAAAAGGTGGTGGCAGCCTGGCCTTCGAGGGTGGCAGAGGGGCAGAGGTGAAATGGACTGAGTATACACCTAGCAGGTCCAGTCAACTAGGCAGATCAGATAAGGGGTTGGGGTAAGGGGGAGTTGGATCTAGATGGCATTGGCCTTGTGCGGCGGAACGGGAGGCCTGGCATTCTCTGAGCCTGTGAACCTGGAAGCAACTAGGATGGTGGTAGGCGGGGATCACAGACCTGGGTGAGGATCCCAGGTCGGTCACTGATTCGCTGCATGACTTCGGGTGAGCCACATAGCTCTTCATGCACCTCAGTTTTCTTTTCTGAATAATGGGAATCTTACAGCTATCCTGTATATTTTTAAGGACTAGAATAAAGAATGGTGCCTAGCACAGCACGTGGCAAAGAAAAGACTCTAATAAACGATAGCAATTATAATCATTATGCATTTTTTTTTTTTCCCAAAGCAAACCCTCAGATTCACACTAAAGCTTCTGATCAGAAATACCTTAGGTGCAACTTCTGACTTCCAGAATGCAAGTATACAATGCAGTCATAAATCCAGGGGCTCCATCCACATGGTAGATACTGCGGATCTGTATATTTATTACATTACTTTTTCCTCAGAATACGGCAATAAATCTTGTTCTAACGTACCAATATATCACAACAATTTTCTGACAGTTGGGAGTAAACTACTTGGAGGAAGAGTGAACTTCTTCTGATACATACATTTGCTGTGTTTTGCCCATGATGGCAGAATATGAGGCAAAGAACATATTCTGGCTAAATACTAGGCAAATAAGCATCCATCCCCACCAAAAAAATCCTGCCAGCATTTAGGTGCTATTCTATGGATAGATTTTAATGATATGGATAAATCTCTAACTTTCACAGAGAATGTTTGATTCTAATAGCAGACATCAGTATGTGAG
The DNA here is from genome assembly GCF_000001405.40 of Homo sapiens. Lineage (NCBI taxonomy): Eukaryota > Metazoa > Chordata > Mammalia > Primates > Hominidae > Homo > Homo sapiens. The sequence goes on from NC_000005.10 coordinate 168,938,368, forward strand.
AGAAAGTGGCATTTAAACAGGAAATAGGAAAGAAATATATAGAAAGTGCCTAGCATATTGCCTGGTACTGAGAAAGTGACAGATGGATCCTTGCCTGATTGTACTGTTGCAGCAGTGGCCAATGATGATACTGTTGTTTTCTAGAACAAATACTGATACATGGGTATTGTGATTTTTAAGAGTATAAATTCAGGGTATTTAGATACAGTGATTTTATTTTGAATCTCCTTCCCCTTCTGCCTTATCCTTTTCTCTACACAATGATTATTATTATTTTTTTTGAGACGGAGTCTCACTCTGTCACCCAGGCTGGAGTGCAGTGGCCTGATCTCGGCTCACTGCAACCTCCTCCTCCCGGGTTCAAGCGATTCTCCCGCCTCAGCCTCCCTAGTAGGTGGGACTACAGGTGTGCACCACCGTGCCTGGCTAATTTTTGTATTTTTAGTAGAGACGGGGTTTCACCATGCTGACCAGGCAGGTCTCAAACTCCTGATCTCATGATCTGCCCACCTCAGCCTCCCAAAGTGCTAGGATTACAGGTGTGAGCCACTGTGCCCAGCCTATACAATGATTATATAGAGATATACCCTGATTTGGAAGGCAGAGATACTTGTTCACAGTGGAAGGCATGATAGAGCTACAGATCCACTGCAGGACAATGATATGGAAAAATCTCATCACCGGGTACATAAAACCCTGTAGGCAGCAAAGGAATGGGCGCCTTGGGAGAAGCATGCGAGGAACCGGAAACACAGACTAAAAGAACCCAATGCAGACAAAGCAGCACCAGGTCAAATACAAACCCCCTGGGCAACTTACGTAGCTGCGCTGTGGGTCAGCGCTATGATTGATGAGGAAGGGCCTTCAGGTATCACCGCTGGGCTCGGGCACATTTTACCAAAGGAAGCCAGCGTCATCAGGCCTCTGAATCACTACATTATAACACGTAATAGGGAAGAGCACGGATGTATACTGGACAAGGAATTCTGGCTGGAACTGCTGTCTGGTGAGCTTAATAGATCCCACAAATACAGCAAAACTTACACTGCAGAAGTTTGGAATTTTTGCTAACTCAGAAAGGCTTAAGATGATCTAAGTAGATTCTATAAAGGAAGGCTTAGCTAAGCAACTTAATAATGCAAACAAGATAGAGGAAGACAAGTTTCTAGAAAAACCAAGCATTGTAAACACATTCAGCAACTTTAAGAGTTCTCCTATAAAATAAGCTTCCTTAAGCACCTCGATGGGTCACAAGTTCACTTTCAGATGTACACAATCTTAAAATGCAAACAAATGGCTCTTTTTCATAGATGCTCTATAATCAAGACTTTCCACAGATGCACATTATCTACTTTTATGCAAGGGACTTTGGTACATGAAATGGAAAGCAACATTTAAGACCACATTTTATGCTATCAGTGTTATTATCCTTGTCTTAATCTTAATGCCAGTGGCTATCATGTTATTGAACACTTTCCACGTGCCTGGCACTGTGTTAAAGATTTTGTATATATTACTTAATTTAATCCTATTATCCTATTTTTATGCCTGTTTTAAAAATGAGCCAACTGAGATTAGCGGTTAAGTTCTACAGCTGTGGTTACCTAGGTAGTAAGTAGCAGAGATGGGATTGAATTGAACTGGGCTAACTCTAGGGCCCAGGCTTTCAGCAGATGGTAATACAGTCGGGGAGGATAAAAGAAAAGATAAATAAAACTGTCAGGCAATAAATGATAAGTGTCAAATGAGATGCGGGTGATAAATGCTAACAGAGGGTAATAGCCCTTGGTAAGTGCCATTAGCTGGTTTGGTAATAACAGGTTTGCTCTGTTCAAGTCTTCATCTTGAAAAAGTATGATAGCAGCCCAGGGCTTAAGAACAAGTATACTGAAACGATGAATTGTTTCTGGATGGTGCTTCTATAGTTTGTCATATTGAATGCCAGATGTCACTAGTTCTTTGTGCAGTGTGGTGATTCCAGAGAAAGAAGGTGATTCCCCATAGCTGCAAATCAACAGTTAAGAAGAACCACATCTCTGAACATACTTCCTATTATTTCTATTTAAATGACATCGCTGAGAGCAAAGAAGAAAAAAAACTAAATCTCCTAGACACATAAAATTATAAAGTATCTTTATCTTTTTTTTTAAGTAAAAAACATTTAGAGCAACTAGAGTCTTCAGATTCTTTTATAGCCTGGTCTATTTTGCAAATACCAACCATTGTATTATGGGTATCAACAAGACAAGGATGATTTAGTCCCAACTTGGAGATGTGAAATAAACCACTATGCAGGTTGCATTAAATCAGTCCTGAAATGAATCTTCCAGATATTAAATCTGGGCTTTTCGGGACAGTTTTATTTGCTAATATGCCTAATAAATTGAAAGCTGCCAGTGTTGTCATGAGATGTATACCCTGAAAATCATAACCAATGTGAAAATGCCAATCTGCAGCAACCAGATGTGGCAAGGGACAGGGTTTCCAGGAGGAGGGTGCGTGCTGTGTTTAAGTGAAGCTCTGGCTGGCATGCCCGTTTCTCCAGATGCAACCACTCAGGATCCCCCAGGACTGTTGTCATTCCTGAGTTATAGAAGCAAGGGAAACACAAGGCTCTCGGATAAAAGCAAACCAGGCCACAGGACTTGGACAATGAAAACCTAGTCAATTTTAACTTTTGAAACCTTTGAAAGACAATATTCCTGTTGTAACCTGTAGCTTATTTGTTTCTCCTTATTTTATTTTGAGGTCTCTTAAATCACCACCAATTTGTCTAAAATTTAATTTTGTTCCACTTTTTGGGGGGCTTCCACAAAGTTTGGGATTGATGACTTTCTTGTCTCCTGTCTACCCAGCGTCCTATTGAATTCTAATTGGTCTGTGGCTGAAATCAAAGATATTAGGGCCATCCATCTCTCGGCAGGAAGAACAGCAGAATCGAAGTCAGAGCTGAGTTCAAACTCTGGCTCTATATACTCCCTAGGTTAGGTCATTTCATCCTTCCCACACCTCCTTTTCTCAGCATCTAACGGGGTAAAACATACTATTTCATAGGGTTGTTTTTAGTATGAAATGGGACATTCTTTGTAAAGTGCTTAGTGCAGTGTCTGGTACATAGTACATGTTCAAGGACCTATAGCTGATATTATTTCTGCACCGTACCTAAGTATTGAAGAACAGTAGGGGATACAATTCTCCTTATCATACATTTGGGGTTCAAGACTTCTTCCCAAGTGGAGAAATGGAAATCCAGTCTCTGACTTGCCCTTTCAGGTAACTGAAGGAGGAAATTAAACTCTGCACCTTAAAATTCTCACGGATCATGATAAAAGGCTCATCGAAAGGGTGCAGAATCTGGAGTTGGACCAAAGGAAGGTTAAGCACCAGGTCTATTTGAGAGAATTTCAGAGCCCCTCTGAACATAACTTTCCTGGTCTGTATAATCATGATAATAAAATACCTACCTCATGGTGTTTGTCAGGGTCAAATAAGATTATTTACATGAAAGAGGTCTACAGACTGTTAAGCTTTGGACCCGTCTGTAACATCTCCTTTTAGCACCCAGCACTGGGTCTGGGACATAGCAAGCAGCCAATTGAGAGGCTGTCACCTTTCCTCCAGCCACCACATCTGCATCTTTTTCAGTGTTGCTGTTCGGGATGAAAGGGAGGAGTGGGGCCAGGCTAGTCTCCAGGGAGGTCACATGACCCAGGCCTGGCCAATCTGAACAGTACATCCCCCAGAAGCAGTGACTTGTTCAGGGATGGGCACATGACCAAGCTGGGCCAATGAGAATAAGCTCCAGAACCTTTACAGGAACTATTAGAAAAAGAAGCTCCTTTATCTGCCAAACTCCATGCTGAAGAGGGTAAATGAAAATGCTGGGAGCCACCATGTAAAAACAGTCTCAATGACATTATTGAGCCACTAGATCCAGCCTTGCCTGGACTCTTTGAATTTTTAGTTTTATGAGCAAGTTTCCTTTCTTTATTAAAAAAGCCATTTTGAATTAGCATTCTATTATTTGCAAATGAGAATCTCGACTATACTTCAACAGTAGATATTGTCTTTAACCTTGTTCTATAAGCTAGATATTCTTTAAGAAGTAAAAATTTGTACAAAATGTATCTATGCACATTTCTTTCTGGGGAAGAGGGGTAGACAGAATCATTAGTCTACAGCATTCTAGATTTCTGCTTACACAGAAACCTCTCTGTTTTAGCAAACTGGCTTCTGCCCTAAACTTTACTGTAACTATCCTACGAATATATGTACTTATTCATTCCACATTCCCCTTGGCCTTTCCTGGTATCTTGAATTGCTGATCACCAGATGGGCCATAAAGATGGCATTAGACATTGGCTGGTCTGGTTTTGCCTTTCAGGGCCTCTGGAGTTTGTGGGGGGTGACCAGAGCCTAGGATCAGAATGATAAATAGAGACCATCTTACTAGCCAATTTCTGACTGCTGATGGCTGCTTGGCGATTTGTTTTGAGATTTGTGGAAGTCCAAGCCTAGGCTAAGTAGAAAAGTGTGTGATGATCCATTAACAATGCCTGCAGTGGGCTAGGGGGAGGAAGCTGAGGCACTGCTGATCCTAACAAACATTTAGAGCTCAGATTTATCAGTTTAGAGTTTTAATTCTTACCAGTTCACCTAGGGGGAGTTTGAGGTCCAAGAAAGTAAGGTGCTAAGATAAATTATTAATATAAAAGATTGATTGGTAATTTACATCTTTCCACTGACACCAATATCCATGTCCCAGGATCCTAAAAGGAGCTGGGGCACTTATTCTAGGAAGATGAAATGATGATCAGTTTTCCTAAAGTAGGACAAACTGTAGTGAATACACCAGAAGAAGGGTTTGGGATAACTTCCAAAGAACAGCTCCATGGTGTTGTCTGCATGTAAAATTTTCCCGAGTTCAAGAAGGAGAAAAAAGTACTTAGCAACTAAATTAGTTGTTCAAAACTGATATCTGATACAATTCTCATAGGGAATAGAGAAAGAAAACTGATCTCAACCAGCTGGTGAATCCAAATAGTCAACTGCCATGAACTGAACGTACTTTGTGTTTAAAATGTATGTGTAAACTGAATTCATGCTAGGCTAAGAACAGCAAATCTGAGTAGTAATCTCAGTTCTGGGACAATCTAGCTGGGTGACTCTAGATTAGCTTCTCTAAGTCTCAGTTTCATTATCTGTAAAATCAGTATAATAATGCCTATTTATCCCAAAGCATTGCTGTGTAGGTCAAATGAGAAATATGAAAGTGCTTTGTAAAGCTAGGAAGCATTATGCAAGTGCAAGGTATTATATGAGTGAACACACACTCTCTCTATATGTGCACATATACACAGTTTATGAATAATATATGAGCTCCCTGTGTCTCAGATCCATTTTGATCAATAATCTCACCTCCATGCTCACACAGAACATTAGGGACAAACACCTTGAATTAGTGCTTTGACAGTAACTACAATGGCATTGAAGAATAGTGTTGAAAAAAGGAAAACAAACAGGAAACTGCTGACAGTTGCTTTAAGTCACAAACTCTATCTGAACAAAACTCCTTGGCGAATCCCTAAGCAGTAATTCAATAAACAAAGCCATTCACTCGGTTTTACCCCCACAGTCCTTGGTGGCCCAGCAGCGCACATTCTGAAGGTTCACTTTGTTATGCACAGTCCCCATCCTAGGACTAATCTTTTTATAATGAACTTAATCCAGTTAGAACTCCCTAGAATGGCCACATGTCAAAGTAATTGGATAACGGCCCGAGATTTTGTAATTATTCTTACTCTTCAAGCAGAGCTGGTTTGAGTCTGCCCACCCCTCCTATCGCTGACAACCCTTCCCAGTGATAAAGCTAATACCAATGGGGCGGGGAGAGTCAGATAGCTGTGTCTTGTGGGGCAGGGTGTTAGCAGGAGAGGAGTGAGAGAGAGACAAAGGGAAGAGAGGTGGAGAGTCAGCCACTCCTGGTAGACAATCTGTCTCTCTTAATAGGCTGCTCCTTGCAATAAAGAAATGCAGACTTCTGAAGGCGTAGGTATCTCTGCACCATGGGGAAGAACAATTAACCCAGTTGAGAAAATGGTTTTGAACAATTTTGCAGCTGCTTGGGCACTGCTTCCCTTCTCATTTTTCAATTTACCTTTCCCCCACCGAAGCATGCCATACTTGCCTCTGCTGTCCCTGTTACCCTACAGCAAAGACATAACACCTCTTTTGGGGTAGTAGGCCCAAAAAATGACCTGAAAGAGGAAGTATGGGTTGAGTCAGTGAATATGGAGTTAAGATGCCAAAACTGTCCCCTAAAAACAGAAAATTCAACTGTATAACAAAACTAAAAGGGTACCTTCCACCTCCCAGTTTGTCCATTGTCTATGGGTGAAAGTCGTGAGCAAGTGTGGGCTTGCCATCCCCTAAGCTACTTCGTATGGTGACTTGATGGCTCTTTAATATCAAATGGGCCTCTCAGTTGTATCCCTAACTTACTCTGAGGTAAGAACAGTGGCTCCATTCAATAAACCCATGCCAACCTCGTGAAGGGTCTGTACCTCCAGTTGTCCACAGGTTGCTGATGAAATAGAGATGAGTATCAGGACCCCAACTGGGACTGACCTGTGACACCCGAGGAAAGGAAGAGGAAGGAGGGAAGGAGAGGCCCCAGGGTGGTACCTGTTCAGCTCAGAAGATTGGCAACACTGACACTCAACTTCTGGAAAGGGAATGGGACCCTGCTAGCTCATGCCCCACAAAGTCACATCACACTGATAACATATCAGGGAGTTGCTTTAATGACTGACCATGCAAAACTGCATTCCAGAAAAGAAAACCAAAGGAAGATCAAAAGCTTCGTGATTGGTATCCACATTTTTTTTTTTTTGAGACAAAGTCTCACTCTGTTACCCAAGCTGATGTGCAGTGGCGCAATGCTCACTGCAACCTCCACCTCCCAGGTTCAAGTGATTCTCCTGCCTCAGCTTCCCAAGTAGCTGGGACTACAGGCATGTGCCACCATGCCTGGCTAATTTTTGTATTTTTAGTAGAGACAGGGTTTCACCATGTTGGCCAGGCTTGTCTTGAACTCCTGACCTTATGATCTGCCTACCTCAGCCTCCCAAAGTGCCGGGATTACAGGCATGAGCCACCACGCCCGGCCCAGTATCCGGTCTTAGGCAAGAGAGATGATCACACATTCTGGCCTGGCCTCTCCACAGAGGTTCTGTGTCTCCGCCTGGAACCCTCTCCACATGCTATACTTTTAATATGTTCTAGGTCTGCTTTCAGTTATTCCAAATATATCAACACTGAGAGAGAGAAAACAATCCCGACTGCTTTAGGGCTAAACTCGGGTGTTTCCTCCTCCCAACACGTGCAACAAAACGCATGCATATGTGGCTCTGTGAAGAGGCAGCCAGCGTCTTAGGGAAACCCAAAACCATGTACAAAGAAAGAGGGCAGTGGTTCCACTAGGCCTGGGCCAAATATCTCTTGATTTGTTCTAATCTTTGGGCTTGTGCTTAATGTCATGATTGGATTAGAAACAAGATTTTCCTCCCAGGCTATGAACTTGGAAAGTTTCTCGCGTACTGTTTCTAAATTCCTTGTTACAATAATAGCCGCACTCTATGTACTAAGTTTTATGTGCTGTATTCTTATTTAATTCTTACGACAATGCTAGGGGGGAGTCACATCAAATGTAGGTGGTAGCAGTGAGGCTCTGAGATGAAACAATTTCCCTGAGTTTACCTGGCTGGTTTTCAATGAGGCTGGGATTGGGACTTGTGTCTGTGCTTGCAATCACTATACACGTTGACCCTTTAGCTCTTTCTTATGGCTGCTGATTTGAGAACCTATCCAAGGGCCTGAGAGACCAAGGGAGGGGACTCAGTTGACCCCAGTCCTCTCAGCCTCCCCAGCCTCTTTGTAATAGAGAATCAGTCCTGCTGCAGGACCTACAGGACCAGAGAGCCTTAGTATCACCCACAGATGCTACCATGGGGCAGCAGCATTGGGCTGGAGACATTGGGCCCCAACCTCCCAAATGCCTGCAGATAGCCTGGGCCCTGCCTTTTCCTACTGTGCCTCCCCAAGCCCCAAGGGGCAGCGGCTGTTAGGGAGGGATTCTCATGGTCCCATAGTGTTCCCCAGCCTTGTTCACGCAGCACAACAGTGACATCCAGGGGAGAGGCTTGGTGATGGCAGGGACCACCTGGCTCCAGCATCTTCTGCAGGTTTCTGGGCTGATTTGCAAGCACAGGCCCTGAATCATCAGAGGACAGGCATCTGGGGGCTTGTGGGTCCACAATCCCCTCTGCGGCCTGCCTGGGGTCTTTCGACACCGGACACACGCTCACCCCCTAGCCCAGCCTTCATCCCTCATTCTCACCCCTTCCCTACTCTTTGCTCAGTTACTCCAGGGTTTAGAAAGGGTGTCTTCAACTTGACCTACTGGAACACACAGCTGCTCCCCTCCCCTTCGAACACCTCTCCATTTGCAAAGCCTTTTATCAGCTCCATCTGATGATAGAGAACAGGTTTCTGGAACTAAAAATTAGCTCAGTCTTTTTTTCAAAGAGAAAAGATTTCACAATTAAATGGTGAATGTATGGGGGTGTATTGTTATTATTACTATTATGTCTCACACTAGCATTTTCTAGTTTCTATATATTGTGGTGTCCCCTTTGTTTTGATCTGCATGAGAAAGTCAGTATTGTCTATGGAAGTAAGAAACATACACTGCACAAAAGGAATTAGATCCTACACACACACACATAAATATGCAAGTATTTAAACATTTAAACAGAAACCAAGGGCAATATAAACTAAAAGGCTGAAAGAGAAATGCAACGAGAGAAAAAACAGATGCTTGCCTCTGCTGGGGACTTTTCTGGGGGAACATTTGGGCTGATGCTGCCCATCACCTTTCCCTGGCCTGTGGGTGTCATCTCTGCAGACTGCACTCTGGGATGTTCCCTGGGTCCCTCGGGAGCTGCAGGGAGAGCCACCGTCTGCCGCCCTGGTGCCTGGACTCCACTCCCCCAGGCCCCTGCTCACTGCTCTCTTTGGCCAGGAGGTGGCAGTGCAGAGATGTTGCATGGGACTGTGGCCCAAAAAGGAGGCATAGGAAGAAAAAAAACAGGCTGGGGTGGTGGGCCTTGAGGATTTCTGCCCCACAGCTGTGCCCAGGTCAGGGGCAGGGCCACCTGGGTCCTGGCTGACAGAGGCACCAGGGCTGCCAGTGTGAAAAGTGGGGGCCTGGTTCTTCATACACTGAGCTGGCTTGGTGGAATCCTCCTGGAAGAATGTGCCCCACATGCAGGGCCTGAGGCTGGATGCAGACCCAAGGGCTGGGGCTGGGCAATAATGGGGAAGGAGAGCCTGAAAGGTAGTTTTTTTGTTGTTGTTGTTTTGTTTTTTTCTTTTTTGAGATGGAGTCTTGCTATGTCACTCAGGCTGGAGTGCAGTGGTACAATCTCGATCTTGGCTCACTGCAACCTCTGTCTCCTGGGTTCAAAACTCTCCTGCCTCAGCCTCCTGAGAAGCTGGGATGACAGGCATGCACCACCACACCCGGCTAATTTTTGTATTTTTAGTAGAGATGGGGGTCTCGCCATGTTGGCCAGGCTGGTCTCAAACTCCTGACCTCAAGTGATCCGCCCACCTCAGCCTCCCAAAGTGCTGGGATTACAGGCCTGAGCCACCATGCCTGGCCAAGTTGTTTTTATTATTATCCTGAAAACTGCCACCCACAGGAAGGGCAGTGAATGACTGTGTGCCACACTTTCCCTTCTCTGCCGGACCTGACGCGCCACCCCAGCAACACCCCTGCCTTGTCCGGGGCCTGATGCACTGCCTGGCACACAGTGGGTGCTTGCCCACTATTAATAGTCATGGCAACAGAAGGGCAACAGAAGCCCCCACAGCAAACGGGGGCTGTGGATTTTTGGGTTCAGAGGAGACTCAGCGAAGGAAGAGGCTCCGTTGGAACAGGCAGGGTTTAGGTGTCATGTGATTTAGGTGCATACAGAGAACAGAGCCGGAGCCTGAGGGGGCTGCAGATGGATGTGAGGCTGCAGGTAGAAACTCCCTCTCAGCACCTGAGAGAAATGATTGTGAGGTCGGGAGACACTTTGCAAGTCCTTCTGAGGCAGGTGTAAGTTGTGGAATTTTCCCTTTCTGGAGATTTTTAAGAAAAGGAAGCTTTGGTGGATTGATTTCACTGCAAGATGCAGGGCTGAGAATTTCAATTGTATTTTTTTCCCCCATTAGCAGTTGTTTGTCTCAGCAGCTCTTGCTCTAGGAACAAAGTCTAATGTGACCCCAATATTTAAAGCATATACATGGATTCTGATTAACCATGAAGAAGGCCAGAACTCTGTTATTAGGGCTGCCCCCGGGTTATTCTCTTACCCAGGATAGTGTCAAAGACATCTGTGAGCACCGCAGGGCTCTGCTAAAGTGGGTTTGGAAATCATTGGTGGGGACTAATTGTCAGGGCCTGGGATTTGGTCCTTTCTGGTCATCTGCTGAGTCAACTTTGGGTGTGTCTTCCTGAGCTATGAAGGGAGGAGTGTGGACTAGCTTAGCAGTTCCCACACCTGGCTGCCCTTCAGGCTCTTCTGCAGAGGTCGTTAAAAACACAGATGCCTATGCCCACCCCACCTCTCCAGGATCAGAACTTCCTGGGGCATATGAGCATCTGTATTTTTCATGAGTGTGTCTGGGGACTCTAACAGTCAGGTCAGCTCACCCCTGAACAAGCTGACCTGTGGGGTGAACGGAGTTTCACCTGCGGGTGTTCTGAGGCTCTTATCTCCAGGCAAACCTGACTGGATTTGGTTAAGCTAAGCTTCCCTTCCAGTAAGTGTCACTGAGCATGGGCCACAGAGAATCCTGCAGTCATGGGGACCGTTCAGCGTCTTTGCAGACAGTCCAGGAGGAATGAGACCATGAGAAATTCAAAGCAACTGGGGGCTCCATGAAGTTCATATCTGTGGTATGTCATACACATGTGGTTCCATGAAATCTCAGTCCTGGGAACGTATCACAGAGATGGTTTCACTCTTATTATAGCCAGCCTATCCTCCAGAGAAAGATTCCTTACAGAGATCTTTCAAAAGTGTGTGCTGTGACTAGATACACAAGGCCAAAAACAGCTGACCCATGTAGACAAAAGACCCAAAGAACAACTGTCAAATATACAACAGTAAAAATGAATTTTTTGTCTTGTTTTTTTTGAGGCAGGGGCTCGCTGTGTCGCCCAGGCTAGAGTGCATGGCGCGAGATTACGGCTCACTGCAGCCTCAACTTCCTGGGCTCAGGTGATTCTCCCACCTCATCCTCCCTAGTAGCTAGGACAACAGACACACGCCACCACACCCAGCTAATTTTTTGTAGAAATGGGCTCTCACTATGTTACTCAGGATGGTCTCAAAGTCCTGGACTCAAGTGATCCACCCACCTCAGCCTCCCAAAGTGCTGGGATTACAGGTGTGAGCCACCATGCCTGGCCAAGATGAATCTTTTCTAGGTTTAGATTCAGAAACCAGTGTGTAAGGTGAGGTCACAGCTAGTTAAAATTACCCTTGAAAGTTCCTTAAACCACTGAAAAAATACAGCATTGGATGGCTTTGAATATACATACAGTCTGCTGTGGTCTAAATATTTATTTCCCACCCCACCCCGCCCAAATTCATCTGTAGAGGCCTAATCACTAATGTGATGCTATTTAGAGGTGGGGAGTTTGGGAGGTGATTAGGTCATGAGGGAGGAATGCTCATGAATGAAATTGTGCCCTTATAAAAGGGACCCCAGAGAGCTGCCTTGTCCCTTCCTCCATGTGAGGAAGTAGCTGGAAGGCACCTTCTATGATCCAGGAAACACCCTCAACAGACACCAAATCCGCTGGAGCTTTGATCTTACACTTCTAACCTCCAGAACTGTGAAGAGTAAGTTTCTGAAGTTCTAAGTCACCCAGTCTATGGTATTTTATTATAAGAGCCCCAGTGGAACAAAACAAGCTCTGCATAGTCATATGTGCATGTTAATATATAGAGCAGAGGAAGAGAAACGTTTTCTTAGAAGGCCAGTCAATACTTTAGCCTTTGTGGGCAACATACACAGTCTCTGTTGCCACTCAATTCTGTTTCTAGGAAAAAAGCAGCCATTGATAGTACCAAATGAATGAACTCTGTTTCGATAAAACTTTATTTACAGAAACATTCTGTGGGCCAGACTTGGCCTAGGGGCCAGTTTCCCAGGCCATAGTTTGCTGAACTTCTGTTACAAAACATAATAAAGAGGGGGAAAACCCATTTTACAAAAAAATACCTGCCTCAAAACATTACCACGTAAGGATGTGAAAGTAGGTCTGAAGAGCAGATTCATGTTTTTACCTCAGACTCACCCTGCACATACGCTGACCAAAATGGCAGTTGCAATTGCCCAGTATATAAATGATTTATCTGCCTCTCATGGCTCAGCACAGTGTCGGATTCCATAAGTTGCATACTAGCCTTCACAATTCGATATATAAATATGAAAACAAACACCAAACCTGAGCCAGGCACAGTGGCTCATGCCTGTAATCCCAGCACTTTGGGAGGCCAAGGCTGGTGGATTACTTGAGGTCAGGAGTTGGAGACCAGCCTGGCAACATGGTGAAATCCCATCTCTACTAAAAATATGAAAATTAGCCAGGCATGGTGACAGCTGCCTGTAATCCCGGCTACTCAGGAGGATGAGGCAGGAGAATTGCTTGAACCTGGGAGGTGGAGGTTGCAGTGAGCCAAGATTGCACCACTGCACTCCAGCCTGGGCGACAGAGCAAGACTGTCTCAAAACACGAAACAAAACAAAACCCATCAAATCTATTTAATTTCAGTGAGTTATAGTGCATCTTATAGATTCAGCATACAGCACATCTAAGCCATGGGGGGCAGGGAAAGGGAATATTATACATAAGGTTCTGTCCCTTTATCTCAGGAGATAACAGTCACAAGGAGAAAAATTGGCCCCAGGTAGAAGATCAGGCAAGGACAGCCACTGGGTGGGGGAGGTGGGTTCAGGCTATGTTTTTCTGCCAGCATTCTGCAAGAGACTAGCACCAGTGTTTTCTTTCAAATGGTCAAAGCACGAAGGTTCTTGTGAAACCCTTACAAATACTTGGCCTAGTATTTAAGGCATAGTGACTTAATGTCAACACTGGTTACAGCAACAACTGATTCCCAGCTATAAACAATTTTTATTAGTAAGAAAAATGTTGCTTTTGACAATAGGAAGGAGTTGCAGCATTTGATGGGAAAATCCAAGAAATGAGCTCCTGCCCTACTCCTTCTAGAAGGGAACCCTCTTCATAATAAGGAGGTTCCTGCTGACCAAAGCCTGATCCAGGCCAAGGCTCATCTGTTCCTGTCTCTGTCTATCCCTATAAAACTGTCTCATGAAGAGAGACCTCTGCCAAAGAAAGATGCAGAGTAAAGACACCCATGATTTAAGGTCTTTGATGCACAGGGCTGTTAGGGATGTAAGAAATATATGGTGCCACCCCAGAGAAACAAAGTGGGAAGGTCACTCTGACTTCCCTCATCCCTAGCATCCATGCTTACCGCCCTGGATCCCCACCTCGCCTGGCTGCTCAAGCCTGTCTTGAATCTTCTAGAGTTTCCTGGGGAAGTAGGAGGCAGCTACAAAGAGTTAGGAAATAGATTTAATGAGAAATATTCCCCCAAAGATCGCAAGTGCTGTGGGTTATAAACGAAGCCATGCATCATGGGGCCGCCTGTAATATTTTAAAAGTGGTGTTGGAAAACCGCCTCCAATAAACTTGGGAGAAGACGGATCACCTTTCTGAAAACGCAAAATAGGATGCTGTGGGCATAAATATATGCAAAGACCAGATTTTGATCCATCCTGAGTTAAGAAGCAAGGCCTCGTTCCTCTTTTCTGGCATTCCTGGTGCTCCAGCTGTAAGAGGTTTATTACTGGAGCTCAGCTCACGTTTACATTTCAGGCTGATTGTTGGCACCAGCGTCACATCTGGTATTACTTCCCCCAAGTGGCTGCATTCTGCACCAGGCACCCGGCCCTGTCACCCTCAGAAGTCCCCTCCAACATTTCCCCACAATCTCAGAGAAGAAGGGAAAATGCCAAAAAAAAAAAAAAAAAAAAGAGGGGAGAAGGCAAAGGGATTTAAAAAAAAAAAAAAAAGACAGAGAGGGAGAGAACAAAAGGCAAAAGGAACTACCATGAAGAAGAAAGAAAGGGCAAGGGTAGTGAGAAAAGGAAAAGTGAGAGGAAACAAAGAGAGTGGACAAACCCATGAATGGGCTGACCCAATTGGAGGCTGTCTGCTCTTGTACTTTTTCCAGAGATTAGGCCTTGTTAAAGATAAAAGTTATTCATGACCCTTTTATTCAGGACCATTGCGATGGGTGTGGGACCACAGCAATGAGGTTTCGCAGTCGGGGAGAGAGATTGGGCTCAACTCTGAATACAGTGTGGGCAGGTGGGGGTTTATAGCCAAAGAGCAGGGAGGGCGTCAGCAGATGGAAAATGACCAAGAACACACATCAGGGGTGAAGGGGGTTCTGGCTAAAGCCACCTAACAAGGTTTTTGCTGAGGACGGGTCGGGGAGACCAGACATCACCTGGGGGATTGTGGAGGATGAGGACCTTGACCAGATATCAAGGGTGGAGGATTCCGGCTAAACAGGCTTAGTAGGATTCTTGCAAAAATTATACATGAAAGTCCCAAAGTCAAGGCCTAGTTGGGAACAGGACTCAAAGGATCCTGACTAGAGTTTGGTCATGGAGAGAGATTCTTGGTCAGTATAACCCAAATGGATGCTTCTTCCACGCCCATGGCTGCAAGCAAATCAGTGCGACCTTCATGCATTGACTTAGCAGCTATTTCTGAGCAATTTACTATGCCCATCTCATCAGTGCCGTTGTGAGGATTCAAAGAAATAGGAAGTGCTTAGTAAAGGGCCTACCACCCAGGAAGGACTTAACAGCATCTTAGCTACTATGATCATCCATTACTCCTCAATGAGCCTACAGTTTCGTGGGGAAAGGGAGAATATGTCAGAATATTACATTCTTGGCCCATGTCTTTATACAACAGATCACTTAGAAATAGGAACACACAGCTGGTTCTCCTCCGTAACGTGAAGCTAATGATAACTATCTCACAAGGCTGTGGCAATTAAGTAAGATAATTGGTGCAAAGCACTGTATAGGTCTCCAGGCACAGAGAAGCACTTTATAGCCTGTTACCACTGCTGCAGAGCCCAGTGCCTGGCAGAGCCCAGTGCCTGGCACATCCGTGGCAGATGCTTGATATAGCCTTGCTGGATGAAGGTAGGCGCTGAAAGCATATTCTCACCCACACTCTCTTTTGGGCTCCATAATTTACTCTCGGCCCAGGGAATTGGGGCAACAGAATCAAACATTTACTGTGCACAAAGAGCTCTCATACATAAATATTTATTTGCCCTTCAAAATGTTTTCACTGCTGCCGGCGGCTGAGCACTGAAGAAATGCTATATTTAAGCATCTGAGTTGACGACTTCTAGAATACAGTCATAATGGGCCCCCAAATAGGCTTTTCCTGTGGAGCTGGGAACTGAGACATTTTACTTCAAAGGTGTCATTTCTGCTGGGGGGAAACAAGTGTCACTCCAGAGCCCAACAGTTCATGGAAAATGGTCTTATTCTAGATGATCAAGCGTCGGGAGGAAGGAGGCAAGAAGGGGGGCAGAATGCTTTGGCACTGGCTTCTTCAGAGTATTTGACCTTGGGCAGGTTACTTACCCTCCTGAACCCTAACCACTTAGCGACAAACTGGGAATAATTACCCCAAATGATATCGGGCTGGAGGAGGGGAGCACAGATAATGGACACAATGTGAGAGGACTGTATCTGGCACATATGAGGCTCTCCAAAATGGTTAGCTATTATAATCATTAATATATAATTATATATATAATGAATAGCAATTATTTGTTAGAAACACTGGCTTAGTTTTAGGTGGGGCCTGGGGAGCATAAACACTAGGACTCTCCGAGAGTAAAGGAAGAACACTTACTCCTAACACCTGTCAGATTCCCGGCTCACAGCTCAAAGCTGGTTAGCTCCTGCAAAGCAGGATCCTGGAGATAATCTATCCATTAATCAACAAAGTACTTCAAGATTACAAAAATATTTCCATTTTACAGATGAGACAAGTAACACGTGAAGAAAGGATGTAGCCTTTCCAACGTCATTTGAAGCCAAGGTCTTCTGTCTCCAAAGCCTAAGACCCTAGCACTGAGGGAGCTCAAACTCAGGCTAATTGGGGCCAGGCAGGTAAGGCAGGAGGGGGAAGTGGCTGGCAGGAAAGCAATTGTTTGGTAAACTGATGAGTAAAGAGATTGTTTAAAGAGGACAGTTCTAGCTGATTGTTGCCTTGAGAGAATGCAGGTCACAGTGGCCAGATCTTCTGAGTTTTCAAGCAAAATGAAAGCTCTGGAGTTTTAATGGTGAAAACTTTAAGAAACGTGTCTATGTGTCAGATTTAGCCTTACGTCCAAAGCCTTCCAGGTTCCGGCCTCATTCCTTGACCTTTTCTTCCAGAGACTTCAGAATGTCTTTGGGCATTCTGGAGGAAGGCCTGTTCCCTGGCTACACAGCCCAGGCCACCTAGAGGCACTCCTGGCCTTCCTGATGTTGGGGGGTGGTGGGGGTGGGGTGGGGGTGAGGCCCAGCTTACCGGGTGTTGCCTATTTAATTTTGATGTACAGATTTCAACAAGAGCAATTTATAAGTTTGACATTGTCAATGGTGGTCTGAATGGCTGCTTAGACTAATACAAAGGCTGCCAGAACCCATTAGCAAATCAATTGGGTAGTGTGGCATTTTTGAAAAGAAAATTATTTTTCTATTTTTGCAGGTTAGACAGCAGTGCTCCCTAGAGGCTCTCCCAAGGGGGACTGTGTGGCTGCCTTCTCTAGGTTGCGAATATTAATGGTTAGGACTCAATTGCTCCCCACTCTCCCTCCCCACAGCTCTGCTTCTCCTCTTTTCCTCACCACCAACAGGCTCAGCCTGTTCACTCGTTCAGGCTGCAGGTGTTTGCTGAGTCTCTTCTATGGGTTAGGCTGGTCTAGGAACCTAAGCCATGGGGAAGGAATGAGCTCAAACCCCATGGCCCTGGTGGACACACTCCAGTACCCACCCGATGGCAGGTGAACTGGTGCCTGCAAGGGGGCAGGCTTGGGAGACCTGTCACTGTGGAACCAACTTCCAAGTCTTTGTTGAGCCCAGAAAGCACAATGGCCTTAGGCCCACTGCCAAAAGGCCCAGGCTAAGAGCTGGGAATTGAAAGACTGTGTTGAGGCCAAGGAGGGAGATGAGGCCCCACAGAGTACCCACAGGGAGGAGATCTCTAATGGTGAGTCTGTTTAAATTTTGCATTGTGACATGTGATGGAATCTCCCTTCCTGCCCCCACCAGAGTATCTCCATTAGGAGCTACGACTTCAGGCTCAGGGATGCCATGCCTGCTGAATATGGTCTTCCAGTGCTAAAAGATGGAGACCAGCCAACAAGCATCTGGGCTGTGTCCATAGCGGCAAAATGAAGGGCAGTGATTGGGTGGTCTGGTCCAATCCAAACTCTGGATGCAGCCCCACCATCAACAAGCAAAACTCATTTTGAGTTTTAAAGGGGAAAATATAGACAAATAGCACTTGTGAAACTAGAAAATAAGCAATAAACTTTCCCAGAGAGAAATCAATTCCTTCCCACCTTATCTTGAAGGTAAAGGTTGTCTATCTCCCACTTCACATATATCCAATGTTGAAAGTAACATTAGAACAAAAGTCATCTTCAAAACCAGCCCGTTATTCTAAAGGGCATAAAAGGCCAGTAGCATCTCTGAGAAATCGGAGTACTAGAAAGTTAAGGTAAAGATGTTCTCCGTATGTGAGAAAAGGACAGCTTGGAGAAAACTGTCTACATTTATGTAGGCAATAGTAAGTAAGACTGACACAAAGTATATATGATGAAATATTTAGGTTTATTAAAAAAAATCAAATTACCTTTTACCTACAATGAGAAGGCTCAACCAGCTGATTCATAAAGAATCACAGAGGGGGCCAGGCATGGTGGCTCACATCTGTAATCCCAGCACATTGGGAGGCCAAGGCGGGCAGATCAGGAGGTCAAGAGACAGAGACCAGCCTGGCCAACGTGGTGAAACCCCATCTCTACTAAAAACACAAAAATTAGCTGGCCGTGGTGGCGGGCGCCTGTAGTCCAGCTGCTTGGGAGGCTGAGGCAGAAGAATCACTTGAACCCAGGAGGCAGAGGTTGCAGTGAGCCGAGATAGCGCCACTGCACTCCAGCCTGGTGACAGAGTGACACTCCATCAAAACAAACAACAACAAAAAGAATCAGAAGGTAGCAAGATTTTGAAATACTGCTGAGATACCCACAAGATCAAGGCCTAATTTTACCTCATCCCAGGTCTGCATATTCTCTTCACCTCAAGGCATTATTAATCTCAGCCTCCACATCCACTTTAAAAAAAAAAAGGCAGTGGCTCACACCTGTAATCCCAGCACTTTGGGAGGCCGAGGCAGGTGGATCACCTGAGGTCAGGAGTTCGAGAGCAGCCTGACCAACATGGTGAAACCCCGTCTCTACTCAAAATACAAAAATTAGCTGGGCGTGGTGGCGGGTGCCTATAATCCCAGCTACTCTGGAGGCTGCGGCAGGAGAATCGCTGGAACCTGGGAGGCAGAGGTTGCAGTGACCTGAGATGGTGCCACTGCACTCCAGCCTGGGCAACAAGAGCAAAAGTCTGTCTCAAAAAAAAAAAAAAAAATAGAGGTGGGGGTCTGGCTATGTTGGCCAGGGTGGTCTTGAACTCCTGACCTCAAGTGATCTTCTGCTTTGGACTTCCAAAGTGCTGGCATTACAGGCAAGAGCCACTGTGCCCAGCCCCTTCAGCCCATTTTAGTGTGTTGACCTTGGAACTGGCTGTGAAAGGCTTCGTGTTTCTGTGTCTTGTAGACCAAAGTGACTCAGACATCACTTTGGACATACATCCCCCAGGGGATCCTCTGAACATGCAGATTCTGGTATAGGAGGTCTGGGGTGAGGCCCAGGACCCTGCATTTCTGGCAAGCTCAGGTGACGCTGATGCTGCTGGTTCCCAGGCCCGCTTTGAATAGC
This sequence comes from Homo sapiens, assembly GCF_000001405.40. NCBI lineage: Eukaryota > Metazoa > Chordata > Mammalia > Primates > Hominidae > Homo > Homo sapiens. The sequence goes on from NC_000005.10 coordinate 168,957,597, forward strand.
CAGGGCCTAGCAATGGTTGCCAAGCCTGGTTGTGTCTCAGAATCACTTGTGGAGCTGGTCAAAGCAGACAGCTTCCAGGCCCCACCCCTACAAGAGGTTCTGCTGACAGGGTCCTGGGTGTGTGTTTTTAACAAGCTCCTCCGGTGATTCTGTTGCACCCTCCACTGTGTATGTGTTGGGGGCGGGAGGGCCACAGGTGCCACCGCTGCTAGATCTGCTTCAGCTACTTACTCACCGCATGACCTTATCCAAGTCACTTAACCACTCTGAGTCCCGAGTCGTTCAACTCATGCATTGGGGTGGGGGTTCTATAAAACAACCCAGTTTGGTTAATGAAACATCATTAACCAAATATTAAAACATAGGAATCATCATCAAACTATTTCATTTTCTCTCTCCACTACCCAAATGTCTTTCTGAAATGTTTTTGAGGGACTGTTAAGAATTGTTGCCTTCATACCTGCCACTAAGATAACTCCAGTATATTGAGTGGATAGAGTAGTGTGATAAATGAAGCATTCTTATTAACCATATATGGTGACCCTATAAACCATTTACTCATCATATATTTCAAAGGATTAGGATGTAAGAAAATCCACTTAGCACTGAAAGTTTTTTAAAGCTATCACGGATTCAGAAAACCTCCTAGTGGTGAATAGGGTTTCAAGGACCTCATTATACATGCACATCAGTATCTAACTGGAAGGATAGTTTATGAATGGTCAACTGCTTGAGGAAACTGCATGGCATTTTGTATTTTAAAGATATATTCATGTCCAGCTGCCAGTTTTTTGAGAATTTATTATATGTCAGCCACTGTCCTCCAGGTTTTATATGCATTCTCTCTTAATCCTCACAGAAACCTGTGAAAGATGTATTGTCATCCCCACTTTACAGATAGAAAGCTGAGCCCCAAAGAGATTAAATGATAATGTAAGCCAACTATCAAGTGAAAACCTGGTGTTCAAACCCAGAACTCTCTGCCTGCACAGACTATGCCCTTAATCACCATATGACACTTCCACCTTTCACATCTACCACAATCTTTGACACAATCCATGACAGTTCTTTGATATAGATTGGGAAGACTTTTCCCCCTAGAGAGAGAAGAGGGTTTCGGGAAGAGATCAGAAGGTCACCTGCAAGGGGCAATTCAATGGTTTGTGTGTGCTGTGGTGGAAGAAGGTGTCATGTGTACCGACATTCTTTTCTCCAAACTCCATCCTTCTCCCTCCCAATACATAATCTAACCTAACCCCTTGGATCTCCTTCCTATCCATGGCTTATGAATGAACCTCCACCATGAGTGGTATGGTACCCCTTTTACTTCCACCTGGCCAAGGGTAATGAATGTGTGCTACAGGGGGCTCCCCCATCTCCTATGCATGGCAGGCATTGCTAATCGATGACAGCTCTTTCCTTCAGGAGCTGAATGTGGCCATGCCACCCTTCCTGGCAGACGACTCCAGTCAGTCAATCTGGGCTGAGATTTGAAAAGAATGTGGTTGCTTTTCAGCCTTAAGCCTTATACACAGTAATGGAAATAGCATGTAGAAATGGCGAATTAGAAATACCACATATCTGAGAACTTCAAAGCCTGGGTTTTAATCCTGGCTCTGATGCCAACTTGTGACTTTGTGCAAGTTATGTCTCACTCTGGGCCTCAGTTTATCCATCTGTAAGTGAGGGGGTATGCCTGTGCTATAGAGAACTTAAAGTCTCTTCCAAGAATAACATCCTAGGTTCTGACAGGTGTTCAAAGCCAGATGGAGCTCATCAGGGGAAAGAAAGGCCCTGTCTGTGTTGACAGGACTGTGTGATCAAACCTGTATAAGAAAATATCCCACACGTGAAAACCACCCTGGAGAGCCCATTGTGCCTCATTGTCTGCGTCTGTGCAGGATAAAGCATCTATAAGTGGAAGAAAAAGCAAACACAGTGTCAGTTGTTCACATTATGAGAAACCACCTGTCACAGGCCCCGCCTCCAGGCTGCCTGGAGTAGGTGGTCTCTCCAGAACAGAACTTCAGGTGTGGGGGCCAGGAATCCATCCTAAGTGACGTGGGAAGAGGGCGTCTGGAGCTTGAGGACACAGCTGCTCAGTTCTTCTGTAGCTCCCAGGCCCCAACTCTTTGTCTTCCCTCCCAAGCTGGGAGTCAGCTTGGAGTTGCTTCTCCTTTGCTGAATTGAGACATTCAGGACCCTGGCTGTGGCATTTCGTGCCATCCCAGATGATAATGGCCAACATTTACCGAGTTCTCACAGGGTGCCAGGCACTGTGAGGTGCCTGGACACTTCTAACAGTCCTGTGAGGTAGGAACTACTATCATCCTCACTTTAGCGCTAAGGGAACGAAGGCTCAGGGAGGTTAACTTGCCCAAGGAGGCACAGCAGTAAGAGGCAGAGCCAGGAATCAGTCATGGGCAGGCAGGCTCCAGAGTCCTGAATTTTAGCCATATAACATGGCTGGTGGCTCCAGAGAGTCTCAGGTATTCTGTTGTATATTGTCTATGTAGCATGGTCAAATGACTGTCTTGCCTTTTGGATTTAAACTGTAGGAGGGCAGGGGCCATGTCTTACTCATTCTCCTCTGTACCTATGGTACCTGGCGTACTGCATGGCAGGTAATAGTCGGTGCTTGGTGATTCTCTGGTTAATGTATGCACACATAGATGAGTGCATAGAATCCAGAAGGCAGAAGTTAAGGAGCCATGCCTCTTCTCTGAATTACAAAGTTTTTGAAAAGAAAGAATTTAAACTATGTATTAAATGCCTACTATATGCCAGGAATTGTTCTAAGTGTTTGGTGTGATTGGTTTCATTAATCATCATAACAACCAAACGAGGTACAATCCCATATCTCCTTTACATGCAGAGGAAGCTCAGGCTCTAGGATTATAGTAAATTGTTTAAGATCACACAGATTTAAGTGGCAGAGCTGGGATTCAAACTCAGGCCTATTTGACTCCAAAGTGCCATGATCATTCATGTCATTCCATGACAGGAGGCATGTTCTTATTAGTGTGAGTCCAAAATGAAACCACCCTGGCCGAAGTTACCTTCTTGGGTTGGATGACAGCTCAATGACAGGAAGTGGTGGCTGCTTCCTCAGTGTCCCAGATAATGCTAAGATTCTAAGGCAGGGCCAGCAACACAAACCCGAGTTATGATTGGTGAAAGGAAGCTATCTGGGGCTCCAGCAGGGTTTTGCAGTCATAGAACCTAAAGCTGGAGCTTTATTAGTTTGCCAACACTAATCTTACTTAAGGAATAAAAGTGGGGGCATTGTACTCAGGAAAGATCTTGGACTGAGGCTAGGGGCCAGGAAGCAAGGCTTTTGGCAAGAGCCTGTGTCCTAAGAACTGACAATTTGGACTGTAAAGATGGCTAGTAATCTAACCAGCCATTGACCTTTAAAAAGCTCCATCTCCTCACCTGTGTAATGAGGAGTCCATGGATAATCTCTAACATCCCCTCCAGCTCAGAAAATCTTCATTCCCAGAAGGCATGGCCATTCCTTACCTCCCCTTTCCCCCTTCACTGCTAAAATATCCAGTGAGAGACCACTGCGTCTTTGACTGGATCAAAGCCCTGGTAGAGAGGAAACCCCTAGGTAACAGGACATAATTACTAAAGACTACACAGGTGCCCACTGCAGGAAGAAATAGCCAGCACATCCACTCATTCATTCAAAAGACATGTATTTTATTTCAGCCATGTACCAGACATGGTCTGAGTGCACTGATGAACAAACATAACAAAATGAAAATAAAATTAACAAAACTAAAAGCTGTAGACAGACTCTATGCTGTTTCTTGCACCAAGACTGATGAGCAGGGTGAGAGTGGGAGGTGAGAGCCCATATTAATCAAAGATTAACCAACATTAATAATACAAGCAAATAATATAAAACTATAATAGCAATAAGTACGTTGAAGACAAAATGTGAGTGTTATAGGAGTTTAGAGAAAATTGACCTAATGAGGAAGGCAGATGCTTGATCTGAGAACAAGGTGAACCGGTACCAGGGAACAGAACCTTCTGTGCAGAGAGAATAGTATGTGCAAAGGCTCTGTGGTGCAGAAAGCAGGATGGGTTAGTAGAATTGGTAAAAAGCTCTGTGTGGTTGCAGAAAAGGGTAAGAGGAGTCTGGAAAAGAAAGAGCCACGGGGCCTAACTACATATATTTTCTGTACCATGGTAGGAACTTTAATGTTTATCTTAAGAGCAATACTATACTATTTCAGGCATGCATGCACGCATGTGTGTGTGTGTGTGTGTGTGTGTGTATGTGTGAAAGACAGAGAATTGGTCAAAGCTGTGCTTTGAAAAGACCACTCTGGGTATGATATGGAGAATGGACAGGGGCAGGTCAGGGTGTTGTGACTGAGTCACAGAGCCTGGTGATTCTGTTGGCTCCTCCACGGTACAGAATTGCAGCATTCTTGCAGGGCAGAACTATGGATTCCATCTAGATTCCCTGGTGATCTACCTGCTGGAATCCTGCCTCCACCAGCATCTCTGGGCAGCTTCTGTACCCATGGGTGGGGGTGGGAGTGGGCTTCAATGTCCCACAGGCTCAGGGCATCTCCCAAGTGGCTGGTCACACTGGAGATGCAGCTTCCAGATGTGGAGAGCACAAGCATTCTGCCCTCCAGACAGGATCAGACAGTGAAATTCTGCCTTGGAAATCAAACCACACCCCCCACCCCACAACACACACACACACACACACACACATACACACACACACAGTGGTACCCCACATATCTGTCAGAGACTTTTTCCCCAGACAAATAATGATTTATGGGAGGCTGTTCTGTTTCCCGCCTTTCTCTTGCTCTATTTTAGGAGAATATAACCAGACCATGTGTTTTTGCTTAGCCTGACACATTCCGAGCAAGCTTTCTATATTCCGTGTGCTGATGAAAGGTCTTTGCTTAAGAAGTAGAAGAAAGAAAAGAAAAGAAAAAAAAAAAGTGAGCCCAACCCCCATCTCCCCTGGTTGGCCAAAGGAAAGGTCATTATCCATACCCTGGAGTCCCACTGAGGCCCCCCAGGGCAGCCTGAGCTGGCGCTCTTATGACCAGACTCTGGGGTAGACCAACACTCCCACACATCCCACTTCATGGATGAAGAAAGCTGGGAGGGATGAAAGGTGGGCGCAGTGGCTGCCTTTTAGCTCTTAGACTCACTAAGCACTTTCCCTCCTTGGGGCCTTTGAACCTGTGGTTCTCATTGCCTAAAATCCTCTCCTTCCCACTCTTCACACTGCTGATTGCTCCCCTCCCTCAGGGCTCAGCTGAAATCACATCTCTTCACAGCAGCCGTTCCTTCCCCATCACTCCATCCAAAGCAAGTCTCCCCGAAACTGTCCATCTCAGCACCCCATTTGTTTCTTTTATGGCAATGATCATACATGGTCATTATTACATTTAGTTTCTTACTTACTTTTGCTTTTTGCTTCTTTATTTCATTTGGCGAGGGGTTGGCGAACTATGGCCTACGGGGCCAATCTGATCCCACTCCCTGTTTTTGTAAATAAAGTTTTACTGGAATGCAGTCACTCATGCTTATTTCTTTTCTTTTCGAAATGGAGTCTCACTCACTGTTTGGCCAGGCTGGAGTGCAATGGTGCAATCCTGGCCTACTGCAACCTCCATCTCCTGGGTTCAAGCAATTCTCCTGCCTCAGCCTCCTGAGTAGCTGGGATTACAGGCATGCACCATCACACCCAGCTGATTTTTGTATTTTTAGTAGAGACAAGGTTTCTCCACGTTGGCCAGGCTGGTCTTGAACTCCTGACTTCAAGCATTCTGCCTGCCTTGGCCTCCCAAAGTGCTGGGATTACAGGCATGAGGCACTGTGCCTAACCTCATGCTCATTTCTTTACAGAGTGTCTATGGCTGCTTTCACCACACAAGGCAAAGGTGAGTGGTTGTGACAGGGACTATTCTAAGCCTAAAATATTTACTATCTGCTGTGTTACAGAAAAAGATCAGTGACCCCTGGATTAGACTGTCAACTCTACGAGGGCAGAGACTAAGCCTTGCTTGTCTAGCAGTGTGTTAGGTACCTGATTCAGAGTCTGGACCATCATAGGCGTCTGATAGGCAGTTGCTGCGAGACAAACCCTTGCAAATGCCAGGTTGGAACTTGTCGAATCAATGACCAAGAGGCTGACCTTCATCTTCAAACCTCAGGCTCTCTTTTGTTGGCTTTATATAAGGCTTGCCTTACATTTAGTTTAAGTAAAAACCAGGAAAATATGTTTCAGTTTCCTACCATAGTGCCTTAAGCAAAATAAAAGGCAGAGTTTTAAGGGAGGAGGGAACCCCTCCAACTGGATTTTAAAAGACCTACTGAGCAATAAATATCAACGATTATGATTTATGAGGCCACGAGGAGTTGTCCCTAGTTATAATAGCAAGCTCAAAGAAGGCAGCCCAAATGGACAGAAATGCAGGGGGCTACATAAAAGCAAATAAAATAAAATAATTTACTAGTTTGATTTTCCTCCAAGCAGGCAAACACTTCCTGCTGATAAATGGTGAGCATTTGTGCAAGTCTTAATAAAGCATTTGGGAAAACACTTCTGTAGCACAATCAAGATTTTTTAAAAAGTCACCCAGTCATGGGAAAATATTAGGAACGATTTAACTGGACATAGTGATGGAATACTTTGAAAATTATAATTTGATCAGAGACATCCAATGTGGATTTATGTGAGGGAGAGTTTAATACCTAACCTGTTGGAAGTAAGTTTCCTGGATGAATTACTACCATGGGAGATAAGAGAGAGGCAGATATTTACATGCACTTCAAGAAAGCCTGGGGCATAGTTTTACGTATTATTGGCCAACAAAACATACAAAGAGAGATTAGGAGCCTATGAAACACATAGTGCCAAAGCCCAAACTCATTTCATTTTTCAAGCTGGACAAAAGGTAAGAAGTCAGGTGGATTGAGTGAAACTTACTGCGTATAAATAAAGCACAAACTGAGAAAATGTAAAATAATCCAGTTAAACACAGTCAACCTTTCAGCCTTCGGGTCACCTAATAGAATTTGTTTTGAATCTTTCGGCCCAAATGTTATAACTGAGGCAAAGATATAACATAAGCCAGGATGAGCATCAAAGAAATTGCAGTCAATCTCAGTTGTTAGTAGGTGAACCCTCTGGAGATAAGCAAAGGGACCCCTTTGCCATAAGGCATGCCTGCTCTGTATCATCTGCACACATTGCAAAATACATTTCCTGATGCCCACTAGGGCCCTTAATACATTTCCAGTGAAGAAGGCTCTAAAAGATAGTAGGTATGGTTGATGTGTCCAAAAGCAGTCTGCAGGTCACAACCAGGACCAGAACCAAGACTAGGGAGACGTGTCTGAGACTCACCCAGGGCACATCTCTAAGGAAGCACTCACATCCCTGAAAGAGAGAGGGCCTCCTTAAATGGTGCACCCTGGGCACCTTGCTTGTCTCAGCACAGTCTATGCTGTATGTGGGACTTTGTTCATCTCAGAACAATTGAGCTCACCTGGGTCACTCTCAAAGGGTAGAAATGATCTCCTTCATTTAGGGTACTGTACTATGAAAGAGAAAACTCCTATGATTATAAATATCTATTGGAAGAAAAAATGGTTAGAACTTAAGATATAAGCCTATTCTCCTAGCATTTGAGAGATAAACATGTTGTTTAGGCGACTTTGCTCACTTCAACAAGGAAAGATACTCACTTTAAGTGGATCTAAAACAGAAAGATGGGTTTTGAAATCATAATAGCTAAGGAGCAAACGTTCAGGCTTTGATGGGACCTTTGCTCTTGTTACTCTCAAATATGAACTTGAGAAAGTTATAAAATACTAAATTACTTTGCCCATATAGCCCCAAAATACATCTTTGTGGTTTTCATTGCATTTTGACCAATATTAAGTTAGTTTAGGAAAATATGAGTTCTGCCTACTCACACATGGGTCTCTTCTGGTGTATCTTTTGCTCATCCAAAATGAACTTCATGCCAACAGCACTTTGACATACCAGTGTAGCAAACTGCTATTATGCACCTACCCTAAGTACAGACAGAATTCTTCTCTATCGCTTATCAGCAATGACACCTAAAAGTTTACTGTCTCTCCGAGGGCAAACTTTCCACTTGATTCTGAGTTGGTGCTTCTGGTTTCTAGGTAAATAGCTCAACAATCCCAGTTAGGATGTACTGTGAGGTGTCAACCTCTCCAATTGTGAACTCATGCCAGCGCACGCTCTCTCTCTCTGTACTTCATCCTACCCTGTTTAGTGGGAGAAACAAGATCTGCTTTCTAAGCCACAAGATGGCAAGACCTCAGAGCTGAGTATCTCAACAAGGAAAAATAAGCAACAGCGTGTGGTTCTCTTACCTAAGCAGGCCAAAGCTTAGGCAGTCATAATGTGCAGAAGTGCCTGAAGAGATGCTATATTGATTATGAGATACGATTGTGAATTTTATTACCTTCCGGGAAAAAATAGGCAACATAAAAGCAAGAGTTTTGTGCCAGATGTAAGAATTAAACTCTACAGTTATCTGATTAGCATTAGAGACATGTGCTTTGAATGTGAAACACTTGTAAGTCTCCCCAGGTGAGCTCTCGATCTTATCTGTGCCATGTATGTAGATTTTTATATGCCTGCTCTTCTCAAATGGGACCCAGATGAAGTTCAATCATTTGCCTAGAAGAGTCTGAGAGGTTCGCTGGATTTTTTTTTTTTTTTAATTTTAGAAGCCAGCATGATTTTTTATAAGAGAAAGGCAAAGCTTTGGGACTTTGCTTGGAATTGAAGGGGCAGCCTGGGTCAGGGCACCAGGAGGTATGAGACTGAAAGAGAACTAAAGGGATCCATCCCAGTGCTGCCTCTTGGTATGCTACCATGGGACTGCCCTCCTTGTCTTTACAATGTCAGCTCTGGGGACAAAAGCTTCTTCTTGAGTCTACATATTACACCTGGTGGTGAGAGAATCTCCTAGTCACTGCCCTCACACATATCTTAAATGCATCCTCCAAAATGTTGCTTGATTCTGCAAAACCTATTTCTGGGCACTCTAAATATCCCCCATGCCTACTCCTCTTCTGTCTGGAGAGTTGCAAGAGAGATGCAAGTCAGAGTTAGGTCATGGTGTTCCTTCCAGCCTCTCCAACTTTAACAGCATCTACCATTTTGTTAAATGATGATCCCCCATGAACGTGAGGACAGAAAGAGACAGGTGCTCTCATGCATTTCTGGAAGGAATATAAACCGGTAATGTCTTTCAGTTGAGCAATTTGGCAATATATTTCAAAAGCTCTTAACGTGCACATAACTTTTTATTTAAGAGCTTTACTCCTAAGGAAATAATATGACAAAGCCCCCCAAAAATATATGTACAAGGATGTTCCCTGGAGCACTTTGGATGATGGAAAAAATTGAAAACCACCTAAATTTCCCAACTGTAGGAGCTAGTTGTCATGGCCCACCTACTACAATGGAAGAACAATAGCCATTAAAAAGGATGTTATTTATGAATTTGGAAAAATGCTCTGTATATATTTTTAAAGTGAGAAGGTAGGTTTCCAAAGAGTACATATAGTATAATCCAATGCTATAAATGTGTGTGTGCATGTGTATATAAGAGAGACACACACTGGGGTAAAATTGCACCAAAATATTGCTAGTGATTATTTCTAGGTGAACAATCATGAGTTTAAATTATTTTTCTTTTTTGGCTTCTCTGTCTCATGTAACTTCTCTACAGTAAATATATAACACTTGCGTCATAATTTTTCTAAGCTGCCTTGCATTCCTCTGGCACTGCCATCTCAAATCTTTTTTTTTTTTTTTTTTTTGAGACGGAGTCTCGCTCTGTCGCCCAGGCTGGAGTGCAGTGGCGGGATCTCGGCTCACTGCAAGCTCCGCCTCCCGGGTTCACGCCATTCTCCTGCCTCAGCCTCCCAAGTAGCTGGGACTACAGGCGCCCGCCACTACGCCCGGCTAATCTTTTTGTATTTTTAGTAGAGACGGGGTTTCACCGTTTTAGCCGGGATGGTCTCGATCTCCTGACCTCGTGATCCGCCCGCCTCGGCCTCCCAAAGTGCTGGGATTACAGGCGTGAGCCACCGCGCCCGGCCCATCTCAAATCTTTGAGGGATTTTTCATTCCTTTCATTGCACCTGTCCCTCTACAATCACAATATCTGGTGTGGTCAGCCTTCATCTGCAGGAAGAATAAAGCCTCGGGTTCCCACTCTACTTCCCACCATGCAAGGCTGGCAGAAAAGATGATGTCTGCACTCTCCAGTAGAGATTTCAGACACTCTCGTACCTCCTGCTAGCACTTTCGTGCCTGCACCAGATTCTCTTCCCAAGCTTTGCTCACCTGCTCTGGCAGGCATTCAAATTCCTTCCTCATGGCTCTCCCCAGGCCTTGGAAAGGAGAGTGGGTTTTTAAGATTCCTTACCATTCTCCTCCCTGAACATAAAGATTAAGAATGATTTATCTCTCCCCTCCCATTAAATATGCCATTCCTTCTCTCCAGTCATCTCCCCCTCTGCTTTCCCGGGTCAGCAAGGCTAAGGCAACTGCTCAGCACCATCCTTATCAGCAAGCTTAGCGCCCCCCTCTCCTCCCATGCCCTTGCTTAATCATTACTCTTCTTGGGTCTCCCAACACAACGTGTAAATCTTCTCATTGCCTCTCCCTGTTACCCTGGAATTCAAGCTCCTTCTCTTCCCAAATATGGCAGGCATAGGAGCTCCAGACTTCACACTTGGACAGCAGCAGAGAGACGAATCCCATCCCTGTTGTCACCTTGGCAGACACCACTCTTCACTGCCATCATTGTCAACAGTCTCGCTGCCAACTTTGGAAGGTGTCTTTGTATCTGGCCCTGTTGGGTTCATTACAAAGGGAATCCTCCTATGAACTTGTGTATACCCTTAGAAAGCACCTGTCTTCAAGGAGCTTAAAATCTCACTGGGGAGACATGACATAAAACTTAACATGCTCATCCAGTAGCAATCTGCCTCCCACCTCACCTGTCAACCAAAACTGGTCTTCTAAAGCTAAGAGTATCCTCTCTTGTTTACCAAATTCATCTCCTAACTTCACACTGTCTTGGCTACACACCTCTGTAGGTCTTTGCCCTACTGAGCATGATCTACATGAAACTCAGGAAAATTTAAAGGCTTTGACTCAGACAGACTTAGGTCTGTCTTAGCTCTGACTCTTTCTAGCCGTGTGACCTTGAGTAAGTTACTGTACCTCTCTGATCTTCATCTATAAAATGTTGACAATGTCTACTGTGCACTGATGACTTCAGAAGCAGAAGGAAACCCAGGTGGAGTCTACGAATAGGGCAAAGCCTATTTGTTGGTGATAGGTGCAGTTTCCTCCAACTTGGTCTGGAGGAGTTTTGTTCAGAAAAAATTCCAGATTATTTTTCCCCCGCAAGATACACCAAACTTGAAGTAATAATAATAATTAATCATTTTGATGTAGAGTCATTCTCATCTTAACCAGCAGAGAGGAACAAAGTCACGTGAGGAGTAAAATGAAAGAACTGTTGGGCGTTTTTGTGTTTGGTTTATCTTACCCCACTGAGCCAATTCCTCTATTTTCTCTTTAAACAGACACAGTGGAGGCAGTTAAATGAGCCTCAACCTGAATGCAGACAAGCAGGGAGTCAATTTTAGGTTGTGATGAATAAATTATGCAGAGGTTTTTGGCTTTAATTTTCTCCTCAGTTGACATGTTGTACTTTGAGCTGCCTACTGCCCGGGAGTCAGCGTTTAACTGGACGAAAATAGACAAAGCTAACCTGTGCAATCCTTGGCCACAGGCGGTTCTGTTGTTGACATCTACATTACCCCAAATTGCAGGACTTTGTTTTTGTTTTTCTCCTGTTGAGGGAAAGAGCAGCAGGAAGAGAATCCCTCCCTTGCAGGTCATCCTGAAAACAGCCATAAAGCTATCAACAAGAAAAGCAACCGGATGGGGCTGCTCCGCTCAATCTGGCTGATAAACACATCTAGATGGTTTTCTGACAGGTTAGGAGCTGACAGCTTGATAAATGGGAACGAGACACCTTGAATTTGTTGGTGACAGGTGCAGTTTCCATGAACTTGCTTTCTTCCCCTATAGCAGCCCCAGCTCCTGGAGAGCGGGAAGGGAACACTTGGCTCAGGTTCACTTTGGGGCTCTCAAAACTAACATTCTCATGGGGATGGAAGATTCATTAACAGCAAGCTTAGCTAATTTCTTCCTCATCATCCTTTAAGAAGCAAAGACAAGGCTGGGCGCAGTGGCTCCCGCCTGTAACGCCAGCACTTTGGGAGGCCGAGGCCGGTGGATCATGAGGTCAGGAGATCGAGACCATCTTGGCTAACACGGTGAAACCCCTTCTCTACTGAAAATACAAAAAATTAGCCGGGTGTGGTGGCAGGCGCCTGTAGTCCCAGCTATTCGGGAGGCTGAGGCAGGAGAATAGTGTGAACCCAGGAGGCGGAGTTTGCAGTGAGCTGAGATCGTGCCACTGCACTCCAGCCTGGGCAACAGAGAGAGACTCTGTCTAAACAAACAAACAAACAAAAAACAGCAAAGACAAGGCCAGGCGTGGTGGCTGACACCTGTAATCCTAGCACTTTGGGAGGCTGAGGCAGGCGGATCACCTGAAGTCAGGAGTTCAAGACCAGCCTGGCCAACATGGTGAAACCCCATCTCTACTAAAAATACAAAAATAGCCAAGCGTGGTGGCACATGCCTGTAGTCCCAGCTACGCGGGAGGCTGGGGCAAGATAATTGCTTGAACCCCGCAGGCGGAGGTTGCAGTGAGCTGAGATAGCGCCACTGCACTCCAGCCTGGGCGACAAAAGTGAAACTCTGTCTCAAATAAAAAAAAAAAAAAAACAAAGACAAAACAAAAAACAAACAGCTCCTCTGAACTAAAACAGTGTATGACAGTTCCAAGGCAGATTTGTGCAGGAGTCCAGCACTGGGCTGTTTTATGGCCACAGATTATATTGCTTACAGCTGTCATAGCAAGTTATGGCATTTGTTGTGGGGTATCTCAAACTCACTCCTGCCCCTGCCCTATTCTATGTAGTTTCCTACTCCCACCCTGAAACCAGAAAGATCCTCTTTTTCTTACTATAAAGAGCCCAGATCATCACCATTTCATCACTTCCTGGCTATGTTACCTTGGGCAGGGTATGTAATATCTTTGGACCTCAGTTTCTTTATCTGTGAAATGGAGAGTCATTTATTCAGCAAATATTTATGGAGGACTTATTTTATGCCAGGCATTTTGCAGGCATCAGCTTTGTGGTGGTAAATCAGACAAGTCCCCTCCATGAAGAGCTTGCATGCTGGTGGACCCATCTTCTTTATCCATCTGCCCAACAATTCATTCCTAAACATCATCCACAGGCCAGATGTTACTCTAGATGTTGGTGATTCATAGTAAAGAAGGCAAGTTTCCCATCTTGTGGAGTGTATGTGTGTGGAGAAATTGTACAAATGAGGCTAAATGAGATGTATGCAAGGAAAGTACGCTATTAGCATATTTCAAGTGTGCACCATCTAGTGACCATTGCCCTATTATCATCATCTTCAGCGTCACCATGCATGAATCACCTGAGATCACTGTGACAGACCAGTTGTCCCAACTGTGGACACGTGGTTTTCATGCTTTATGCCTGCATTACACATGTGAGAGGTTGGGTGGATCTAGTCTGAGGACAACATGGCCAGGTGGTGGGAGCTTCCACTGCACCATGCAGGGACCAGAGGTTCCACTGTACCCCATTGCAGGAATCATTTCCTTCATTTCGCTGTCTTTCTACATGGTTGTACCTAGTATAAACTGAAATACATCTGATTTTTTTCTTTTCCTAGTTGATCTGCCCCTTCCCACTCCCAATCCCGAAACAGACTTCATAACTGCACCTCATGGTCAAATGTAAACTTTAGCATACATATTTCCTGAGTCCCAGGATATCTGTCTTCAATCATTGAGAAGTGGATTTTGTTTTTAATAAAAAACATTCAATAAATATCTGTAGAGACAAATGCATAAGAAAGATGTGCAGATGTCCACAGCAAGTAAGCCGAAAACCAGAGCATCCCAGAGCCCTCTGCTCCATAGAAATGTCTGCTTTGATTCTCTTTCTTCTGAGGGAAAACCTTTCCACCTTCTCTCTCACCCTCCCTCCCTTGAGCATATTCCATGAGCAAGGCTCTGGAGCTACCACCTTTTAGGCTCCAGGGCTACCTTCTAGGTTCTGAGGCTACCTCGGGGAGCGAGAGAGTTCAATGGACTTAGGTTATAGTTAGGGAAATAGGGAACACATAAGACTACATGTAGATAAACTGCAAAAAATAATTTCTGTAAAAAAGTTGTTATGTAGTCATGGTGATGGGAAGTATTTGGAGGAGGCCATATTACACAGGGCTGCGAGGAAGGTCCCTCTGGGGAGGTGATGACTCTTGAGCTGAGACCTGAAGGGGAGGGCTCCAGTGAGAAGACCTGGAGAGGCATCCAGGCAGAGGCAGAGGCAGAGCAAGCACAGTTGTCCTCCCAGTGGACTGGGGAAAGAGGAAGCACCAGGCAGAGAATGGTGCAGGATGAGGTTGGGCAGGGTAGGTGAAGCCAGGTAGAAGCACGACCTTGAGGGATCAGGTAAGGAGTTAGATTCAACCTGGCTTGTTGATGGCTAGCTGCAGGACAACATGTGTGTGTGTGTGTGTGTGTGTGTGTGTGTGTGTGTGTGAAGAGAGAAATCAGAAAAGAAAGAGTCTTAGGTTTTTGGCTGGAGCAACTGGGTGGATTATGGCGGACCCTTTTCCTAGGATTGCTTTAGGGCCACCTTGGTGAGGACTCCCTAGATCTTATGCTTGAATCTCAGTTTCCCCACTTGTCAACTGAGTGGCTCTGAAAAGTTACATCACACCTCTGAGCCTTGGTTTTCTTATCTGTGAAAATGGCATATTACCTTTGAGGTAGGGCCGAGGCAGGGATGACACGAGATGGCCACTGGGAAGCACTCAGTGTGGAATGAAATCCTGATGAAGGTTCCATGCCTGTCAGATTCCTTTCCTTCCTTCCTCTTGCTGTCTTCTCTAGACTCATACCTGTCTTTGCCTGTTTTAACTCAGAGTTTGCTTGTTGCCTCACATTGGGTGTGAGAAGCATGTAACATTTCATCCACACTTCAAGGCAGCTGTTGTCACTCTACTCTCTCCTTCTGTTCGCAGGTCAAATGCATTCTTTCCCCAGTCCTTCCGTCCCCCCAGGCCGTGCCACAGATATCCCCCACATGGATTCTTTTCCTCTTTAGGTGTAAGTTCCTGGTAAAAGCAGAGATGAAGTGTTTGGCTAAGCAAAATGCTGAGAGTAGCTGGCACAGTCTTTCCTTAGATGACCTCTGAAATTCTTTCCAACTTCAGTATGTTAAGCTCCAGCTTGTCCTTGAAGAGCCCAAAGGCAATAATGGGACAAAGACCAGTCCCCCATGCCTTGTTTCCATGACAGCCATGAATATAACTACAGTTTTCTAACTGCTGGCTTCTGACCCATGCACAGAAGCAAAACCATCTAGAAATAACTTTTTTTCCCTCTTTTTCATTGAAAATTTTAATTATTATTATTATTATTTTGGAGACAGAGTTTCACTCTTTTTGCCCAGGCTGGAGTGCAGTGGTGCTATCTCGGCTCACTGCAACCTCTGCCTCCCGGGTTCAAGCGATTCTCCTACCTCAGCCTCCTGAGTAGCTGGGATTACAGGTGCTCACTGCCACACCCAGCTCATTTTTCTATTTTTAGTTGAGACGGGGTTTTGCCATGTTGGCCAGGCTGGTCTTGAACTCCGATCTCAGGTGATTCACCTGCCTCAGCCTCCAAAGTGCTAGGATTATAGGCGTGAGCCACCATGCCTGGCCTTCACTGAAAAATTTTAAACTGCCTTATTGAGATAAAATTTACACGGCTTGTAATTCATCCATTTAAAGGACAGAATTCAGTGGTTTTAGTATATACACAGATGTGTGCAACCATCACTGTCGTCAATATTAGACAGTTTTCATTACTTCAAAAAGAAGCCCCATATCCCTTAGCCACAAACTCCTATACCCTCTTCCTCCTACCTAGCCCTGAGCAACCACTAATCAGGACTCACACCATGCCTACCTCACTGTTAGGAAGAATTGTTCTTAATTGACAAGGAAGACGTCTTAAATATTAGCTAATTTCAATCCTGAAATGGGATATGCTTAACACTTTGTATATAAATTCTGGACATTTATAATGCAATTCAACAATGTCAAGGGGGAAAAGTTGGATTCCTTGCTAATGGAGCTCTCATGAAAAATACGGGTAACTAGAAAACCATAATTATGAAATCATCTCATTCTCGTGTTGTTTGGAACACTAAATTACACATTTCTTAAGAAGCTGGCATCTCTCTCTCTCTCCACCTACCTATCTACCTACCCATCTAAATATTTTCAGAGTTTGTTCTGAAGTTTGAAAAATTATATCCAGAGAGGTGCAGCGTCTTGTTCAAGGTCACACAACTACTTTGCAGCGTTGTTGGACCACCCAGTAAGTTCTCTTGCCTCTTGGTTCACTGCCTTCTCCTGCTTCACACTCTACTGAAGTCACATCACTAAGGGCATCTGACTCATGAAACTCAACTATATTGCTCAGCAAGAAGATAAACATTCTTTGTTGACCCCATTATCTTTCCAGTTCAAACTAGATTGTGGCCTCTACCACTCCAGGAAAGGCCAGATCCCAAAAGAAAACAGACTTTTAAAAAGTAAGTTCCTGTTTGGCTTCTGAATTTTGAAGAGACCAGTTTCTAGAGATTTAAGGGTGACTGAAGGGGTTTTCAAGGGTACATTTGACTGCACAGATTTTCATATCACTGTGGCTTTAGATCCAAAGGCCTGCATTTAATAGACTACTGTATTCCTTCCAAAAGTTCTAAGATCCGTAGAACTTTTCCTCTTAGAAGAGGCTTTTGGGCTCTGGAATCATCTTGAGAGAAGAGGAGGGGTGGCCCTTTAAAGACACCAGTTCAGAATGTGGTCACTTCTCTCTTTAGGGAGGGGCTGTCACCCACCAACTCTGCCCCAGGTCCTCTGCCGAAAAGGCTCTCAGCCATGCCAACCTCTCCTCCAAAATACCCTGACTGTCTAACTCCCATGCATCTGATCCCAACTGCTGCAGGGGGTTCAGGAAATCCCCAGAGGAGGTGGCCCTGGCCTTCCACATATTAGCACACCCCGGAGAATGGGGAAAGGACTGCAAGTGGTCCTTCTAGAAACCCTGTTCATTTGCTGGACTTCCTCCCTAAGCTCAGGGGCTGGTCTATCACCATTCTCGCTCCCAAGATCGACCACACATAACCACAGCATCCTCAGACTGGTGCTCCAGGCAGGTAGAAAAGTTACCACAAGGGGCACACAGACCCCCCTACTGAGCAAAAATGCAGCTGAATGTAGAAAGGGACTTCCTGGACATGGTGCCTTCCTATACCTGGCAGATGATGTCCCCAGCCAGTCCCTCCACAGCCTACACAGGTGGAGGTGGAGGAGCAAGTAAAGTGGACGCAAGACTCACCTCACCTGCCCAGGAAGCCCTGCAGCCACCGGGCTCTCCAGAGCATGTGGTAGGGCAAGGACTGGGGCTTTTCCTAGTGAACTCTGCTTCTGAAATCCTACTTCTGCTGAAATCCATCAGTGCATACATCATCAGGGCCAGTCTCACGTATGCTGTCCTGTTCTGGACCATGTCAGTCCAGCCAGGAAATCCAACCCCTTTTCCTTCATTTGTGAACATACAGACACCCCCCCACACACACAGACATCCACATAGACACCCCTACACAGAGACATCTGCACAGACACAGCCACACATGGGCACGTATCTATATACCTACACAGACACCCACACTGACACACAGGCACACACCCACAGGATGCAGGCTCACGTGAAGGTTGTATAGAAGGAAGGAGATTTAAAAATAAATTTTAAGCATCTTTGTTCTAAAAAAATTCAGCCACTTTTTTCTGTAGGATTCTGTTTCTTACATTCTTCCCTGGATTTTCCCCTTTGCTTCCCTCCCCAGAAGTCCTCTAGAAACCTGTTCCTCACTCCACCTCCTTCCGTTTCATTAGGCAGAACAATTTAACTGTGCCCAATCCCTACCTCCAAATGGAGTTACTACTTTTGCCATGCATCCAGAGCTACGGGTGGGCGTCCTGATCTCACTCCCACCCATCTCCTGCAAGAGGAAGGGAGCAGTACAGAGATTAACTTCTACGATCAACTCTATCCCTGTAAAAGCCAAAGCAGGGAGTGTCGATTTTAAACAACACTAAATCTCTCTCCATAAACCACCAACTTCACCCTTACCCTGGCCCAGTAGCTCCATGACCTCTGAGAGTAATGCAGGCACCGCTGGATACCAGGAGCCAGCTGTGATTCTCAGTGCTTTCATTCATGATCTCACTCAGCCCTCAAGCACTCTTATGAGGTAGGTGCTGTCATTACCTACTTTTATAGGGAGGGAAACTGAGGCTCAGAGAGACTATGTAACTTGCCCAAGGTTGTTCCACTTGGGAGCTCCCTGAGTCCACTTTCTTGACTCTTCTGATACACTCTTTTGCAAACTACAGGTCACTGATTCAATCGTTCTCAATGTGGCTGCAGAGCCAAACTTCCTGGGAGACTGAGTACCCACAATTTTCAGGTGGGTGTGTAAGAGCTAATGGGGCCACAGATGCTATGCATACCACTGCCTAGTTGTTGCTAGAGAGCCTTTTCAACCTCAGAGAACATAGCATTCCATGCTAACCATCATTTAAAATTCCTGCAATAAATGAAAAAAATAAACACAGAGCTGAGAGTATAATTCAACTAGCCTCGCTCCCAAATGAAGCTGATTCCAGATAGAAAGCAGATTTTCATATTTACTGTATGTGACAGCTGCAGGAATTAAATGAATCATCTGTCTATCTCTATTGCCTTGTTCCTCCTGTGCTGTGTGCATCTATCCCTGGGGTTGTCTGTCTTCCCATTCCAGGAAGACAGATCAGTGTAGTTTCAATTATTAATTCCATGTTTGGATCACAGTAACACCAGTTCCAGTTCAGTGACCTGCAGTTCCTATTGATTTAAGTGATGAATTATCTACACTGCAATGTATTATTAACTTTATTTTGTCTCTTATTCCTTCTGCATTCATGCATCAAAATAATAAAGCACCATTCACAGGCTAAAAGGACCCGTTTCCCTTCTCACATTTCCCATAAGGGCGAAGCCAACACACACCAGGGAGGTAATTACACAGAGCTGGGGTGGGGGCTGGACATTTATTTTACCTCTGAATTATTTATCTCAGCTGTGAATTTGGGGGAGGGGTTGGGGGAGGTCCTCAGTGGGGAACAAAGGGGCCCAGGAGGGAAGTTAATGAAGACAAGTGACGATTAGAACCTGGGAGATTCATAAGAAATGAAATAACCTCAACCCAAAAGTTTAACTTCTGGGAGTCAATCTGCCCATTCTGATAATGATGGGGGGATGGGTGTAGGAGTGGTAACGACAGTGGCACAGTGTGAAGGGAAGGAGGCAAGAGAAGAGAGCACCATCAGTTTCTCCTGCCATCTCTTTTGGATTGCTCTGCCTGCCCCATCGCAAGACCTACTCAGCAAGGTCAGACTCCAGTGAGACATGGATTTGTGGATGTTTGGCAGAAATGTGCTGGCCTTATGGCTAACCTACCATTGTCTTCATCTTCTTTGGGTAAAAGCACATCCTCCTATTACCTTTTGAGGAACTTCCTTTCCCTGGGTACAATCTGGTAGGACTATCAATCCAGATGCCCTACCTTGCTCTGACCAAATGCATGACCCAAGCTGGGTCAGTGAGGTTCTCCCTCCATGACATTTGAATTACAGACAAAGGGCACAAAAGACCGAGGGTAAGTGGCATCTGTTCACTAGCGCTGATGCCTGGGTCTGACTGTTGAGCAATTGCTGCTCTCAATACCTTCTGAAGATGATCTGCAAGCCTTGTTTTTCAACCTTCCCTTTGATTCTAGATGCCCCACCCCATAGTCTTTCAATAAATGCTTTTTTTTTTAAGTTAACTAAATTTGAGTGTGTTTTGTTGCTTTCAACTTAGAGAACTCTGGCTAAGCAGCCAAAAGACATGGCTGTATCTAAAGTGTCCCTGAGCCCTCAGAGATGGAAAAGGTGAAGAGGGAGGGGCTACAGATCTTGTCTACACCTCTTCTGCCAATCAAGCAACAATTACATCAATAGGGAGATGGGCAGGAGGTGAAGTGAAGGCATTCCTCTGTCCTCTCGCTCCCATTTCTAGTTAGAACTGAATCCAACCTCCCAGCCTGCAGGACTCCTGTTGGGGCAACTCCCAAAGTCAAGGAGTCTGAAGAGACACCTCATCTGACAATCCCACACAGAGGGAAGACTTCTGGAGGGGTTGCCTAGGGTCAGGCACCCCAGGCATCCCGCCTATGAGCCAAACCCAAGAGGAAGGAAAGACACCCAGGACCTCCCAGTTTGAAAGTGAAGATAAAGCTGCTAAGTGCGTAGAAGTTTCCATGTGCAGACAATTGGAGGATTACCTAAGGTCTCATTTCTAGTGCTATTACACTCAGAAATTGCCTCACCTATGACTGCTCCCATTTTGTGACTCACAGCTCTCTACGCTGCACTGGTATGAAACAGATGTTGTGAATGTTTTATTGTAGTTTCCAATTGCCACCCTTCATTCATCTGATTCAGACCTAAGAGCCTTGGGCTTTCCTTTCTTTTCTTTCTCCTCCTCCACCCTTTGATTTTAAGGGCCTAGAGGTGAACATCTAACAGGCAGAACCTGATTCTACCTGTCAACTCAGCCCCTTATAGCAATGGAGAATAGCCCAGCAATGCCTGAGAAATGAGTTCTTTTTCTTTCCAGAACTTCACCACATAAGGAGAGAAGGATCAGAAAACCATGTGATTAGATTATATGGAAGAAGGTCAAAGATTAAAAATCCACTGCCTCTCATTATTAGAGGAGGGATGACAGATTCAGACCAGAGCACAAAAGAAAATACATTATTTCAAAACAGGATATGAAACCCAGTCCCAGGTGATTAGTCTCTGTTAAGTAAATTTACTATCTAATCTTTTAACTGTCTTCCGAAATTGCTGGTCCAACATTCTCTCCCTCCTCCATTGGAAGCTTAACCCTGGGAGGGTGCTGTCATCCACCTTAATGGAATGGGGAGCTCATTTCAGGGGGGTGTAGGTGGGGGTGGGGTGGCTGGGGTGGAAGGGTCTGTAAGTGAAATGCACCCTGTAATAAAAGCAGGATGTGTGCACTGCAGACCAGCCTGACTGGAGGTAGGATGGGGATGGAGGTTGGGGCAATTGTCCTTCCTTTGGTTTCAGAGCTAGGCCCATAAATGAGGAGACTATCCTTCAACCTCACTCCAGGCTCATCCTGGGAAAACTGGACTCTCCTCTTTCCGCACAGCCCCAAGGGGCCCACATGTCAAAGAATCTCATGCTTCGGGGTTGCTCTCAAACCAGATCAACCTTCAAAGCTTTGATTTTAAACGAATGCTGCTCTGCAGGCTAAATATCACAGGCCTGTGTTGGGGCCCGAAGAGGACAAGATGTGCACTTGGAGGCCAGACAGGCTTGCAACACCATCCAAGCAATGAGAAAACAAGACATAGTGGAAAAGAGGATCTGTTTCTCAGTATCTGTCTTGGCTGGGGTACCACTGTGAACATGGCATGCAACAATCAGAGAGGCAGAGGATACCAAACCCAAAGGAACTCTTCCCCTGTTTACCAGGAGGAACTCCTTTTTTTCTGTACTTCACTATTTTCTCGTCTGTTTAGTCTAAAAGGCTGAACTATTACACAAAGAAAGTTCTCTCCAAGAATGAGTTTTCCAGAGAAAGCTCTTCAGACAAGGGCAGTGTTTGAACCACTCTCCACAGCCTGGAGAATGGGGTGTGTGTTTAACAGAAGGGGGCTGGGGCCAAACAGGACTCCCTGAAGGATTCCCAAGGTGCTCTGTTTGTGTGATTTATCCCTTCTGGAAAATCCAAACATACAAATGTGCCTGCTGCAAAAGTCAGGGCAGTCTCCAGGACTCAGGTTCCCACACAAAGCTAACCACATATAGCTTGCCTGCCCTGAAGGTTTTCTCTATTTTAACCTTCGTAGGTTTTCAACCAAAACAGATGAAAGGGAGGTGCATGTAGTTTTGCTGGGGATCAGCAGACCTCATTTCTCTCTCTCTTCTTAGCTCCTAGGCTCACTTCACAAAAAACCCTCGGAGAACAGGAACTGGGCAAAAAGGGGCTTCCCTCAGCTCCTGGGATTTCAGAACCAGACATTGTCATCCTGTTCACCAAGCAGCAAAAACACACAACTCCGAGGCCCCACACTTTAGAGCAGGGGACACAGCCCTCAAAAGACTCCAATCCCAAACCCTTTTTATCTAGTAACCATTTGTTTGTGGAAATTTTGTTCACATTATAAGAGAGCTAGACCAGTTCTACATGCCTTTGAAATTCCAGCCCCCACGCCCTCTCCTCCCTGGCTAAAATGTTCTATGGAGTGGTGCCCGGGTTCTGAGATGCGTGTAAAAGTTGATGGAGAAGGCAGACTGAATTAAAAATGCATCCTTGCTTGTACACCATTCCAAAATGACCAAGGGGAAGGCTGCTTCCCACAGAAGGCTCAAAATGCATGATTTTATCTGAGTCCCAAAACCGTCCTACGAAGTAAATGCTTTTACTTTCATCCTTTTGCTATACAAGGAAATTGAGGCTCAGAGAATATCAGTTTTTGGCAAAGGTCACCCAGCTTGGTAAGTGGCAGAGCAAAGATTAGGATCAAGGCCTGTCTTTCTCCACACTTCAAGCTCTTTCCACCTCCCACATGATATTTCAACTTGGGCAATATGGCAAGGCTTCAGGAAGGCCCCAGAATATTGCATGCCCTTTGATCCAGGGCTACAAGGCTAAGAACTTAACCCAAGAAATACTTATGAAGGCAGACAAAGATAGATTTACAACGGTATCAGCAGTAACACTATTGATAACAGCAGAAGTTTGGGAGAAAAGTAATTATATGGTACTGATTGAATTTAGCATTATATCCATACAATAGAATACCATGCAAGTATTCAGTCATTAAAGACACTAGGGTAGAAGAATATTTAGTGATGTGGGAAAATGTTTACGATGTAAAGTGAAAAAAATTTGAATATGTAACCAAATGTCCATCAAAAGCAATGGTTACCATCATTTTGGTAAATCTATACAATGAAATACCATGAAGCTATGGAAAAGAATGATTTAGTTCTATACAAGTACTGACTTAGATGAATTTCTTCTTTTTGCTAATTTATATTTTTCCCAAAAAGATATTTTTTTAAATAAGAATAAAAGCATTGAAAATATTCAACATTCACATGCAAGGCGCTATTTAGAAACTATCTCAATGTATGATTTTGTCATTATGTGCGCAATGCTGATATTAGACACAAGCAAAGTTGCTACAATTTGTGTAGCATGTAATTTGGACCACGTGTCAGTTTATTCATTAATATGCATTTGGCTCACTGTGGGGTGCATGCCAATAGGGACTGACTACGCAACAGTTCAGATTTTGGTAAATGGGGGTAGGGGAGAAAGAGGGTGGGGATTGGATCTGAATAGACAGGTGAAGATGACAGATTCCCGGGATTGCAATGAGGCTTGGGGGCCTCAAGGACTGAGGCAGGAGGATCACTCCCTCTTCCTAAGCAGTAGCACCAATGCATGTGGTGGAGGTTCCATGCGCAGAGCCTCCCTTATGCCCATCAAAATAAAACAAATCCTCACCAGAGGAGCCAAGAGTAGACCTAATCAGCAGACACTGATCCTGCCAACACTCCCTGACTTCCATTATTGTAGATAGAGCTGAATGGGTTATCCAGGACTCCAAGCACTGCTGCCCCCATCCCTCCTGCCCTTTACTATAATAACCATAAGTCTTAATTTCTTCTTTGATCAATAACTCCATGTCTGAATTCTAAAATACAGCATCTGCTCTCATATTCCTCTGATAAATGGTTTGAATTAATGTAAAGCACATTATTCTTAGAGTCTTGGCTTATTGTATCAAAGACATCTGGTTTCCCAAGAAACTTCTAGGAGCCTGGATGTTTAAGGGCACTGAAGGCTAAGAATGGAGTCCCATTAACTCTTAGGTGATCATTGCCAGTCCATGAACTGTTGATTACAGGTCCCTGAAGACATAAACACTGAAGTTGAGAGTATCTAAAAATGATGATAGCAATGTGACGTTGCTGCATTTGTGTACATGATATTAACCACCTATATATGATATTAACCACCACACTTTCCATGACCCACATGCACAGATTTGTAATTCTTTCCTTTCTTCTAATTATGTGCATTCTGATATTTTTTGAAATGTAATTTTATGCCTGTGTAATCTAATAATTAAATATTTGTGCTTCTATTCTGTATATCTGCTATGGTTTTTGTCCTGTCCACAACTCATGTTGAAATTCCCAGTGTGGCAGTATGGAGAGATGGGGCCTTTGAGAGATGATTCATGGATTAATACATTAACAGGTTATCATAGGAGTGGGACTGGTGGCTTTATAAGAAGAGGAAGAGAGACTTGAGCTAGCACACTCAGCTCTCTCTCCATGTGATACCCTGTGCCACCTAAGGACCCTTCAGAGAGTCTTGAACAACAAGAAGGTTCTCACCAGATGCACCCCCTTGACCTTGGACTTCCCAGCCTCCAGAACTGAAGGAAATACATTTAATGTCTTACAAATTAACCAACTCCAGGTATTTTGTTATAAGCAATAGAAAACAGACTAAAACAATATCTTTATTTCATTTTTCTAGTAAGTTATTTTTATAGTATTTTACAAATGTATTAGTCTATAGGTTGCAGTCTTTTAAGAAAAAAATCCATCTCCACACATAATTGGAGAAGCACTAAGTAGGTTTGGGCCTGTGACTCATGGGCTTAGTCCTCACAAAGTTTTTATTAATTAAGACAATCAAGAGTGGACTAGAGCTGACATTTGGGGTACAGCCTTGTCTCTGAACTAAAACTCTAGCTGAGTGGTGCTTCGAAGGATCATCAGGGCCTTGTAAGAATCTCTTTGGACTAAACTGATGGAGGGTTAATGGATTGAGATATTTCTGGAGTGTAATCTTGTTATTTTATGCCGAGGGACTCCTGTTGTACTGGCTCTGAGACCTTATTTCAAACACAATCATTATCCCCATGGTCCCTTGTTGCCTTGTAATTTCACTGAAACATTTTTAGTTTCTTTTGAGAAAGAATAATCATGTATTTTCCCATGTTATTGAAGTCATGGAATAGTTAAAACTGAAAGGCAAGAAGGGGTCATACTGCTGACCTGAAGACCTGGATGAATTGATGCTCCTGTCTCAAGCCACATTGCCATTCTCATTCAAGATGGATTTGAATGTCAAAAGGCTAAGTCAGATTTCCTGATATCTACTGGCTCCAGAAAACTTAGGGATCAAAACATCACTTTCTATACAATAAAATGCATCTCACTTTGTAGAGATCTCACAAGCTTTATCCCCCAGGTAAACTCCCCAAGATCACCTAAAGCCAGGGATTTCCCTGTCTGGTGCCAATTTATCTTTTCACATAAATCAGTAGCAAGTTAGTGCTACAGTTTTCTTCACCTAAGCCCTGCAATCCGTTCCCCTAGGATGGGAGAAAATATCTTCTTCATCAGAAATATCACAAATCCTCAGTGGGACTTTGATGTCTGGTTTCTCCGCAGCTAAGATTCTTTTGGGGTGGTAGCACACAGTGGTGGAGAAGGGCAGAGGCTGATGTCCATTCTTTGCTCTGTTCTAAGCTGTGAGCCCCGAGCAAAATCACATAAGTGGCTCTGTGCCTCAATTTCCTCATGTGCAAAATGGGGGAGCCTAACTCCTGCTATTATGGTAAATAAAAATTAAATTATAAAGCATTTAGAACAGTGCTTGGTGCACAGTAAACATTAGCTGTTATAATTATGTACTTATTTAAAACAGTATAATCTATTTCCAAAAGGTTTTTGGAGGTATGATACGAGCAGAGAAATCACAGCAAATTCTTCCTTTCTCAAAAGAACCAAACTCCCCAAATTTGAGTCTTAGGTTAAAATGACATTAAGACATCATTACTATCTTAAAAGGAGGCTAGAAAAGAAAAGAGAGGCCTGGCTCACGCCTGTAATCCCATCACTTTGGGAGGCTGAGGTGGGAGGACTGCTTGAGCCCAGGAGGTTGAGGCTGCAGTGAGCTATGATCATGCCACTGGATTCCAGCCTGGGTGAGAGAGAGAAACCCTGTCTCAAAATATATATATATTTTTTTTAATGGAAAAATAATGGATAAAATAAGTATTAATATAAATACTGTAAAATGTACTTGCAACAAACTAGAATATTACTTGATTTTGAAACTGAGTACCATAAAATTAAAAATAATGATAGAACTTTAGAAATTTTCAAAGGAGGAAGGAAAAGCAAATCTCAAGTAAATTAAAGTGCTGGTGAGCACGGGTAGGGGCAAGAACTCAATGTGGGGACTGGCTGGGCCCGTCGGTGCCTGATGCAGAGCTCCTCAAATTGCATCGCCCTCTTTAACAAGAGAACTGGTTATTCAATCTGCATTTCCTAAATGAGAACCAGCTACCCCATCTGAATTGCCCAAATTCAATTAAGTCACCTGGCATGCTTCCTGTCAATACCCTCTCTTTTGGCTCACTTTGTCTTTTAACCATTATCGCCTCTGATCATTGTGAAGTTAAGGGCCTCCAAGCTGTCTGTATAAGACCAACAACAGGGGAAAGCTTTTTCCAGCCCCACTGAAATATCAAGGTGAGGCTGCATGGGGCCTAATGACCTCTTGCTGTGAAAATGTCAGGGTAACTCTGAAAACCACTTGTGCCCTACTTTTCCAAGGAGAAGGGCCCCTTTTACACTGTTTTCTATGCTTTAATGGGCTACTTTCAGAATTTAGAGGCAAACAAATGTAATATAAGGCTGATTATCAGTTAAGTGTTAAACTGTGAGTTACAGGAAAAATGGATACATCACAGAAAAACATCCCAAACTTTAGTGGCCTTATCAACCCAGGCTGCTTGTTAAACACCAGATTGCTGCTCTCTGCACCTCCCATTCTGAATCAGGAGGTCTAAAGTAAGACCTCTATTTCTGCACTTTCAAGCATCCAGGTGATTATAATAATAAACTTTGAGAAGTAATGATCCAGAAATATCACACATAGGAGAGAAATGCTAAGAGGAAAGCAACAAGAAACCGGTAAGGGAGTCATCTAAAATTTTCAGGCCATTTCTTAGAATGACAATTACTTGACCCCCAACTGTGTTCTCTACTAGACATGAATTCTCTAAGATCAGGGATGTTCAGAGTTCCTTCCGTGGCCACCCTGGGCTTTGCACCTTGCAGGAAGAGTTCAATTCCTGGGTGGGGAATTAAACTGAACCTAAAGATCGCTTGAACTTTTTCCACAACTAGCCCAGGAGTCAGGACCTAGTTCCTTGTACCATCTGAACTGAGCCACGAATATGCCATCTTGGCTTCCAAGGTTATCCTGCCCATTTTTCTGGACTTCCTAAGATCTTGGATCGTCATATGAGATTGGGCTTCAGCAATCTCTGAACTGCCGTGGAGCAAACCAGATGCAAAGGCTTTGCTTCCGGCAAGGGGAGTCTGTGTCCTGGTGATGACAAACCAAGGAGAAAAGCAATCATGGTGCATGGGAACAACTGAGTGGTTGACTGCTTGCCTTCCCAGCACTTCTTTCCCTGTGTTTTACTGCAACAGCCCTCATTTTTATTTGCAGGTCCACTCCTCCCTAATTTCAGTTCCTATGCATGGTGGGCGCAGCATGTGGTCTGGGCTAAGGCAATTAGCATTTCTCATTCTCTGTCCCGTGACCATGCTGTAGCCAATGGGAGCAGATGTGCTCACAGGAATGCAGGGACAAAGACTCACCTTGAACCGGGAGGCTGTGAGGTTTGCAGCTGTGGTGGCCGTCTTGCTACAGTGAGGAGAGGGCTCCTCTCTGCAAATGGAGCCAATGCAGAAAAAACAAGAGAAGGAAAGGAGGGATGATGGCGGGGGGTAGGAAGAGAGATACAGAGACAGAGTATGGTGGTTGTATTTGAACCCCTGGTTAAATCATGCCTGGGAGTGCCGCACTCCCAAGCTTTTCAGACCCATAAGTCAATCATCTCTTTTTAAACTTGGGTTTGCTTTCCCTAAAACCTTGTGACTGAAAGGCACTTCATCATGTAGTAAGGCTTTTCAAATGAAACGTCCAGCCTCACGAAGAAATGCCTTCTATAAGGGGCTGACACTGAGTCTTCTCAAAAGGCATATGCATTCAGTTTACAAAATCAGAATATGTAATATACCTCATACTTTTCAGTTCTTTCATGTCTTTTCTTACGTCTGGTTCTCCCAATTCCCTGACAGTGCTAGATGCTAAGTAGGCAAATTTCATGACGTAGGGCAAAAATCACGATCCCTATATGATAGATGATGAAATGGAGGCCAAAAGGGGAGAATTAACCCACTTGAGATCGGTCAGTTTGTGAAGGAGCCATGCACCGCACTTCCCAGTGGTGTAGATAAGGGAAAGGAAATATTTGGACGGTGGCGCCCTTCTTACATGGCCTCCATAGCCCTCCTCTCCCTTTGGGTACCATGATGCTTTTCAGCTCACATTGGTACATTGGTAGCTGCAGGGAGAGGCTTCAACATATTTATCAGCGAAAACATCAGCATCCAGGCCCCCATCTCCATTCTCAGTGTCCTCGTCCATCCCACCCCTGCACGCTCTCTCCTTTATCATAACTTGCATGACCTGGACCATCCAGGCATGCTGTGAGCATGGCCCTCCCTTCCTGTGCTAGTGGGAGTTTTCTCCACCACAAGCAGTTTTAGCACAGGCTTGGAGTCAGAAGGACGTGGGTTCACATTGTGACTCCTTTATTATGAATGTGACCATGGGTGAGTGACCACCTCTCTACTGCTTAGATTCCTCACCTATAAAATGGGGGTCATAACAACAAAGACCTTGCAGGGCCTTTGCACATTAATGAGATACATATATAAAAAGCCTTTAGTGTGGGTTTAACTCATGATATACACATTGTTTACAAAGGCTAATATTTAGCCGGGCGTGGTGGCACGCACCTTTAATCCCAGGTACTCAGGAGGCTGAGGCAGGAGAATCGCTTGAACCCGGGAGGCAGAGGTTGCAGTGAGCTGAGATCATGCCACTGCACTCCAGCCTGGGCAACAGAGCGAGATTCCATCTCAAAAAATAAAAGAAGGCTAATATTTATCAAACACGGACTTGGCCAGCTTATTAATGGTCACTAAGCTGTAGCTCTCTCTGTTGATCTGATTCCTATCCATCCTTCAACAGCTACTTCAAATCCCACCTTCCCCTTAACCTGGAATCCTGACAACTCTAGTTCTCTCTCCCTCTTTACTCTGGATTCCACTGCTTTTGATGTCAGAGTCACTCCCTGCTTTGCATTCTTCCTTTATGTTCACCAAGTTAATCTCTCCCACATATTCACAATGACCTATTTCTCCCACCCAGACTATCTATGTGGTCCTATTTTTCTATTCACGCTAATCTCTCTAGCAGTATAGCCTAGTGGTCCAGACCATGAGCTTTAGGGCCAGCCAATCCTGGTTTCAAATCCTAGCTCTTTGCTGTGTCACCTTAAAAATGTACTTAACCTCTGAGTGTCAGTTTCCTCATCTGTAAAATGGTGATGATTCCTGCCTGTCAGGGTTGTTAAGCACACTATAGGAGATACTACATGCAAACTGCTAAGCGTATTTATCACATGCACACAGTAAAGCTCTACCCTTGGTAACATAATGATAGTCTTAGCCACACAAGCATCTAGCTCACTGCCTCGTACCCTATAGGAACCGAATTGATTTAAACCCAGAGGCATTTAGTCCTCTGTGGTTACCTGTACTTTCCCACATTCCCACTCATGGCCACAAGGTGGCAGCCCACCCATTATGGAGGAAGCTTTTATTTCCAGAACGGGAAAGAACGAAATGATTTCTTATGGAATATATAGATGACTTCTTTTTCGGTGTTAGGTAGGTGGGGGGACTGAATATCCTCATAGGCCCCTGGTTCCATTTTCTGTGAGTGCACTACCTGTACACATGGGACCACTGTGTCACAGCTGAAGCAGATCAAACAAGTCAACTGCACATTAAGGTGTTCTCTTCTAGGGAATGTGGCTGGCACCTGTCTCCCCCTTTCTTTCAGCCACACTCCATCAGAAAGCCTGCGGGGTTTAGAAACCTCCCTAGGCTGGGCTTCGCCATCCTGCACCTGTATTAAGGTGTCAGGGAGTCTGGTGAATGGACCATATGTGCACCTATGGTGACCATTTTGTCTGAGACTTTCTGGGTTTTAAAACGGGAAGCCCTGTGTCCTGGAAAATCCTTCCGTGCTAGGCAAACACAGATGGTTGCTCGCTCTAGGGCATCTCTGCTACATCTCCACTGTAACTCCATAGATATGGTTTCCCTTTTTTTCCCATGGAAAAAGAAATTGTGGACATGCAATTTCCCAAAGTCCTACAATTCCATAATTTTATATTTGGAAGGGAACACAGACAACACTCAGATCCTGCATGATGGGGAGAGTAGAATGGTCTTGCCCAGGTCACATGGCTGGGCTGGCAGGGAAGGACCCAGATCCTTGAGTCTAACTCTCAGCTCTTTCCAAGGGCTCCCGACCACTTGGAGCTGCAGGGTATAGAAGGAGGGTGTGTGGCTTCCTGGACGTTCCCTCAAAAGAGCTTCTGGGAAATAGCAAAACAGGGCAGAACTCAGGAAGACTGCGAGATCTAACTTAAAGCAAACTTCCAACCAAATACTTAGGGATGCAATTAACATGCATACGTTATATAAAAGGGTGAATGGGTGGGATTTAAATTTCACCTGGATGGAAAATCTTCACGGATCTCACTTTGGCACACTGGAGGAGAATCAACTAGGAGACCCCCCCCCAGGGGCAGGCAGCACTAGAATTGAGCCTCGAAAGCCTTCCTGGGTTTTGCCTCCAGAGAAAAGAATCAGCATCTCTCTCCTGGGATCTCCTTGGCACACCACTCTCCCCATCTCAGCCAGGCCAGCATTTGTCCTCACTGTTCACTGCAGAAAGTGAAAGTTTCTGGATGTACTTTCATTAACAAATCCTGCTAAAGCAAACTCCTGCTCTCAATGTTATTGGACATTTACATCTTCAGTCTCAACCATGGCACTAAATTAATTTGCCTCAGAGACACACCACTGAATTCAAGTATTTTATTAGAAAGCTACACCAAATACAGGAGCCTTGCAGAACAGAACAGAAAGAATGCCTCTTTTGCAAAGACATGAAAAGCAGGCAAATCCATACAAGACGGAATATGGTAAGCATACATCCTTAGGAAATGATCTTTTGTTTTGTTTTCGGTTAGGAATTCCCACAAAACAAAATTCTTATTAGTAACAAAAAGTTTAAAAAGTTGGTTTCCAAAACAAACTTGACAGGGAAGGAAAGCACCTATGAGAGGAAGGAACCACCCAAGTGATTCTTCTACAAAATAGAAGATGAGCTGCAAACTTAGGCACAGCCACCTGAAATGAATTTGCTGAAAACACAGCAGGAGACTTGCAGCAAACTTTCAGGTGGGATTTGCCACACTTGTCTCGCTCTTTGGGGTAAGGAGGAGAGCCCGAGCAGAGGGAGAATGTGAGGTGACAAGTTCCAGCTAACATCTCTGCATCTAATGTAATTCTGAAAGTTCTAAAGCGCGAACTAGTTGTATCCTAAAAGAGTGAGGCAAATCTGAGTGGTAACCAACATCCACCAGAATGGAAAATGCAGGCACAAACTAGTGCAAAGCAGGGCAAAGACCCAGGAAAGTAATTGGTAGTCACTGTTCCCATAGCCACCCTAAAACGAGAAGATCAGAGAGAATGAACAAGAAACGTAGAAAATCAGCTCAGAGATCTGGATTTTCACCCCAATGATGCCAGAAACCAGGATGGGACCTGAACAAGTTATTCACCCATCTGAAGTTTCATTTCCGTTTTCTGCAAAGTGAAGGGGCCAGGTTGAATGTCCCCTGAGGTCCCTTTTATCTCTAACAGTTCTGTGAATAAATATGTAGTTGGCACATTATAGTCAAGAGGTTAAGCTGAGTAAACAAGAAAGTCCAGGTTCAGCCATCAAAGTTCCACGGCCGCCTATCCTGCTATTCATGTGGGTTCAGGACAGGGCCCTCTTCTCAGGCCAAGCTGGCAGATTCCTAGTTCCATTCCCCTGAAGATGTGAGAGAGGATGGGATTGTCTAATGAACTCACTACAGTCCAACTGAGGCAAGATTTCTACATCAGGGTCCATCAGGATGTCCATCTTGCACCCTTGGCAATTGCAGCCTTGCAAAGCATAGCCACGAGCCACCTTCTCTTCCCACAATCTCTCCTCTCTTCCCTGCATCCCCAGTCAACAAAGGAGAGAGTCACAGAGAAGGGTGAGGGTGGGACAGGGTAAGAAACTCCAGCCCCAGCTCTAAAACCTTTACAGAAAGCCTTTGTTTGAATGCTAAACGTTTGTTTGTTTGAAGTGATTCAGATCCCGTGAGATCTTCTCAATTCTATTTCACTTTCACATGGCGGGCTTCACCTCTCACTCTACCTTTCATGACCACCTCACAGCCTTAAAAGCATTCTCTCAAACTTGATGAGAATAAAAAAATTTAAAACAATTATCTCCCTGCCCCAGCCCAGTGTCAAAACAGCATCATTCTAAAGGGAGAGTGAAGGGGACCCAGAGAGGTTATTTATTTTTGTCCTGTAAATAGAATTATAGGTTGAATAGAGCCTCTACATCAGCCAGGGGTCTTCAAACTCTTTTTAAAAGCAGGGGAACCTTCTGTCGAATGGAGTTGTGTGCAGGTACAGGGACCTCAGGCAGGTCCTGTCCCTCTTGGGTGGGTTAGTAATGTCCCTCAGCTGACTGCTGGGTCAGTCTGCAAGAACACGCTCCAGGGAGGTCTTAGAGAAAAACAAAACCCAATAACATTATGTTGTCCTTGGAGAATGCCACACGACAGCTGCCACGAGTAACAGCAGCTATCATTTATTGCCTGTTTGCCAAGTGCCAGACCCTGCACTAAGTACTTGTTTGCATTTGCTGCTTTCATTGGGCCACTGTCACCTTGTGGGATGGGAATGGTCATCTTCATTCTGTGAAGGGGGAAAGTGAAGGTCAGAAAGGTAAAGGAATTTATCTGACATCACACAGCTAGCAACTGGCACCGCTGGGAGGTGCTCTTATTAGATACTATACTAGAAGCACTTGCTTCCCATCAAGAATATCTAACTATAGTAACTCATAATAGCTAATGTTTTGGGGAGTGGTTATGATGTGCCAAGGACTCTGAACTGGGGGGTTTCATAAAGATTGTCTCTTTTTTTGTCCTTCCAAAAACCTTATCAAGCAAATTGTAGTTGTAATCCCATTTTTGAGCTAAGAACACTGAGGCTCAGAGGCCTCCAAAGGAGGAAGTGGTAGGAATAGAGTCTGAATTGCTCCAAGGCCTCAGCTCTCACCAGCATGGGGCAGTCACCTGCCTGGCTGGGAAGCAGGTGGAGAGCCTACAGCCCCAGGCTTGGGAGGGGACACGGGAGCCCCAGGTGCTGTGTGGGCCACAGCCCTCTAGAAGCTGGGCTGAGTCACAGGCATCACAAACAGTGGCTTCCCATGTTGGCCTCCCCACTGCCCCCACCACCCCCAGCAGCAAACCTGTAGGCAGGAGTGGGGAAATGCCAGCCTGGGGAATGCAGTGCCCTGGGGATCTATCAGGGAGGACGAGGGAAAGCCTCCCCCTTCTCTCAGAGGTTTTGCTCAGGATCCCCAGGAAAATTCTTTCAGTCATTCTGGCTGGCAATTGTTTTCAAAGGCCTACCCCAGAGACTGGAGAGGAGAAAGTGCCTGTCTCAGAATGGCCACCCTGGCTTGTCCATTACCATACAGAAAAACAGCCCAGACTCCACATTCGCCTCTAACCCACACATTTCCCTCTTGACGCCCAATTCCCATCAGTCTCTGACCCAGGAGCCTGGGGTGGGGAGCTGGGGTGGGGGCAACGGCAGACCCTTTCAGGGCCGGAGAGGCCCCCTGACTGGCAGGCACTGATTTTTTAATTTAAAAAGCAAAGTAAACAGCAATATAAAAGGGCCCATATAAGAACTCAGTGTGTAAGTGGGACCTGCCTCAGGCAAATTTTTCTAATTTTCCTGAAAACAAGCATTTTTACCCTTTGGCCCAAAGCCATTGCCTTTGCCATTGGACTTGGCCCCTGCCCCACCCCCTCTCCTGAGCCACCCTTCTGTGTTTGAGAAGCTGCCCCTGGCAGAAAAGAGAATGACCTCCTGCGTTTTAGTCAGACACTTCATACGGGCTGGTGAAGGTTTTTTGAGGTTGCTCACGCTCCCAGCCAAGGAGTCTGTGGAAATCCTTCAAAAAGTACAAGGCAGCCTTATGAATGGGGAGTGAGGAGCTTAATGACAGACGCAAGGACCCTCAACTACATCTGAAGGAGGAGAAAGAATTATGATGACCGAATCCTGTAGAATTCTGCTGAGGTTTACTTTTACTTTATGCGAGGGCTAATTAAGCTGGATTTATAAATAGGTTATTTATTTTTGTCTTGTAAATAGAATTATAGATTGAATAGAGCCTCTACCTCGGCCAAGGGTCTTCAAACTCTTTTTTAAAGCAGGGGAACCTTCTGTTGAATGGAGCTGTGTGCAGAACCACAGCATAAAAATGGAAGCAAAAGTTCTCTGGTCAGGTTGGAAAGGAAGGCCTGGGGTCCTGCTCAGGCCTGGAGGGCACCCATTTCCAGCGGCCATCTGTCCCCCTGCCCCAGTCCCTGATGTGTTCTGTGGAACCTCAGGGTTCCAAGGGACAGAGTCTGAAAGACATTGCTCTAAATGAATCTGTGCTGCATGGAATGTATTTTCCAGTCGCTGCCTCCAGGATTACTGAACATGGAGGGGGCGCTGTGGTCTCAAATCCCAGGTGCATTAGCATTTCCGTTTTCATGTAGGTTGACACAGTGTTCCCTTGTACTAGAAAATGCCAGTGGGTGTTAGCAAAGGCCCTTTACACGCAGAACAATGAGCCCAGAGCGAGGCGCAAGCTTCAAAGCCGTCTCTTCACTGGAAAGGGTGACGCGGCGCAAGATTTACCCCTGAACCTCTCTGGGAGTGTGAGCTTCATGGGCCTCAGTAGGTAGGTGTTTGGGTCGGCTCTTTTCAGTTCCGAAATGAAAATATCCTATGGGCTTATCGGAAGCCTCAGGTCTGACATTTAGAGGTGTGTCTTCCTTCCCAAACTGAAAACACACATTTCCTCTCCTTCTCCTAAGAGACTGAGGAATCCCGAGATGTCAGCCAAGCGCAGAATAGCCAGGTGCTCGAGGCGCTGCTGACAGGCTGCTGTGAGGGTCAGGGCTCTGCACTCTCAGGGGGGCTCCGGGTCCGGAGGAGAGCACCCACATGTCAGGCTTCACTTGTCCAGGCCATGCCCATGGCACCCCGCCTACAGGATCTGACGCCTGGCTTTTTCAGAGACTCCCTCTGTCATCTCTCAGAAGCAGGCAGGACAGATGGAGACCCACTACACAGATGTGGACAACAAGGTATTAGGAAGTGAAAGGCCAGACAAAATCCCCCATGGGGGTCAACCTCTCTCTGTGGGCTCAATGTGCTCCCACAGCCTGCTCTGAAGGCCCTTTTGTCTTAGAAGGATTTTCCATCCTAAGTAACTACAGGATTCTTCTCTCTCCTAACAAGATTTATGGAAAGAGTTTCTGTTTTCTCATATACTTTCTAAGTACACAGGAAAAAAAAAAAAACTCCTGACTAAATGATGATAGGCAGAAAAGAAACAAGACACAAAGTGAAGACGGGCACAGAAATCTATCACCTTGTTCCTGGTCAGGGGCCACCTTCTCTTCCCCACTGAGTAAATGGTAGAGCCACGTGATCAAAATCATCCCGCTTTTTCCCCATTCTGGGGAAAGCCCTTGGGTTTCTCTTGATGTTATAACATAATACAAACAAAACAAAGGCAAAACACAGAATTTACAGAATGTCAGTTTCTCACAGCAGCTGACTGAGGGCTTCTAGAGTCAGTGGGAATTGCAGGATGCCCAGGATGGGTATGAGGGATGCAGACAAGACATCGGGAGCCAGGGTTCCAGCTGCAACCTTGCCCCTGATTGGCTCATTGTGTGGCTGTAGGAGGAGACGGTGGAGAAGAAAAAGACTTTACCAGGCTGTCTGCAGACACCCTTGTCCTAGAGGCCCTGGAGTGGGACAGCTGGGTGGCTCCTCGGAAGACTCCACAACCCCTTGGTAAGAGTCATGACCCTAAAGAAAAACAAGGTGAATGGAATCCTCAGTGCTGGGATAGGGGAGGAGCCTCTGCTGCTGGAGCTGGTGAAGAGCCTCTCTCAGGGCTTTCTGGGGTTTACTGAGAATCAAAGGCATCCTCTGGAATCCTACAGAAAACCAGCCCTAAGGTTGACATTGTCCTATACATTTATTTTCCACACTTTTCCTACCTGGAACTTGCTCATACCCCATAAAGGCGAAAGGTACCATCCCAGAATTTAGTTATCTGTCCATCTCAATCCCCTCTTACTCCCAACCAAATTATCTGTTTTCACACCCACATAAATCCCATCTTACCTCCAAGGCTAACAGCTTTGCCATTCGCTGGTCAAAGTGGTTACAAACAGAATAATAATATCTAATGCTACTAACATGTACCAGTGTCTGGCATTCTACTTTTTTTTTTTTTTTTTTTTTTTTTTTTTTTTTTTTTTTTGAGACTGAGTCTTGCTCTGTCACCCAGGCTGGAGTGCAATGATGTGATCTCAGCTCACTGCAACCTCCACCTCCCAGGTTCAAGTGATTCTCCCGCCTCAGCCTCCTATCTGGGATTACATGCACCCACCAATCATGCCCAGTTAATGTTTGTATTTTTCTAGAAACGGGGTTTCAGCATGTTGGCCAGGCTGGTCTTGAACTCCTGACTTTAAGTGATCCACCCACCTTGGCCTCCCAAAGTGCTGGGATTACAGACATGAGCCACTGCGCCCAGCCCTGGCATTCTATTTTGCATGTCTTGTCTCCTATAATGCTTACAACAAGCCTATGAAGTTAGGAGCTATTATTATGCCTATTTTTCCATAAGGAAACTGAGGCACAGTGAAATCTGGTGTCTTGCCTAAGATCACACAATCAGTAGGGGATATAGGCAGGGCTCATACCAGGTGATCTTACTTAAGAGTCCCATCTTCTGTACGTCACTCAACCACAGCACGCATATTGCACCTTCAGATCTCCACTGTGCAACCAGCAAATTGACCCAGTGTGAGAGCAAACAAAGCCTTCCTATACTCACAGCAGAAGAATGTTCACAAAGGAGCTGTTTAAGGCTGGTCTACAAAGGGGGTAGTGTGGAGTAGAACAGGGAAGAATTAGCCACTTAGATCATCCAACAGGATGGACATGCCAAAAGTCACTTTGATTCTGCCACCAAATTAAGAACATGATTTTAATAAACGATTACATTTAGTATCTATTCCTCATTGTAATACCTTAGTCATGCTTGCACAAGCTAATTCTAAATCTAGTTTGTCTTCCCCAGGTACTCAATGATTAAGTGATGAAAGAAAGTGCTTTTAATTGTGTTCGTTGGTATGAGGGGAAAAACCCAAAACCTTGGGTAATCTACTGTCAGAAAACTGAGAATCATCAGTATCAAGAAGGTTCTTCTCCTGAAAGGAGCCCCTTGACACATTTGCAAAATAAACGGTTTTCATTGGTCAGACGAAAACAGTTTCCAAGGATTGGGAACTTGTGGTCTCCGATGGCAGCTTCCCCTGCTCCCTCTGCTTCCCTGTCTCCTTTCTGGCGTAATTGCTCACCTGGCAAACCAGCACCAAGCTGGGACCCCAACCCTGCACACAGCCCAACTCCTCAGTGGCAAGGCCAGCAGCCTTGGACATCTGGGCCTCTGTTCTCATACAAAGCTTCAGCACCATGTTTGATTTCCCTGAGAAGGTTGGCAATTGTGGCCAATTCCCAAAGCACTGGTATTCTTTCTGGTTCCTCTTGACCAACCGTGAGTAACCCCATCACCCTCCCACCCCAGGACATTCAGTTGGTGACCATCTATAGAGACATCTGACACTGAGATCAATGATATCCACCATAGCACTTAGCACGGGGCCAGGCACAGGGCAGGAGCTCCACAAAGCTCAGTGTGGCTGGTGGCAGCTGGGACAGGGAAGGGTGTGGGGAGACTTCTGTTGCTGGGAGAAGCTCTTTTCTTGAAGGGAGGCCTTTGCCCTTTCAGAGGGAGAACAAACAGAGAGGCATTAAGTCTGCAAGCACAGCCCTCGCAAAGCCTGACCTGCAGGCCTCCTCCCGAGAGACACATGATTTACCTAGGCTGAAGTCAACAGAGGGACATCTGAGCTCCAACTATCCTTTCCCATTTCACACCAGGGTGACATTAAATGGTTCCATTTTCAGTGGATGGGGGAAGGGAAGAGGGGAAAATGGAGCTAAAGTTTCATTTTTAATGAACATCAATAAAATATTCTTCCCTAGGTACACTGTCCCCCTGCCCCAAACCTATGCAAAAGAAATAGTCTACTTCTTCCAGTGACTTTGGGCTTGTTTGCATATATCTGGGGCTTTGGATATAACGTCAAGCGCTTCGTGATGCCACAGTAAATTCAGAAACACGTAAGAAGCTATTGATTTCGATCCCCAACAACTCTTGGCTTGTAGACATTTCACTGATGAATGTTACAGCAGCGGATTTTTTAGTGGCCCTTCATACATGGTCATGTCCCTCTGGGCTGGCCAGTGACTTGGCATCAGGTCATCCATCCAATCCCCATGTGAGGTGATAGGAAGTGGTGCTCCTGACGGTGAGGGGCCCCAGCTACCAATATTTTTACGGCTTCCGCTGGGATGCAAAAGCAAGTGAGTCTCAGGCCTGTCTCAGGAGGTGGGTGGCCTGAGCCGGGTGGAGTGGAGGAGTGATGTGTGGGAGAATGTGGCTCATGGTCTATTTACATTCAGGATCCTTTCAGCTTCTGCAGGACCATCTTGACTGCTGCAGGTCTCTGTGAGTGGGTCATCCTCACAGCTGTCAGGCCGGGTTAGTGCACTCTCAAGAAATCATGATGAAAGGGAGGGATCAACCGCCTCATTGATCAATAATCCTGTCTCCTGTGGCCCTCAGTTTTATGCCTGGTGCACTAGGGGACTGTGACGCATCGCGTGCCCCTTCTCTAAGAGCGACACCTGTACCTTCCCAGACACAGGGTCTGGAAGCTGGTCTCCTGAGAGGTCACACTGGGACCTGGGAAAAGCTGGGCTCAGAGGCTCCCTGGGGATTTGGAGGGTTGGGAAGGGGCAAACACTTCGACTGAGAATTTGTGTCAAATTTGAGCTCTGTTGTTTTTCCTACCCCATCCCCCCACTTTAGAGGGAGAGACTGCAATTACTTTTCTGTACCCCCTGGAAAGAGGATTTGGGGTTCTGGGTTTGTGGAATCAAGTCCTATTGTGAAAGAATAGAATTAACTGAAAGAGGGAGGGTCTTCTCCAAAACTAGAAAGGGATGGGGGTAGAGGGAGGTATGCGTGGGGCCCAAGGATTTGGGAGAGGCAAAAGACCCCACAGAGTCATGGCCGCGTGGCTTTCTAGAAGCCTTGCCCCAAATTCCCTTTCTCATCCAAGCCCAGAAATGCAGAGCTGCTGCATGCAGGAGACCTCAGTGGGCCTGGGTGATCTGGGACTGCTGATGACCATCCTTTGTTTCCGGTCACCATGCAAACTCCTAACTCTGCTGGGAGGGGTCCTGGAAGGGAAACAGGAGAGAAGACCTAGGTAGCAACTGGCACGGCATTTCCAACCAGCCTATGACATGGGGATTCAAGTGTCAACATCAGGTTCAAAGGAGTGGTATTTCTGGCACACCTGAGTTTGTCCTTGGCACTTCACATCCACCGCAACCCTTGCATGGCTTTATCTGTAGTGTCTATAAAGAGATCAGGGCTCCATTCTTCATGTGATAACCTTTCCCAGAATTTGAGGCCAAGCTCTCTCTCTCTACCCGCCCCATGCCCTCTCTCTCCCTCCATCTCTCCCCTTCCCTCCCTCTCTCTCCTCTGTTCATATTCAAAGCCAGGTGGAAGCTCTCAATAATAAACTGTGGGAGTCACTTGGGACACAGGGATGGCTGCTGATCTCACAGAGTTACAAGAAAGAAAGTCATCCAGATTGGCTCTAGAATAAAATGCCACCAGAAAATGTATTTGAAGAATGAAATACTTTGTCATGGCTTAAAACACATGAAACACATCCGTTTCATCCCTTCCTTGTTTCTTTTCAGCTATAGAAAGGACAACCAGCACCACCTCCAAAATGCCTCCAAAGGGTCTGCCTTGTATGCAAGGTTGTAGGTATTTTAGTTAAACATCCAATTAAGGTTACTCTTCTAGTTATAATGTTTTGATGCCACCCCATGTACTAGTAAACTTTGAAGGTTAGAACTAAGAAATGGGCCAGGCGCGGTGGCTCAGGCCTATAATCCCAGCATTTTGGGAGGCTGAGGCGGGCAGATCAGAAGGTCAGGAGTTCGAGACCAGCCTGGCCAATATGGTGAAACCCCGTCTCTACTAAAAATACAAAAATTAGCTGGGAGTGGTGGCGCATACCTGTAATCCCAGCTACTCAGGAGGCCGAGGCAGGAGAATCGCTTGAACCCGAGAGGCAGAGGTTGCAGTGAGCCGAGATCGCACCATTGCACTCCAGCCTGGGCGACAGAGCAAGACTCCATTTCAAAACAAAACAAAACAAAACAAAACAAAACAAAACAAAAGGCCATTGAACAGGGTGAAAAGATGTGTCCTCAAAGTGTGGTCCCCAGACCAGCAGCATCACTGTCACCTAGGAATGTGTTAGAAATATGAATTCTTGGGCCCTACCCCAGTCCCACTGAATCAGAAATTCTGGGAGGGGACCCAGAAATCTGTGTGTGTGTGTGTGTGTGTGTGTGTGTGTGTGTTTTGAGACAGGATCTCGCTCTTTTGCCCAGGCTGGAGTGCAGTGGAGTGATCATGGTTCACTGCAGCCTCAACCTCCCAGACTCAAGTGATTATCCCACCTCAGCCTCCCAAGTAGCTGGGATTACAGGTGTGCACCAGCATGCCCAGCTATTTTTAAATTTGTTTTTTTAGAGACAGAGTCTCACTACATTGCCCAGGCTGGTGTCGAATTCCTGGGCTCAAGGTATCTTCCTGCCTCTACCACCCAAAGCGCTGGGATTACAGGTGAGTCACCCTTTAGGAGGTAATGAATGAACTTCCAAGTATGAGAGCCTCTGGTAATGGGTTCAAGACCTCTGGCTCTGGAGTGGGATACAGTCAGGTTTCAATCCCAGATCTGCAGGCATGGATCTGCAGCAGTTCATCTTGTGCTGCTGGCTTTACCTCTCTTAATTTGGTTTTCTGATTGGATAAACAGTAATAATTACCCCCATCCCATAAGGTTGTTGGATCAAATAAAACAGCACAGCTACATAGAGCCTTGTGTGGGTATTTTGGGGTGCTGAGTGATAACTAATCATATCCCCATCCCCTTCCAATTCCAGACCCATGTGAAGCAGGCAGATGGAGACCAGAACATGGGCTCCATTGCTGATGAACTCCTCTGAAGGACTCAGGGATCTGGTCCCCACTCACATTGGCTTCCTAGTGCTGCCTCCCACAAACTTTGGACAGTGTCCCTATAGGGTGAGAGGGTGAAGGTCTGCAGAGGAGGCACACAGCCCAAGTCCCTGCCTCACACTGTCAAAGCCGAGGAATGTGGACAGAGGATATGCAGCCACGGGACTCACAAAGGCAGCCCTGGCTTCACCATGGAGGGCCGGCCCTGGGGCTGCAGGTACAGAGTGGACGCCCACCTGGGAGCTTTTGCACGGGAAGACCCATGCAAAAGTGGACCTGCTGGACTGCTCAGTCATTCCTCTTGAGCTCGATGGCCTTGTGGCTCATGGCTTGGAGTAGGGAGATGACCCAAAGACCCTTCATGATTTTTTCCACTTGGGGTCTGGGTATCCCCATCCTTCTTAGGAAATAGCAGAAGTAAAGTAATGCCTATCACTTGCTAAAATCAGTGCTCAACAAATACTGCGATCATTATTGACGACAAAAAATCAGTGCTCAACAAATGCTGCGATCATTATTAAGAAGTTATGGCCGGGTGCGGTGGCTGTAATCCCAGCACTTTGGGAGGCTGAGGCAGGCGCATCATGAGATCAAGAGATCTAAACCATTCTGGCCAACATGGTGAAACCTCGTTTCTACTAAAAATACAAAAATTAGCTGGGCATGGTGGTGTGTGCCTGCAGTCCCAGCTACTCGAAAGGCTGAGGCAGGAGAATCGCTTGAACCTGGGAGGCAGAGGTTGCAGTGAGCTGAGATCACACCACTGCACTCCAGCCTGGGTGACAAAAGCAAAACTCCATCTCAAAAAAAAAAAAAAAAAAAAAAAAAGATTTGTAAAGGATATTAACGTAATCTTTTCTGAAATGGAAAGTTCAGTTGCATCAACGCTTAAGCCTACAATGAAGAATTACTCAAAGAGAAGAACAATAAAAAACTCACAGAAAGTGTTCAATAACCTAAAAACAATAATCTTATGTAAAACAAAAATTTTACATAAGAACTCATAACAAAAACTTAAGGGTGTTAGAAGTCAGAGCATGACGTTAATAATATGATACAGAGTTGAACGTGATAGATCTGGTCAGTATCAAACTCACTGAAGAATGGTCAGAAATTACCTTCACACAAACAGCAACAGAAAGAAAGATACACGGCTGACAGTTATTAGAGCTCTGAGCATACAGTAAGCATCTGATAAATAC
This sequence comes from Homo sapiens, assembly GCF_000001405.40. Classification (NCBI taxonomy): domain Eukaryota; kingdom Metazoa; phylum Chordata; class Mammalia; order Primates; family Hominidae; genus Homo; species Homo sapiens. Next base: position 169,000,792 of record NC_000005.10, read on the forward strand.
TGATGGGCTGGCTATTCAATTACAACTGACCCGACAACCTATTCTTGAAGCATTATTTAATTTATACTAGATGTTCTTTTTTGGGGTTTTCAGTTCTAAAATCTCTCTCAAATAACTTTTCCTGCCAAGCGGTTATTTGAGTTGCGTCGGAAAGCTTTCTTAGTGAATTCTGCACTGAATGGCTCCCCTGGAAGAAGTTTATTACTTTGTCATCTTATTTGTTAGGAAAGTTGTGATATGACAGAGGGACATAAATAATCCCATTCAATGGGAAAAAGATGCTTTCTGCAAATCCATAGTACTTTTCACATTTCAAACCACTTTCACATTTATCCAAGTGCTTTGCTATTTTTATAAATGAGCATCTGATGAGGATGAAATGAAAAAAAATTCTCAGCCAACCCTTTCAGCCCTTTCTGAGGAAACTTCTCACTTCCAGCTCATCGCCACTGTCCGTATTTTGAACCTGTCTTGTCTGCCTTATCCTGAGAAAAATGAAAAGTTCTCAAACCACCCCCACATATTAATTTGCCATCAACTTTTCCTACTAAGTACTTAAAATTCACTTTCTGCTTGAAATGAAGGGAGAGGCACCTATCTTTTGAGTTCGGCTTGAACAATAAAAATATTTAGAATAAAAAAACACCAAATAATGACAAGAAGTACAGGCACATAGGCGGGTCACGTCTTTTTTTTCCCTCCTTAAGTGTTACAATGGAACATTTTGACTTGTTATGAGAGTGGGAATGAGAAAGTGAAATAGACTAGAAACAGACCAATTTCATTTTTCTGTCAGCATCTCATGACAGGCCAAAGATAAACCTCATAAACTGTGAAAAATGAACAATTCTTGGTTTTGATAACCTAAGCTGGGATGAGAACCAAGGAATTAATATCTCTGGAACCCAGGAGTTTATCTCCCTTGTTTTTCAGTGATTAATCTCAAACTAATCCCATTTTTGTCAACAATTTAAACAAGCCAAAAGAAAAGTTTTAGACTCCTGGCTATAGCTCCTCTCTTAGCCTACCCTTCCTGGTGCCAAGTGAAGTGGTAATTAACCAAAGTCTCCCTCCTTTTTTTTTCCCCTTGACATACAGAATTGCAGGGCAGCAGTACTCCAGAGAAGGGAGACATTGGTGGGAACTGCAAACGGTAGGTTTTTAGAGTAGGGAGAGGAGGGGACTCAAAAGAGGAATAGGGAGCATGGGGGTATGAAGGTAATTATAGGAAAAAGCAATGTGGCTGGTGTGGTGGTTCACTCCTGTAATCACAGCACTTTGAGAGGCCGAGGCAGGCAGATCACCTGAGGTCAGGAGTTCGGGAACAGCCTGGTGAACATGGTGAAACCCCATTTCTACTAAAAATAAAAATAAATTAAAAATTAATCAGGCATGGTGGTGTGTGCTTGTACTTCCGGCTACTAGGGAGGCTAAGGCAGAAGAATCACTTGAACTGGGAGGTGGAGGTTGCAGTGAGCCAGGATGCACTCCACTGCACTCCAGCCTGAGCAACAGAACGAGACTCTGTCTCAAAAAAAAAAAAAAAAAAAAAAAAAAAAAAAAAGAAAAAAAGAAAAAGCAATGGGGCATCAATGAGTACAGATGGGGCAGATGGGGAGATTTGGAGCAGACAATGAAAAGAATGGTCTGGGAAGTGAAGAGTTTCAGAACTAGGAAATAGTGGAGATGACATCAGGTGGGAGGATGGACTTGCAAACCCAGTTAGAGAGTGTGGACAGAATGTGATGGCCACAGGGAGCCATTGTGTAGTCTAGAGCAGGAAAGTCACGTGGAGTGAGTGAGTATGGGAATGGCAATGGTGTGCAGGCAACCAGTGGAAGAGACTAGAAACAGGGGCTCTAATGTAGAAACATCTCAGTATTTGGGACAAGAGGGGATGAGGACTACATTTTTCCGTGTTTTTCTTCCTTGATCAAAGTATTTCCCTAACTTTAGCAGTCTCTTCTCACTATTAGCTAATTTTGCCATAGAGGCACAAAACTTGTACTACTGTTTACTTGTTTTACCTTATCCATTAATGACTCTTATTTAAACATCTGTTTTATCCTCACCTTGATCTGCAATGTCTGTGAAATTACAAACTTGGTATATTAGTTACATATAGGTTTTAACTGTATGAAAACAAGTATATGCCTAGTAAAAGAAGAAGTTTGTCTGAATCTTACTTAAAATCATCTCAAACTACCAGTGGGGCACTTATTCTTTGGGGGAAGGCTGCCTTCGCTCACAGGTTCTTAAGCTTACTGGGGTCATAGATTCCTTTGTTTACCTACTAAATCCATTAGAAAGGATTTGCAAATGGCACTCATGATATTACCAGTATGTATCTACATATGTATGCAGTAAAATCTAGTCCTTTTTTCCTAGAATACTCAGTGTGTCTGAGCACGCACAAACAAACTTTGCATATCATTTCAAGTTGTCACTATTCCTTGGATTAAAACTCTTTTGACCCATCTGAGGCTTGCAGAATATGGGCCCTAGCTTCTGGGCAGACCAGGGCACTCAGTACATCTTCCCAAAGCTCATGTGGCCTTGAAGTCCTACTGAGTGTCTGCAGTACCCTCTGTGGGAGTCTGACCCTGCTCAGCTTCTAGAATGTCCTGTGGTGAATTCCATTGCTAACGTCTCCTCCGATACCCTAGTTCTTTTCAGAGGCTCCTACCAGAAAATTGACACGAGGAAACTCTATGGCATTGGTCTGCAGGGGCCAGAGTGGCCGTGAACACAGATGTGAACACAGACGTGAACACAGGCTCAGGGCAGAAGCTGAAGGAGTGGGCTGTGTATTTGTGCCTAGTCTCCCAGACTTTTCTGAGAGAAGAGTTTCGTCTCACCCATGGCCTGCAATTGCCCTGTCAAATCAATTTGGGAGACTATAAAGATATAAGAGCTGAACAGCACCAACAGGGGACTCTCTTTTTTTCCTTAAGGCTTCTTGCCAGATATAACAAGAATAAATATGAAATGGCTTCATATTCCAAGCATGAACTAATGTTGGGGTTGTGGCTGATAAGTAAGGAACAGCTAAACAGGCTTTGACATGGTGGCTCTGGAGGGGGCAGCGTTCTCGCTGGAAGTGGGGATGTGGGGATTTATCAGGCCTGTTGTGGAGTGAGCTGTCTGGAAGAGGTTCCTCTTCCATAAAAAACCCAGGCCCCTGCTGACTGATTCTCACGTTAGGAAAACATTGGTAAATCATCAGCATAATCCAAGAATTATTCCCTTCCTCTACTCTGCGCATGAAGGCCCTTCTTTTCTTATCTGTTTTTAATTTTCTTCATGGGTGCTGTTCCTAGTCCATTAATTGAAAGGACTTTTGGCTAGAAGCCCACGACTGTTTTGGGAAAAAAAAAACACACACACCAAAAAACAGAACAACACGAAACCCGAAGGGCTGATATTCTGTGCATCTCAGAGAAATAAAAGTGGATGGGAATGGCTCCTTCGGGAGTCCCTGCTGGGTTCGGTTCTGCCATGCCCAGAGGCACAGGTAGGGGGAACTGGCTGCCTGGACATCTTCCCCCAGCTGGGCTGCCAGGGTAAATCACTGGCTTTCAGAATGTCCTCTGGAGAAAATAAGGTCATTACAAGGCTTTTAAGATCAACCATAATAAACTCCCTCCAATTTGTTTTTCTTCAGCTGCTTTTACTGAGCCCTCTGGGCCTTCCTCCAAGCGCTGAGTATGATACTGCTCAGCGTGATGCAGAGAGGAGAGAAGGGGCTTTGGACTCAGCTCAACAGACCTGAGTGAAAATTCTGCCTCTGCGTCTCCCTAGCTACGTAGCTTTGGGACTACAGGTAACCCCTCTGCTATGAACTGCATGTCTGTGTCCAACTAAAATTCATGTTTGAAAGCCTAACCACCAAGACGATGGTATTTGGAGGTGGAGCCTTTGGGAAGGAATTAGGTATAGATGAGGTCATGAAGATGGAATCTTCATGATGGATGAATTCCCTTATAGGAAGGGTCCAGAGAGCTTGTTTTCTCTAGGCCATGTGACGATACAGCTAGAAGGCAGCTGCATGCCAGGAAGAAGGCCCTCCCCAGAATCTGATCATGCTGGCACCCTGACCTTGAACCTCCTAGTCTCCAGAACTGTGAAAAATAAGTGTCTGCTGTCTAGGCCACCCAGTTTATGGTACAGGCGCACGTTGTTTTATTGAGCTTTCTTCTTTTTTACAAATTGAGGGTTTGTGGCAACCTGCATCAAGCAAGTCTATTGGTGTCATGTTTTCCAACAGCAGGAATACTTCGTGTTTCTGTGTCCGTATTTTTAAGCAATAAAGTATTTTTTATTAAGTTATGCAGATTGTTTTTAAAACATAATGCTGTTACAAAATAGACTATGGAACAGTGTAAGCATAACTTTTATATGAACTGGGAAACTAAAAAATTTGTGTAATTCACTTTATTGCGATACTCACTTTGTTTGCAGTGGTCTGAAATGGAACCCATAATATCCCCCAGGTAGGCCTATATTCTGTGACAGTAGCCTGAGCTGACTACAACAGCCTCTGAGCTTCAGTTTTTGTAAAACAGAGAATCTAACGTCCGCATTATGGAGTGGCTACAAACACTTGAGAGATGATGCATGTAACATGTATAGGAGAGTTCCTGGCCCATGGCAAGGTGAACGGTAAACATTATAACCAGTGTGGTTGCTATGATCATCAGCAACACCACCAGCATCTTCCCTGATGACCTGGGCCAAGGTTGAATGAGAATGGAGACAATACATTCAACTCAGTTTAACACCATTTGGAAAGGATTTGCAAATGACACTCATGATATTACCAGTATGTATATCCCTACTTTCATCTTTCAGCTACATAATCAGGATATAGCAAAGGACACAGCTGTAATATTCATTCATTCGACAAATATTTACTATGTTCCAGACACTTTATACTAGAGTTTCAGGTACAGCAGCAAGCAGGGCAGACATCATACTTGCCTTGCTGGTGAGTACTTGTGCCTTTGGCACTCTGCGCCTTTGGAGCTCTGGGGGAAACGCAGCGCAAAAGGCTTCAAAGGCAACCTATGTTATTGCTCAAGGTTGGTGTTGCAAACAAACAGCAGTGCATAGAAGTCAGCAGGGCCATAGGAACTTCAAGTTTATACTTTCCCCAAAATGCCCATAGAAAATTCAACAGGTATTTGCTGTCGAATCTTCAACAGGCAATTCCTCAGTGCCAGGCACTGTGCTAGGCCCTTGTCCTTGTGGTGGACAAGGCAGGCCCAGTTCCAGCCTTGCAAGGCCTCATAATCTAAGTGAAAGGGGACACAGACAAGAAAAAAATCATCCTACCAAGTGGTAATGCCTGGTCCCCAAGGCCACTGCTGTCTTACTGTAATTCAGGGCCTTGCAGCGTAACTACCAACCAGCCTGGCCATCCTCTGAATTTGGGTATATGGTAAACCTTAAAGCATTCTCTTCTCTAATCATCTATTTTATTTATAGGATAATACAAAAAGCAAAAAATTAGCTTCTTCACCTAAGAGATGCGACAATGAGAGAGTTGGCAGATCTGGATTGTATTCTACTGTCCATATGGCTGGTTCCTTCATCCCTTAACAACACGACTCCCTGTGGAGCCATGAGGAATCTACCCCTCCCTTCCCTCTTTCTTCACTATTCCCCAGCCTCCCACATTACACACAAGTTGTGGTCTGGGACCAAGAGGGTTTTGTTTTTTAAACAGTTAAATCTTCCATTGCAGACCAATTAAAATTTAAAGATTTTCTCTCTCTTTCCCCCTCTTCTCTCTCTCTCTCTCTCTCTCTCTCTCACACACACACACACACACACACACAACTCTCCAAGCACAAAGAGCTGACAACAACCTAGTGTTTACTATTAGAAACAGGATTTGAAAATTCAAAGAAAGAAAAGTTAATTCTTCACCTCCATTTGTCTTTTCCTCCCCAAAGTTCCCTAAATGAGAGACTGCTTTACCAGGAAGCCTGAGTGCCTCCCACCCAACCGTTCCTGTTGCTGGACATGAGAGTCGAGCCCCTTGGCCTTTTTGCAGAGTGTCTGGATACACATACATGGTGCCTGAGGCATGCCCTGGGCACTTGGTAAGCCAGGCTACTCTCATCACGCAGCCCTGCCCACCCCACCCCCCAACTGCAACCTGTAATGTGGTTAGGATCCGTGTCCCCACCCAAGTCTCATTTCAAATTGTAATCCCCAGGGGTCAAGGGAGGGACCTGGTGGGAGGTGACTGGATCATGGGGGCGGTTTACCCCATGCTGTTCTCGTGATAGTGAGTGAGTTCTCACAAAAGCTGATGGTTTTATAGGGCAGTTTCCCCTGCTCTTCTCTCTCCTGCCACCTTGTGAAGAAGGTCCCTGCTTCCCCTTCTGCTATGATTGTAAGTTTCCTGAGGCCTCCTCAGCCATGTGAAACTGTGACTCAAATAAATTTTTTTCCTTTATAAATGACCCAGTCTCAGGTATGTCTTTAAAGCAGTGTGAAAACAGACTAATACAACCTGTATACTGCCAAGTCTCAGTATCTTGGATGTTTTCCTAGTCTGTCATCATGACTCATTGACAATTCCAGGGGCTCTGCCCTGATCACCAAGGATGAAGGGGTGGAACATCAGGCAGTCCCTTTGGACCCAACCTTATTCTACGTGCTTTTTGATCCAAAACGAATAGATGTTAAAATAAGATTAGGTTGAAAGTGTCTAGGAATCTCTGGATAGGTAAGTAGTTTGCATGACACATACCTATGTGTGTGTTAAGTGTGTATTTTGGGTGTATAGTCTGCATGTGTTTGCCTACATACACTGCAGCCTGTCTGCTTCACTGAATATACACTGACTTGCTCTGCTAGAGTTTTAACTATCTTCACTTTCTCCAAGTAGAAAGCCCCTCTTAATAGCGTTTCTTCCCGAGAGTAATCAGAACTAAAGATGGCCTTTAACTAATGCAGTTATAATGCAGGTACACACATACACACCTTTTGCCTTTTGAAATTGGGCTCCCCATGACTTCTCTTGCTGAAGCACTCAGGGCCAAAAAAGTTATCGCTAGATATTAATTTAGACATTAATCTTCCCTGTGAATTTTCCTTTTCCCTGTTGCCTTATAGGACACCAAACAGAGATCTCCTTGCAAAGCAGCCAGCCTGCCTGGAGGTCTGGTCCTGAGCTTTGTGGAGCCCCATCCCTGGAGAACCGGACACTTTCTTTTGGTATTACCAGGCAGAGGGCCATTGTTCTGCCATGATGTAAGATAGACTCCCAGCTCTATGTGGCTCTTGGTGAACTAATGATAATTTTATTCTTCTCTTGGGTAAAGTTCACACAAGGAAAGATGAAGATTAAAGGCAAAAATAAGATCAATTCTTTGCAATGAAAAGAAATCATCTCTGGGAGGATGTGAGTTAGAGAAAACATTGGGTCTCATAGAAAAGGGATCTCTAGACTCATGAAAAAAAGCAAATGATTCCTGTGGGCAGTCATCTTTGGGTCACCACATAATCTGTGGCCATGAAGCTGCAAGGCTGGGAGGAGGCTCCAAGACAAGGGCCTGACTTCCCTAGCCATGACGGGCCTGACTTCCCTAGCCATGAAGAGAAGCACAGGGGTTTGGAGAAGAGGCCATAGCAATAGCTAGAGCTGGCATCAGGAAGGAGCCAGAGAAATCCACAGACCTCTTGGGCAGGTGGGCCCAGACGAGATAAGACCTGCAGTCCCGGCTAGCTCCACCTTTCTATTGAGAAAGAGGGGCTCCCGGCTCAGCTACTGACTTCCCTTGTGAGTCTGGATGAGCCACACGGTCTCTCTGTGTCTCACCATCTGTTTTGTTGTTGCTGCTGCTGTTGTTGTTTTTTTTTAACTTTTTAATAAAAATAGAGACAGGGTCTCCGTATGTTGCCCAGGCTGATCTCAAACTTCTGGACTCCAGTGATCCTCCTGCCTTGCATCCTCTTTTTCAAATGGAAAGTATTCCTGCCCTTCCTTTGCCTCACAGATAAACTATTCTGAAAGCAATAATAGCAAACATTCACTAAGCCCTTACTATTTTCCAGGTACTGCAGCAAACACTTGAGCACATTTTCTCACATAACCCCTCCAACTACCTCATGATGAATGTATTTATGTGCTGTCATTATTTGCATTGAACTGATGAAGAAACTGGAGTTCAGAGATTAAGTAATTTGTGTGAGGTCACACAGCTGGTCGGGCTGGGATTTGAACCAAGGCAGCTTGACCTCTCTGCACCCAAGGTAACATTTCAATATGAGCCAAAATTACAATTTTTTTTTAAAAGAGAAACCAGGAAAGGTTAATTAGGAGGAAGCAATTATCTTAGAGCACAAAGCAAGTGCACATGGTCCTTGAAAGCTATTAAACTAGAAGATGGTTTTCCTCCTCTTGAAACTCCCCTTCTACATCCATGTCCTCCCCTGCACCTTTAGAGACCAACAACCTGCTAATTCGCTTCTCAGATCCCACATAGCTGTGTCTCTGGGTGACCGTAACTTGGGTGAGTCAGCAGACAATCTCTGCAAGGCTCTCAGAAAGATGTCATTAGTGAGAAATGATGCCAAATGTCACATGTAGGAGTCTGTTTGCAAACAGGCTCTTCCCTCCTCGCCGAAAAGCAAGCACGCTGTGTAGTCACCAGCTCTTTCCAGGTCAACTGTCTGCACCAGGCCCCCTGGCCCCACCCAGACACCCATGAAGAACAAACCTGTAGTAAACCAGGGTTGTCATATTTGGTCTGTCGTTATCACTGAGAGAAGCTACCTTTCCTAAAAGGGGCTTAGGTTACAGATAGTGACAGCCTCATAGCTGATTAATGCTACATCCTAACGTCATGTTAAGTAGCTGCGTGCCACCAAAACAAGTTCATTGAGCATTCACTGAGCACTTACTTCAGGTAAGACATCAGACATGATAAAGTATATGCTTATCCCTCCCAGAATTATAAATGTAGGGCGGGAAAGGACTGAGAAAGGAACACTGTAATATAGGGTATAATTAAATACATGCTAGATGAACATAATTTTAATGATGGCTGGAACATATTTTGAACTATTAATTTATATTTATTTTTCATCTATTTTCTGTTCTTGTTCCTCAAGCAAGTAGCCAATCAGCCTTGCCTTCACTGCCTCAGGGATGATAACTTGTAAAACAGAAAGGAAAAGTAGCATGCAAGACTCCCTGGCTTTGAAATGCCAAAAGCTGTTGTCCAGAGGTGAACCAATCGAGTTTTACAGGAGGAAGGAGGCAAACGAGGGTTTGTGGGAAAAAGCATAGCTGGGTGCTTTGCAAAGGGGACCTAGTGTCATGAATTTTGTCTGAACAAGACCCTAAAAAAGTGGCGGTGTGGAATGTTTAGGCAAACACAGGACCAGAGGTGATTTGGCAGCAACTTCTCAGGTACCCAGTGTGACCACAGAGAGTTGCTAGCCCTAACAATGCCAGATGAACAGCGATAAGGGGAAGGGGCAATCCAGAGTTAACTTGCTTGGTTGCTCCTTTATTTTAATGTTGCCCAAGTCCCTAGAACTATGGCCCAGACTGAGGGTGGAACTGAAGCGATTTTGACCATGGTTTCCTGGATGGTGGCCTGGAAGGGTAAGGCTAAAGTTGCCAGTGAATTACAGGATGCCCTGTACTGGGTGTCCTGTATTTTTATTTGCTAAATCTGGCAGCCCTAGATAGATCATGAAACAGAAATTAAGTTGACAAAATGATGTGGACTAAAACTCATACCTGAGTTTGTAAAACTCAGTCTGTGGAATGAGATTCATCCCTATCAGAAAATAATGCCTTTTGGTCAGGTGTGGTGGCTCATGCCTGTAATCCTAGCACTTTGGGAGGCTGAGGTGGGCAGACTGCCTGAGCTCAGGAGTTCGAGACCAGCCTGGGCAACATGGCGAAACCCCGTCACTACCAAAATACAAAACAATTAGCCAGGCGTGGCGGCATATGCCTGCAGTCCCAGCTACTTGGGAGGCTGAGGCAGGAGAATTGCTTGAACCCAGGAGGCGGAGGCAGAGGGTGCAGTGAGCCGAGATCGCGCCACTGCACTCCAGCCTGGGCGACAGAGTGAGACTCTGTTTCCAAAAAAAAAAAAAAAAGCCTTTTATTTTTAGAGTGCTTTACAGTATGAAGCCCCTTCACATGGACTATGTCATCTGATTCTTCCCATAACCTACTGAGATGAGAAATGTGGGTCTAATTATTTCCAGAAAGAAGAGCAGGGCTCAGGGAAGCTAAGCCCACTGAAGACTCTAAGTCTATAAGGGCCGAAGCTATAACCAACACCTGCTTCAGCCTCCAGTCCAGCTCTGCTCCTGGACCCTGAATTGCTTCTGAGTCCCAGCCTGGCCCAGGCTCCAGCATCCCAGAAATGACATCACCGAGTTCTGTTCCAAAATGGCTCTTAGAAGCCTTTGTGAACCCTGGAGTTTTTGGCGTGTCCGACTCCACATTACCACTCTCCAGTGTGTAAAAAAGCCAGAACTATGAAAAGATTTAATTTGGAGAGGTGACCATAGTAAGTCTCCACTGCTTGTGGCTTCTAGGCAAAATTGTAATAGGTCTAGCTACTAAAGCTTTGGTTTATCATCTTCCAGGCCAGGTGACACCCATCTACAAATAGGAAGATGGCTTCATTCCTCCGCGGCTCAATGAGGACAGTGTGGATTTATGGAGGTGATTTATGGAGAAGAGAGCCGTGCAAAGAATGAGGCCAGACTATCAGAGGTCCCTTGTAGACCCCCGAGGAGGAAGGCTGAGGAATGCACTGCCCAGCACACTCAAGACAGTCATTTGCTGGGGGAGAGGAGGGGCCTGCTCTGTCAGAGCTCAGGGTTTTACACATCCTAAAATCTTTACTTATGGACATCAGGTCAAAGGGAAGGGAAAACACTCAACCACACTTGAAAAGTAACCCGATGTTATTGTCAGCAAATGTGCTGCAGCTGTTTTTGCTATTACAAAAGCTGGTACTTTTGTTGTTGTTAAGTATGAATCTTGTAGGAAATAAAGAGTATGATTCTGGGGAAGCCCCCTGTATAGCACTGCCCACTTTGATAAAAATATCATTTATTCATTCAACATAGGGGACTTCAAAAACAGAGTAATATTCTTTCTTGCTTTTTTTTTTTTTTGGTTTAACTAGGTGTTAGAAGGTAGGAACCACTTTTATTGTCATTTTTTATTCTTTATAACTTGATATGTTATAAACATTATTTATTATCTACTAAATAGCAAATACAAATGATAACTCTTCATTGTTGATGAAAGCCATTTTTCGGGGGTACAGGAAAGGGCATCTTATAGATTGGGAGATGAGGATTTTGATGATTGCCTAGAAGACTTTATTTTGTAATAATCCTGAAGCAAAATGGCATGAAGCTCTGCTGACCTGTGATAACTGTGTGTATTTCCTTCCAGTGTCTCACCAACTGGCAGCCATCCACTTCAGGTGTGCCCGTTGAAGGATGCCACCTCGAAGGAGATGGGACCAGCCTTGTGTTGGGGTGAGGATTCTGGCCACTTGATCTGGGCAGGAGTGCTCTGCTCAGAGTGCAGTGCTCAATCTTACAAGCCTGGCTCGCCTGAACTGTGAAAGGTCAGCAGGACTAAGCTGAGCGCCAGGATTCCAACTTCCCTTCTTCCGCCCCAGGTCTGGCAACTTGTAAATGTGGAGGCTCTGCTAAGCACTGGGATTTTATTAAGGGCCTCGTTAAAATTTACTAGAATCAAATAAAGAAAAGATCCAGCCTTGGAAATCATTCTCCACGCTGTCTCTCCTTCTGACCTCTTCTCAACCCCCATCCCCCACACCATTTATTCATCCGTGAAACCTTTAACAACTGAACTAATTCTGGAAAGTTGCCCATATCAGATATCTTCAGAAATCACTTTGGAAAATGCCTTTAGGAAGGTAGGACACCTCTTCCCATTTGTCTTATGATGGCAGGTCCAGAGCTTACATGAAGAGGCAGTGAGGCAAAGATGTAAAGAATATGGACTCTTCAGTCAGACCTGGGATGAACCCCGGCCATTACCTACTCACGGAGGAGCCTGGGCCACTTATCTAACCTCTCTGAGGCTCACTTTCTGCGTCTATCAAATGAGAATAGCGCTACTATCTGCTGTATGAAACACTGACCGAGTTAAGCAAAATAATGCAGGTTAGCTGCTTAATCCAGTGTCTAGCACATAGCAAGTGCCAAAAATGTGAGCGATTAAAAGGGGTCTTTTACTAGCACTGGCCACATCCCCATCTTATCGCTTTATCTTCCATTGAGCAGAGGTTCTGCCAGGTGCAGGGGACAAGGGAGAAGAAAAGACACGCACATTCTCCTGGGCTTCAAAGTTGTCCCATCCTTCTGTGATGTCATAATCTGAGCCATAGCCCACAAATGTGAACTCCAACAACCCCCAAACCCAGTCCTCACCTCCCACATGCTTTTCATCACCCGCTCTCACATCCCATCTGGGGCCTCTGCTTCCATCCTACCATTTCGCAAGCCTGGCCAACTCAAGCTCCGTGTGCTGCACCTAGAGCAGCCCATCTCTGTGTCAGGTAAGCACGTCAGGGCCCCCAGGATGGGAGACAGGAAAACCTCTTCTGGGGGAAGCCGAAATGGAGCAAAATGGGACAGCTCTTTGGTTTTGTAATTAAAACTGAAACCCGATCCTTCTGCTCTCAGAGACCTGACCACAGGTTTCGTTTTTCAAAGGGCTACCTGGATGCTTATTAAAGGCCAACTTGTGCCCAAGATTGGGTTACTCCACTTTCAGCAGCTGCTTGACCTCTGCCTCTTACGCCCGTTCTGAGATGAAGGCTCATGTGGAATTAAACCCGGGCTAAATAGGTGGCCCAGGGCAGCCGGGGCCCCATGCAGCTCCTCGAAAGACAAATGTATTTTGAGCAGGCCTGGCTCCTACTCCTTCAGGTCTCTGCTCAAATATTCATTCACCTGCCCTCCAAACCTACAGTTACTTACCTCTTCCTTCTTCCTCACATTGTCGTATTTTCTCATGCCACTTACTCTAAAGTGCCTGGTTTATAGATCTGCATACTTGCTCTGGCTTGCAGGCCTCTAGGCTGTTGGTTCCCTGAGAAGAGAGACTGCCTGTCTTGTTCATGCTATAGTTCCTGTGTGTGATAGTTATTGCACTGAGTGGATGAGGGAGAAGGATAAAAGTCATAAAATGCCTCGCAAAAACTTTGAGGTCTGCCTGCCTGGTATTACAGAGAAGCTTGCACAATACAGAATGTTTTGTGGGAAGGAAGGCAGGCAGGCAGGCAGGCAGGCAGGCAGGTTGGTTATGTTTTCACTCTTGATATCTCAAAGCTTTATGACACACTCATGGAGTGAACATAATCTTTGTGGCATGATACAAAGGGACTGAATCACTCAAGAAGATAATTTTATCTGGTAGTATCACCTGCCTTTATACATTATACATGTATTCTTATTCTCTCTCTCCAGCTATATATATCCAGAAAATTTTCTGAACCAAAATTGGCCAGGTCCTGAATACCTAAGTCCATGGAGTGGAAAGTCAGTACAAATTTGATGAGAGCCAGGAAACCTGAAGTACTGGTGGGGGAGAGGATGGTGAGGTGGAGAAGAGAAAGAATAGCCACAGCCAGGGCTTTTCTTTGGCTGAAGCCTAGGATAGACTTAGACAGGTCAAGACCAACGTCAAGCCGGCTTCCTCCACACAGACACACACACTTTCCTTCGCTCCTCTGAGCTGGAAAACAGTGCCTTTTGCACACAGGAATGAAGAGAAGGAAGGAAAATAGGGCAGAGAAGGTGAGCTAGCCCTGAGTGTAGGAGCATTAAGAAGCAACCTCATGCTGGTGCAGTGGTTCATTCTTTTAATCCCAGCACTTTGGGAGGCCAAGGCAGGTGGATCATCTGAGGTCAGGAGTTTGAGACCAGCCTGACCAATATGGTGAAACCCTGTCTCTACTAAAAATACAAAAATTAGTTAGGCGTGGTGGCACATGCCTGTAGTCTCAGCTACTCAGGAGGCTGAGACAGGAGAATTACTTGAACTCGGGAGGCAGAGGTTGCAGTGAGCTGATATCATGCCACTGCATTCCAGCCTGGGTGACAGAGCGAGACTCCATCTCAAAAAAATAAAAATAAAAATGCAACCTCAGAAGGTGGCAATAATGACCTTGTAGATTACAGAACCAAACTTGCAGGAGGGCAAAAAGCAAAACCTTGTCATTGATAAGGGCTATCCATCCATATAAAATGAATTACAAACCAACTAACTGGACAAAAAAAAAACAAAGCAACACCATCTATGAGTTGATATATTTGGCTCAGCCTGGTTTTTCTGTGTATTAGGAAAGGACAAAACAAGAGTGGCTCTGGGACATCCCCTTGTCATCATAATCATCCCTCCCTCACACCCCTCCCCTACAGGGCTGATTTTATGCTCAGGAGGTAAAGGGTCCTCCTGCAAGAGCAGGTTGAGGGCCTGCTTTCTGCTGACCCTGGATCTGGCAGGGAAGCTCCTGCAGGTGTGTGTTAATGACTGTGGGGAACTCTGTTTAGGGACAGTTCCAGGAGCCACTCAGCAATGATGTTCCAAAAGCCAGAGTTGACCAATATGCATGCATTTGTGCAAGCATGGACAGGCTGGAGCAGTGTCCGCTGCAACTGTCCAAAAGTGATACATAATCCATAGCTGTGTAACTTTGCACAATTAACTTCTCTGGAACTTTCTAACCTTATTGATAAAATTAAGACTTTGGAATAGATACTCTCTAAGGATCTCCCCGGTTTCAAACTTTTATAATCTTATGGAAAACATTACTCTGGCCAGGTGTGGTGATTCATGCTTATAATCTCAGTGCTTTGGGAGGCTGAGGCAAGAGAATACAAGACCAGCCTGGGCAACATAGTGAGACCCTGTCTGTACAAAAACAAAACACAGCAAAAACAAAAACCAAAAATTAGCCAGGTGTGGTGGTACTTGCCTATAGTCCCAGCTACTTGGGAGGCTGAGGTGGGAGGATTGTTTGAGGCTGTAGTGAGCTATGATCATGCCACTGCACTCCAGCCTGGCTGATAGAATGAGATTCTGACTCAGAAAAATATAAACACACACACACACACACACACACACACACACACACACACACACACACACACACAACTTTCTGTCTGCCCCCTTGCTCTTCCTGTCCCATCTCTGCCTTTCTTCTTTCCTCTCTTTGTCAAATCTCCTTCGTCTGCCTCACAAAGGCCAGTGAGCCCCAGCCGCAGACCAGGGAAGCCAGCAAATTAGGAATTTTCTTCACAAAGTTTTGAGTAGCTATTTTTCCCACGTGCTTCTCAGGCTGTGAGATAAATCCCCAAGTCTCCTGTTGAGTGCTGAGTAAGAAAAGCCAGGCAGTCTGCAAGCAAAGGTCTCCTGGTTAAGTCCCGGGGCTACAGAGCAATAAATACAGCCCCTGCACCAAGACACTTGGTCTAATACAGAAGCACATGTGCTCACAGAAATGCAACACTTCTGCTGTAGAAATCAAGACACAGCTAACGGGTGAAATGACCAGCAACTAAGGTATCATGCTGATTACTGGCGGAGTGATTTTTATGAACCAGAAAGCCTTCCTAGGAATGGGGATATAATATGCAAGTTTATAAAAACTAATAAATGATATTATCATTATTAAGTGTATCTATTCCTATTGAGAAGTCACTCCATTTGGGACATATCCATCCATTAAAAACATATAATACATGTAATTCTTATTTACTGAGCACTGTATGCTATGAGCTGTGCTGAGCTCCTCATATATGTATCTCATTTAATCCTCACAATAACATACAGATCAACGACAGCACAGTGTTAAAGGCATGTTAATACTCTCAGAGATTCTGCCCTTGGCACCTCAGCTTTTTCATCTATGAAATGGGACAAATAATAGTATAGACCTCAAAGGCTTGGTGTGATTTTTCAATTAAAAAATTATGTAAAGCACTTAATACAACATTAGGAACATAGTAAATGCTCTATAAATGTTATTTTTTGGAGTTTGTATCATTTTTACACATATTGCTACTTGAGGGAGGAACAGAGAGCATTAGACTGAGCAACAGACTGATCCCAGGTCACAGAGCAAGAGTGGGGTTTGAATCCCACTCTTGAATCCAGCTCCGTCTCTAAGCTCCATACTGTGCTGTTCCTTGTGAAGTGAATTATTACTGCAGAACTCTAGTATTCTTGAAAGCAACTGCTTTAAATCCTCAAGTAACTCAGCACTTTGTGTGACTTGTCCTGTAGTCCGCCTTTAAAAGTCATTATGGATCTTCAGTTAAAATCACTTTGCCCTGGAAAGAGGTCAGGCAAATTCGTGGCATAGACAGACCTTTAAGTTAGACATCTATGGCCTTTACTTTGAGATAGGGAGATCAGGCTGCTTCGCATGTTATCATCTGTGATTCCAGATAGTTGACTTCCCCACCTATCCCCACTCTGGACTCTCCTGGGACATCCCCTTCGACTCCTTCCCAATGCCCAGCTCACATCAGGCACTGAAGGTCCCTAATACGGAAATGTTAACGAAAGAGCTAAAAAGAGCATGGCATGAAATGGGGCTAGAAAGATACAAGACTTGGAAATGCTAGCTGCTCTCACCAAAGGAAGCTCTTAAGGAAAGGAAAGCAGCCACCTTGGCAGCCTGAGGAACATTCATAACACTTAGGCAAGGCCTCGCTGGCAGCAGGGCTGAAAGGAGCAGGACAAATTGCAGCCAGCTCCTTTGAGTCAACTGATGCTTCCCACAAGCCTCTGCATGGCAATGGGCTAAATCTCCTGCAGCAATGGATGACCTTGAAGGTGCATGCTGCAGCAGTAATTCTAAAGAGGTGTCAAAAGGGGTGTAAATAAGCAGTCCAAGGAAGAAGCTTGTCAATAAATATTGTCTATGAGAAAAAAAAGCTTAAGGAACAGCTTAGTGTGTCCAAGCATCTCCTAAGTCTTCTTTGGTTTATTAGCTTTCATAAGGAGGAGTCAGAGAAGTAATCTGGAGCCACTAAGAGTCAAAGACAGGAAAAATGGGCTTAAGCAGGAGGAAAATTCCAGCAGGACAAAGAAACACAGGCTGGTAAGATTGCTAGATTCTCTTGCTGACGAGGTTATGGTTCTACCCATACATCTCCAAGAAGGAATTCTGACACAAAACAAATCTTCCACCCACCCCCCAGAAGCCTGCATGTATCCTATTTATACTAGTTCCAGAGTTACCTGCAACATTCATACTGTCTGCGTCAGAATCACCTGAAGAGTTTATGTTAAATACAAGTTCTCAGGCCCCACCCCAGAAAACTGAGGCAGATCCCTGGGACGGGGATGCCCCCAAACCCACATTTTTTGCAAGCTCCTGGGGTGATTCCTATCTACACTGAAGTCATCGAGAAGCAGTCCCTTGTCTGCATTAGGGGAGTGAACCAAAGCCGGCGCAAGCCCCTTCCAGCTTGAATTTTCTGAATTCATACATTTTACCAAACCCATCTGAAAAGGGCAGTAAAATAAAAATAAAGCCTTCTTTTTTGCAGGGAGGTGAGCTGCTCAGTTGCCAGAGTATCAACCTGAGCCCAGGACACTGCCAGACTGCTGAGTCAAAGAGGGTTTAGCAGCCCATTTTCATAGACAGACAGGTGAGAGGAGGATGCTGGACATGGTCCCAGAGACATGGGGACTCAAGAAACATGAAGATCTGTTCACAGCTAAGGGCACATTTCCATGCCGAGAAATCAGGCGTGAGCGCAAGAGTCCTATCGTCTACCAGAAAAAGAAATCTTTGGGTAATTTTTTTCTCTGTCTTATCTCCGAGTTGGGTGGTGAACTGTGGAAACACTGTATTGATTTGCTCTTCACTCTTCAATGCTTTGCAGTCTTCTTGCGAAGGGAATTTAAAATATCTCCGACAACTCTGGTAGATGACTGGCTATTTCTAGGGAAATGCAGGGGGTCTGATGGCAGTTTTCCTTTTCCTTCTGTTTTGACTACATCTTTGGAACGGGAACACGCTGACGGCTGTCTGGGACTCCTTTCCCTAGGAACTCCTGCAGTGGCTGTCTCAAGGTCACTCGGAATGCAGTTTTGCCTCTCTCTGCTGAGGTGCCCATTAGCACCCTGCATTGACAACTAGTCACGCCCCGAGTCTCCAGGCCAATTTGCCTCCCCCACTCTGGGTTGCTGGGCAACAGGAAGGAAGCCTTGTACAGGGCTACATCTTTCATAGACAGCAAAGGGAGAACTTTTAGCTGCATCCTGGGAAGGAGAAAGGAAGTGACATGGCACTCAGAATTGGGATCTTCCAGCTGGGTCAACTCATTCCACAAGACTGCAGATCTCTCTTGCCAGTGCAAACACTGTCCCTTCTCAGACCTGGGGGTCGACCTTTGCAGAGGCGGGAAGCAAGTGATGGAATGCCTGAAAGAAGCCAAACTGCCTTCCGGGTCACAGCCTAGTTTGAAGTCTTGACTCTCTGCCCTTTGCTTTGCGTTAAATTGTGGGTTGCACCACAGCACAAGTTGCTAGTTATAAGTTAGAGTCCCAAGTTAATTCATTAAAAGAATAAATTAGGGAGACTTGTATGATCACTCACATTCCCTTGTATTTTGATAGCTTCCTTGAAGGTAAAAGAAGAGTTAGGCTTACCTAGGTCAGCGGCTTTGCATATGCACGGTATCTTATTTCTCACATATTCCATAGGCTCATAAGTAGTTACATCCACAAATGTCAGAAAAACTGATGGCTTGGCAGCAATTAGCAAATTATGATCACCTGCTACCTCTACCACTTGCTTAAAATGAGCAGGGGAGCATATGGAAAATGCAGACTCCTGGGCCCCAACTCCAAAATACTAAGGGTGGAATCCTGAAATTTACATTTTAAATAAATGTCCTCTTCCTATAGCTATCACTCTTTTCCTTCAAAGCACAGCAGAAAACATTTCTCTTTTATAAAGGATTAAATATGTTTGAGTCTTTTTATGTCCTCTTAATCCATTTTCTTTCACTGCCTCCAGCAGTGAAAACAGACATAACTTTTTCAGTTCTTTGCAGATAGTTTAAAATGCTCTTTGTTCTGTGTTTTGCTTGGGAATAAGTGTTTTCCCTGGGCTACAACAGAGACTGA
Organism: Homo sapiens; assembly: GCF_000001405.40. Lineage (NCBI taxonomy): Eukaryota > Metazoa > Chordata > Mammalia > Primates > Hominidae > Homo > Homo sapiens. Next base: position 169,019,981 of record NC_000005.10, read on the forward strand.
CAAATAAAGGCCATTTCTCAGGACAAATTTGGCCGCTGCCTGTTTTTGTAATAAAGTTTTATCGGAAGTCCTGCCATTTAGTTTTTTTACATATCGTCTGTGGTTACTTTCATAGTATCATGGCAGAGGTGAGTGGTTAAGAGAGAAACAGTATGACCTACAAAGCCTAAAATATTTTACTATCTGGCCTTTTACAGAAAGTTTGCCAAATGTTGGTTTAGAAGGGTAGTGAGACTGGCTGGCAGTTGAACAAACATATTTCCTTGTCTTCCTGGCTACATAACTAGGACTACATCTCCCAGTCTCCTTTGCAGTTGGTCCTGATCATGTGACTGAGTTCCATTCAAGGAGAGGAAATTGGCCTGGCTTGGTCCGTGAAACTTCCCTGAGTTTGATCCCCCACGATGTTGACAAACCTAGCATTGAACCTACTGCTGAAAGTGGCAGAGTTCTTAATGATTACTCTTAATCATGAATTGAGTAAAGGAGTTTGGGAATCTGGGTCTCTTAATCATTACTTGGAAGGAAGCCACCTACTCATTAAGAAAAGCCATTTTGGTCTTTATCTGAGAGAGAAATAAACCTCAATCAATTTGAGTCATTATACATTGTATTAAATTCATTTGTTACAGCAGCTGAATTAATTTAACTTAAACACAGAGCCTCCTTCCTTAGGTTAGAACTTAGAGTTAAGGAATGAAATCTTCTCATTCAGAACACATTTACCATCTGCAAAAGCATGGATGGTGGGTAAAGGGATTGCTACCTATGTAAAGGGGAAAGAGAAACACGCAGAACCAGAGAGGACAGTGGTCGCGGAAACTACTTTTGCCTGAAGTCTCTGCTCACTTTCTAAAATACCCACATAATGAATTTGTCTTCCCCATCACTGACCAGTAGATGCCCTGCCACACACAGTGCTAGAGCAAGATAACCCTTCCTCCAGGAAATCATTATTTCCAGGGGAGACGGAACAGTGAAGTGTCAGGGTTAGAGTCCTATAGAAGACTATGAAGTAGGGAGGAAAGTGTTCTGAATAGAGTGTGACAGACCTGGCTTTCAGAACCTTCTAGAAATGAGCTATGTGCTTAAGGCAAGTCACTACACCTTGGAAGCCAGGACTTCCTCATCTAGAAGATGTAGTTCTTCTGTCTATAGATATATAGATGTCTACACCCTGGAATGTCAGCACCAGACTGGATTTTAGCTATAACTAGCTCAGAGGTTTCCAAAGCAGCTTCCAAGAATGCCTGTGATCTGTCAGAGGTGCCTCAGTATCTTAAGGGATGGGCAAGGGGCAGGTTCTGGGCTGCCCACAAATTCAACTTGAGCAACATGAATTTTTATGTATTTATGGTGAGATAGTATTCTTTTTTCTTTTTTTTTGAGATGGAGTCTCTTGCTCTGTCACCCAGGCTGGAGTGCAGTGATATGATCTCGGCTCACTGCAACCTCCTCCTCCCCAGTTCAAGTGATTCTCCTGCCTCAGCCTCCAGAGTTGCTGGGATTACAGGCACCAGCCACCATGCCTGGCTAATTTTTGTATTTTTAGTAGAGACGGGGTTTCACCATGTTGGCCAGGCTGGTCTCGAACTCCTGACCTCTGGTGATCGACCTGCCTCGGCCTCCCAGTGTGCTGGGATTACAGGCATGAGCTACCGTGCCCAGCCAAGATAGTATTTTAAAATAGTAACCTATGTGTTGCTGCCCCTTCCAAGACACTCATACTCCCTTGTATCTAGGCAGACCAGATATAATTCACCTTTGCCTTAAGGACCAATTGTCCCAGGATAGCATAGAGAATAAAGACATTAATTCTTCGTCTCTCAGTTTCAAAATTCTAGACCTGCGTTGCTCACCATGGCAGCCTCTATCCACATGGAGCTATTTGAGGTCAATTAAAATGAAACATTCAGTTCATTGGTCATACTAGACACGTGTGACTGTGGCTACTGTAATGGAAGTACACATATAGAACACACCCATCATCACAGAAAGTTCTATTGGATATTGTAGATCTAAACCCTAAGTGTGCTCAGAGTATACTTGATCAGTCAGAATTAGGAGTCTCCCTCCACCAAAGATTCCTCCAGCTGGGGAAAACATCAGGGGGCAAGCCTCTGAGAATTCCCTTGCCTCCATGCCACTGCAGGAGCATTCAAGGAGGAATGGCTTCATGATGGCAATGAGCGGCATCGCCTGAAAGACAGCCTTCGAGAGTCTCCCAGAGCCGCTGAGGAGCAAGGCAGTAAGTAAAAGGATGATTTTTTGTGCCCTCGAGAATTGTAGGGAAGAAGCATATTGAGTGAGAAAGGGTTATTTCATTGGACACCAAGGTGGACAGACTTAGGTTCCATGAACTAGATGCCCACTACCTCCTCCCTTAGGCTGGGCACCGCTATACTCTCTGAAACTTGGACACAGTCCTGGAAAGGAGGCAGAGGGATTATTTGCAAGTGCCTGCTATTTAGTTTTTGTGAACAGGGAAAAGTGAACATCAGTGAGAAACTGTTACAAACAATAAAAGTCACCTTTCTTGGATACAGACACTTGTAGACTGAGTTTTCACCCACTATGTATTTCCTATGTTTGCCTTGTACAAAAATGATCCTGTAGCTAAAAACAATGAGACTGAAAACTCAAGAAAGGTTGAGCCAGAGATGTGTGTTTCTCACACCTAAAAGCATCTTACTAAATGTGATGGTTTTTGCGGGGGGTAACAAGCAAAGGCAGGAAGAAGTTTCAGGCCCCTCATGGTTTTAGATGAAACTCTGCGTGAGAACAAGTGGTGGCATTGTCCAGTGTGTGCCCTGACATCCTCCCGAGGGGAGCAAAAGCCAAGCCAAGAAACAAGAGAGTGAGCGCTCTAAGCTCAAACATGTTAAGTACACCCAAAAAGGACACACCCACCCCAGCTTACAGCCCTGCTTTGTTCCACAAGAAAATGGGCAAAAGGTGAACAGGTAATAAGAAAAAAAATATATCACCATTTCACTAAGAGTCCAGTATTGTTTGTACTTCTAGTGCCACCCACTCTAACATGATGTGTTCTGTGTATATGATGTTGCCTGAGGAAACGGAAGCTCTAACTTCCCTTATCCAAGCATGCTATCTTTCTTAATCAGGTTATTATTACACCAGCCATATTTTCATCATTTTGGATGTCTTTTTTAGGAATTGCATGAGTGTGTACATGCATATAACTAGGTACAATGCCAACACACTGAAGATCCTGAACACTCAGGCTTTGGTATGAGCTCCTCTGTGAGGACCTAGTGCTGCTATGCAGAGGAGTGAGCATGGTTGTATGGGTGGGTTTGGGGTTTGTTTTCCTCTGTTACTTGAAAAATAGCTATTTTGTCTGTGTGTAGAAATTTTTTTAGGACTGTATTCAAAGAAAAAAGAGGGGTGGAATTTTCATTAAAAGGATAATTGTAAGACTAAAGCTCTGTCATCTGTTTTCGAAACAGCTCTAGGCCTCTGGGTTGTAGGATATGTGCATTGAGAAGAGGCCTACAGTAAACTCTCCCCAGACTTCTGTGGACCTAGGAGGCTGCTGACTTCATAGGGTCATTCTCCTTGCTTGCTCTCTTCCTCATTCCTCTTGTATTTCTACCCTCTGTTCTTTTTTTTTTCCCACCACAGCTACCTGCTCTCACTCTTCTGTTATCTTCAACCCATCTTCTTTGCCCTAAACTCCTAGGCTCCCCCACCTACATTCCACCATATTGAAGGGCTTACCTGTCTGGTGCCAGCAAAGGTAATAATGCTGGGATGGCTGTGTGTGGGTGGGAGTGGGGCACAGGGTCAGGGGTTGAGTTTTATAACTCTGTTTTACCTATCTCTAAAGACAGAGGTGAGCTGGTATTATGAAGTCAGATGCATCTTTCGAAAGGAATGAAAGACTGAGGCTGGGAAAAGGGAAAGAAATTTTTTTCTTCCCAGTGGAAACATTCGCATGCTACAATTGGAGAATGTGATTCTGCCAGCTGGTCATATTGGGGCTGTGTCCTGACCTATGGACCTCATGTATGCAATTCTCTTTCTCAAAACATAGCTTCGAGGTAGGCATAATTACTCCCTTTTGGTGAATAACCAGTAGATGGACCAGAAAGGTGAAGAACATGCCAGTCACCCAGCTGCTAAGCCTCTGAGCCAGGAACTTAATCCCAAGAGCAGATTATTGAGCGTGAACACAGTACCGGAACTCAGCAATGTGGAGACTGCAAGATGGCCAGTCCACCCCGGGAGGAAGCAGAGTGGCATTTGAAGGGGATAAGATGACGTTCTTATTTATTTGTTATGTGCATGACCTGGTAGGCAGCAGGGCTGGAATTTGCCTGAGATCCTGAAGTTTGAATCTTCATCCAATATACTACCCTGCCCACAACATGAGCCGTGGGAAGACAGACATTCTCTAACTTCAGGAGGCAAACTTTTCCACGGGGGAGAGAGCTATCAGTCAAAAACTTCTCACTGGGCAGGGGGTGCAGGTACATTTTTCCTGCCGGAAGTTGCTGAAACGTCTGGGAGACTTTTAAGGTTGACTCGGCCATGAACCTACTCCAGATCCTGCTGCTTCCTTGGTTTCCAGAGCAACAGCACAGGATCGGGAGAACATACGTGGTATCAGATTTGGACAGGGAGGCGAGCAGCAGTGTTTGTCGGTGGGAACGGAGTGTGACACACACAGCCTGGGCTCTGTGCCTTGCCCAAGCTGTCACACGCACCACATCCTCCAGAAGCGGGGTGGTAACAGCCTGGAATCCACCAACCCCTTGCCTGTCTTTAAGGAAGAATAGCAGTGATGCAAGAAAGAGACAAAATAAGGAAAAAGGCAGAAAGAGGAGACATTGGTTCAGCTTGAAGAAATTCCTACCCTGATGTACACAGTATCCCCACAGGGCCACAGGATTAGAGAACAACTGCCGCTCCCAAAGTCTCCAGACACCTCCAACCCTTATGACTTGGACAACAATTTGCAAAATTAAATTACTTCTCATGGGGAAACTGTTCATTATAATTGGGGCTAGTAATTTTTCAGAGACCAGGTCTGAATGGAAGTGTGGGTCAGGGCAAAGTATAGGAAGACTCAGGAAGCAAGCTCATTCTCTTTCGCTAATAAGCACGACCCAAATCAGGGAGGGATGTTTAGAAGAGACCTTTCTGGATATGGTTCTGGAGTCAGCTGCAGAGTTAAGAGAGGGGATTAAAATACATAAATATATCTTGAATCCATCTGGAATTTTAAAGACACTATTATTCAAGGAAGGAAAGGGATGAATTCAGAAATGGCTCCAGCCCCATAATAGAAAAGGTAACTTAGACTCCAGAGTTCCCAGCTCGTACCAGAAGGTACTTACTGAAAGTCTCCTTCCAACATCTCTGGCCTATAGGTGATTCTGTAGATGTGATGTGCCAGAAACCAAATCTGTTGGGTCCAGAGAAGAAGTAGAGAGGCTCAAAACCATTTTTCCCAGAACAGATGGTACATTCCTTGCTCTTCTTTCTTTTCTTCAATCTTGTTCTTTCATGAACATCTTTTGCAAGATGAATTCTGTGGAACCCCCAGGAGCCTCAATCCATACCTGGTAAAGACGAGGCATATAGAAAACTTGGATCTCTGTGCTGTAAGGAAACTAAGAGATGCCTGAGATTAACTCTCTTTTGTACAGAGAGAAGCATACAGCTCTAGGGGCCTCCTAGAGTCATGGTATGCAAATAATTAAACAAATGGTTTAACAGCAATGTTGTCAGGAAAAGAATTTCCAATTCCATCACCATGGTGATAGTTCATCAAAAAAAAGTCTAAATCTAAAAATTGCCTTCACTTGGCTGATGGAAAATAATAAATAAGGCTCCCAGGGCCTGCACTTTGTATTATCTGTTACTACCAGCCTGAACTCTCCCCTAGTTCCGCCTTTATACCTGGCTTGGCCCTAGCATAGCTATAGCCACCTGCGATTTCCCAGGATGCTTAAAAGGTGAGTGGCTAATTTCCCAAATCCCCCAATCACCAGCCTGTCTCCTCTCCCCATGCTCTTGCTGGCATCCATTAGCCTTTGACTCTGGGTTTATTAACTGTCCACAGCAATTTCATAGATGGGGAATTTATGAAAATGACTCTTAAGCTCCTGGGTGTGGTGACTCCCTGGCAGAGACTGTTCAGCAGGAGAGGAGATTAGGATATTCTGAGAACTGCATCAGAAATGGGCACCTGTGACTTCCTTCTGTTCGAAGGGAAATGCCACAGCCTAATTTTAATATTAAAAATGAAATTGTAAGAAGGCTTCCTGAAATAGACAAAGTATGTTGTTTTGCCATTTCTAGGAGAACTGCAATCCAAGCAAATGTGGTGGGTGTGAAGCTTTCAAGAAGTTGGGTCAAGAACAAGGACTGAAAGAGGAGCATCAATTTGTAAGTTCAGGAATGTCTGCTCCATCTTTGCAGAGACAAGCAAATATCAGGGACCACCCAAGTCCATTCATTGTGAACTAAGTGAATCATGACACAACCACACAATGGAACACCGTGCAGGATTATGATATACAGACTGCTGAAGATCTAGAGTTATTGATATGGAAAGATGCCCATGATGTATTGTTAGCAAAAAAAATCAGCCTACAAAACAACATGCATAGCATAATCCTATTTAAAATATATCTTTACATGTGTATGTATATAAGGAAAAGAGTAGAAGGCTATATACTGAAATGTTAATGACTGTTACCTCTGCTGGCTTTTTTAATTTTTATATAATTTTAGCGCCTAAAACAATATTTTATGCAGTGAGCTTCTATGAATACTATCATCAGAAAAAAAAAACCCACCCCAAAACTCTAGAGCTACTTTTAGATTGACTTTTCAAGAATAAAGGATAGGGACCAGGTCTCTACTGTACCAGGCACTGTGGTGGAAGGCAAAATTTTAAAACTACATGGTCCCTGCCCTCAGGAGGCTTGAAGTCTGAATGAGGGGATATTGTGTGGAACAACATGAAATTTACCAGTAAGTCATAGATCTTTAGGAGTAAAAGAATGAAACATTAGATGACAGTGGATCATGTTTCCATGGGTAGACAGACTTAGGATGGTGGTTGAGTAAAAGAAAATTGAGGTGCCCATCCCAGATTGGTATAATATTGCTCAAGTTGCTCATGTGCCCTGGGGTTCAGTTTTCCCATCTGAAAGTAGAGTTAGTAACAGTAGATGAGGTAAAGCACATAGCACAGTGCTGCACAGGCTACATTTAGGAAATGCCCACCTTTCTGATTATTTTATCATTCCTACCAAGGGCTTGGAGAAAGCAAGTGTGGGAACAGCTTTAGATAGAAAAGACTAGCCTTTGTTATAATATTTCTTGATGCTCATAGTCATGTCCCTTTTGAAAAGACACTTCCTCTAGCGTAAGTGTTTAAACAAGTATTTAAATTAAATGGCACTCATTTTCCCAGGAACATGCAGAAGTCTGGCCCACACTTCTCCAGCACAATGCAGTTTTTATTGTAGTGCTTAATCTGTTGATGAAGTCAATCAATGGCTTTCCCCGCTTCCTAAGCAAATGACTTGCTCCACTCCAATCAAAAGGCACCTTTAATCTGATTCCTTTTCACTCAACTCTCCGCCGTGACCCATATGCCACTTTATTCCTCCTTCCCCCTCCTGAATGTAATAAGCCTGGTCCAATTTGCTTGTATAAACAGAAGGCCGAGGCAGGCGAGGGACGTCACTTGGCCGCAGCGGTTCTGCTTTTTATACATTCCTCCTGCCTTGTTTCCTGAGACCTTTCAATAGAGCCAGACTTGGAGGAGAGTTATATTAAACAGTTTGACTCCAAACCTAAACAGCCCCTGAAGCATTAGTGGTTCAAAGATCTCCTGGTGCATTTATGAAAAGCCATTGATCTGGGAAGAGGTGTTAGAGGACTTGAAATGCACTAAGAAAACTCCTTTACTGGCAGGAGGGAGAGTGGTTTTCATTAAGGAACTGCCCTTTATCTCGTCACATTACTGACCTGCTGGAGCTGAGACGGGCTGCTTCCTTTAGCCTTTAAAGGAAGCTGCCTCTGGTCAGAAACTACGATAAGAAAGCATTCATTTTTAAGACACCCACAAAAGACAGAAGTGTGGCACTGTGGTGGCTTGGTTTTCTGAGTTTAATCCCCAAATATTCTTTAAATTGTAAACCTTGTGACCACCTCTGATGCACAGAAGCCTTAAGAATGCCAGGGGTTATTTCTCCAAATGTTTGGTTATTAGTGATGGGAAAAAAAAAAAATCTGTGAATTATGTACTTCAGAGCTCAGGGGGACTTGAACTATCACCTAGAACTGCGTCTACTCTTAACTCAGGGTCATACATGTCCCAGAGGACCATTGGTCAGCTTCAGGGCTGTGTAGGCTCCCACAAATCCCATTGTGCGCTTACCAGCTGGGTGAACTGAGATGAATTCTCTTGTCTTTGCCACGGTTTTCTCATCTAGAAACTGGGCATTGTGACCTCCTAGGATTCTTGCAAGGATTAAATATAACACATGTAAAGTGCCTTGTACAGTGCCTGGCACATAGTTGGCACTTAATAAATGCTATAATCATCATTGCTTGTTATTACTATATTATTATTCAGGCAGTCTAACAATTGTGAGCAATATTTTGCATTTATTTGCACATGTCCACTTTCCTAGGAAGAGGTCCATACATTTCATTTTCATTTCCCCCAAAAGGAGAAGAACCACTAAGCTAGCTAGACTAATAACTTCTTTAATTGATGAGTAAAATCCTACCCAGAGGTTTAAGTATTTTTTCGACAATCACATGGTAACCTAGAGGCAAGGTGAGAGCTAGAACCCAAAATGTGTTGATTCCACTGCTTTCCAAAATTTTGGCAACACTAGCAAAAGCAGCCCAGGCCTTGCACAAAAGTGACCTATAAATAAATGTAGAATAGGCCTGGACATATATTGGTGGCTTCAAGGCAAAGGGAGTGTTCAGGGGTCTGGAGGTGTGTGATGGCTGTGGAGCTGTGAAAACACCACTTGACATGTATAATCAACAGAAGAGGGGGTGTGCAAACCAGATAGGAGGAGGAATGGGTGGGGACTCCAGGAAGAAAACACCCCAGTTGCAAATTCTTCTGCATTTCCCATGCAATAGCAAAGCAAGTTGATCCCATAAGCTATCCGTAAGCTTCACCAAATCCAAGAGAATCTATGCATAGCTGACTTAGGAAACAGTAGGTATTTGTTGAATTCTGAGTGATTGCACCACTTTCTCCGAGAAGACATAGCCACAGGACTTTGAGGTTTGCACTCTTTTTGTTAGCCAGATTCCTTAAAATACTCTGATATTTTCCTAGTTCATTTGTTCTCAAAGGGTGGCCCTGGGCCAGCACTATAGCTGTCATTGGGGGAACTTGTTAGAAATGCAAATTTTGGGTCCTCTCCTCGGACCTACTGCATCAGAGACTGTGGGGTGGGGCCCAGCAATCTGTTTTAACAGGGTTTCCAGGTAATTCTGGTGTGCACTCAACTTTGAGAACCACTAAGTTAATTGGTGTGGCAGAGAAACTAAGCAAGAAATGAGGGCTTGAAAAAGCCTTCCAGCAACTGAATCCCTAGAATACATTTTTTGTTTGTTTGTTTGAAATAAACTGGAACTCGATTAGTAACTTACATCTTCCTGTGTTTTGCAAACAAGAGATCTTGGAAGGAAGTAGAAAATCAATTTCAAGGCCTTTCATCTCAGTTACAATGACACATTCATTTTAGCATTGTGTGGGGAGGGAGGGAAGGAGAGAGCAGGCAGGCAGTGGTTGGGTTTGTGGAGAGGAATACACAATTCCAATGGAATCCACTGTAATTTAGGGGCAATTAGCATCTGCACATTCTCCATTCATGAGGCTCCATTAATCCAGTTAATCCTCATCTTCTAATCAAAAACAAACATCCTTGAGTGTACTTGAGATCCTTTTAACACATTCTCCCCACCTGAATGCTGTCCTCTGCCTTGTAATCCAGGGCTTTTAGGAACCACTTCAGCTTTTGGAAAGAGGGGAGCTACCCACCACCTTGGCTGGGTCCTGCCAGCCCCTTGGAAACCTGCCCTCTCCTAGGCTGCACCCTCCCCTGAAACTTGTTCTTTGACTAGACCTGCCCTCTCCCTGCTATTATTTAAGTCATTCTTGATACTTCTTTGCTATTCTGGGCAGCCTTCCCTGACGACTTTCTGACTGCCCCTTGGCTAAACACACAAATGCTTGGATAATACTAATGCCTTGCATTGCTAAGTCACTTCACTGTTTCCAAAGGCCTTTCCTAGTCCACTTTTCATTTGATCCTCCAAACTATCATAATATCATTACTATTTCTCCACTTCCCACCCACTCTCACCCTCCCTCTTCAATTTACAGATGGGGGCCACTGAGGCTTTCAGAGATTTTGTGACCTACCAAACTGGCACAGCTAGTAAATGGATGACAAGGTAGGTTCAAACCCAGGACTCCTGATCCGCAGGCGGAGATCTATTATAGAACACTGTTTCTTTCTGACCACCCACCTAAATCCATAATGCCAATGAATAATGCATTTGTCCTTTCACTGTGTTTATGTCTTTGGAATGTTTTTGTATCTATGGAAATCAGTGCATCTTCCTTAATTTTGAAGCCTCTAAGGAGAAGAAACCCTATCTGTGTAACTCAGGCTCAAATAATACTGTAAAGTACTTCTACCTATTCAAAATATTTTCATCTTTGTCTTATTTTATCCACAAAACAATCATATGAGTTAAGGAGGATAAACAATATTACATCTATTTAATGGTAAGAAAACTGAAGTTTGGCCAATAAAAGCAACTTATTGGCTCGGAAGTAGAACGTGGTATGGTTGGGAATAGAATACGGCTTTCTAATTTCTGGTTCTGTATTTATCTATTAGATATGTGGTTTTAAAATTGTGACCCTCGGGCTCTTGCATGCTTCTTCTTGGAAAGGCGAGGCAGACAGGGCTCAGGGTATTCTACCACTGGTTTAACTAAAAGCTTTCCTCTCCTGAATAGCAACTTAGAAGCCCCTGACAGGTCCTCATTTCCTGTCTTGAGTATCCAGCATAGTAGTCGTACTAGTCAGGTGTAAGCAGTGGCTTCAGGATAATATCCTTGCAGATGGCCCTGGGAAGCCTTGAAGTTTTTGCAAGCATTTCAGACTCCCTGGCTTGTGATCAGTGTAGGCAGTGAAAACTGCACTTTGTCCTCAGAGTAGGAAAGTTACCCCTCAGCCATTTCATATTCTGTTCATTAATTCAACAAATATTTGTTGAGTTACTATGTGCTAAGTACTGTGTTTGCGTCTGGGACTAGAGGGGTAGAAAAAAAATATGGAGGTGATTTCACCTCTACCCTCATAGAAGATGCCTTCTGATAGATCTGAAACAGATAATCTTACCAATAAATAATTCCAAATCGTAATAAAAGCTATGCAGGAAAGATCTGTTTGTTGCATGAAAGAGCAAGGAGTGGGGTCTCACCCAAACAGGAGGTCAGGGAATTACAGTTCATGGAGGTTACACCGAAGCTAGATTTTCTTGGGAGGGCACACCTGCTGCATGGAACAGCACCGTCTGGCATGATGCAGCAAGTGTTTGTCCTGGTTGAGAAATCCAGAGGAGACACAGCTGGCTGGGGCCCAGTGAGCAAGAACAGAGTAGTAGGAGATGGGAGACGGGGTCAGGAGGAGCAGGGCATCGAATTCATACACAGCAAGTTGGGTAGTCATTGCAGGGACTTAAGTAAGAGGTATCATGATTGATTGACTATCATGATGACTTCGGCTATTGTCTGGAGAACAAATTGGAGTTGGTCAAAAGCATAAACAAAAGAGCTGGGAGGAGATGATTAGGTGGTTTTCCTTTGTTACACAGTTAGAGGTGCCCTTGAGGGATTTTTTAATTGAATGTGGAAGAGAGAGCAGACAGCATGGACAAGACTTAGAAGAGTAAGCATGGTAGAAAATAAAAAGCACTACTTTGGATTAGGTGATGTGGTTCCAATCCTGCACCTCCATGTCCTGGATGTGTAACGTAGGACAGGCCACATAACCAACCCCTCTGGCCCTCATTTTCCCCATTTGTGACAAGGGGCTAATAATCCAAACTCAGCGGGTTATTAGGATGCCTAATTCATGTCAGTGAAAGTCGACTGTAAATGGGAAGGTACTATGAAAATACAGGATGTCATTATCATTAACCATGTCCATATATACAAAGTAATTATAATTACAGCTCTGAGTAAATATGAAAGAACATTTTTTTTATCTCTGTGTCCTGAAAATAAGTTACTGGAAACCAAGACTTTTGTGTCCTTAGGTTAGAAGTTTGGATTTGTATTTCATAAATCTACCTTTTTTATGCTAGAAACTTTACAATTGATGAATAAAAATCACTTTAATCTTTAGAACAATCACATTTGCTCAGAATTATAAAAATAGTCATATTTAGTTCATACCATGTCTTCTAAGCCTTACTCACTTATGTGCCAGTCATTTTTTTTTTTTACCATATATGTGTAAATAGTAACTTGATGTTTTACTTAAGTTGAACTTATATAGATTCCCCTCCATGTTTTAGTTTCGTTTTTTTTTTTTTCAGTGTAAAGAATACTACATGTGAAGTCATGGAGTCGATCTGCTAGTTATTTTTTTTTTTGTCCTAATTCACATGAAAATAGTTGGAGGACTGTTAACATATAATCTAAACTATCTAACAGGACCTCATATAACACTCATGAATACTATGCTTGGGAAACAAAAGCTTATTCTACTCATTTTGTAAAATGAATTTTATTGTGTATATTGAAGGAACAACATGATATGGGATACAAACACATAGTAAAAAAGATACCACAGTGAAGCAAATTAACATAGCCATCATCTCATAAGTATCCATTTTTCCTTGATTTTTTTTTTTTTTTTTTTTTTTTTTTTGGTGGCAAGAGCAGCTGAAATCTACTCCTGTAGCATGAATCCCAAATATAGCACAGTTTTCTTACCCATAGTCTTCCGGTTGTACATTAGGTCTCCAGACCTGGCCACCCTCCCTACTTAATACAGACCTCCATCTCCCATCTCCTCCCTAGCTATCCCCTGCCTGGTAATCACTGTTTTGTTCTCTATTTCTGTACAGTTGGGTTTTTGTTTGTTTGTTTGTTTTTAGATTCCACATATACTTGAAACAATGCAATCTTTTTCTTTCTTTGTCTGGTTTATTTCACTTAACACAGTGCACTCCAGGCTCGTCTATGTTGTGGCAAAGGCAAGATCTTTTTTAGGGCTGAATAATATTCCAATCTAGACATATACCACAGTGTATTCATTTGTCTGTCACCGGACACTTAGGTTGTTGCCTATGTTCACTGTCACAACGCTGCAGTGAACACAGGCATGCAGGTCTCTTTATGAGGCGGTGATTTCATTTCCTTTGGGTATGTGCCCAGAAGAGAGATTGTTAGGTCATCTGGTAATTTTATTTTTAATTTCCTTAGGAATATCCATACTATTTTACATAACAGCTGGACCAATCTACATTCCCAGCAACAATGTACAAGGGTTCTCTTTTCTTCATACCCTCACCAACATTTGTTATCTTGTGACTTGATAGTTGCCATCCAAATGGGTGTAAGGTGGTATCTCATCTGGTTTTGATTAATAATTAATTAATGATGAATGATGTTGAGCACCTTTTCATATACCTGTGGGCCATTTTTGCATATTCTCTGTAGAAATGCCTATTCAGGTCTTTTGCCCATTTTTAAATTGGGTTATGTGGTTTTTCCACTATTGTATGATTTTTTTTTTTTTTTTTTTTTGAGATGGAGTCTCACTCTGTCACCAGGCTGGAGTGCAGTGGCACAATCTCGGCTCACTGCAACCTCCACCTCCCGGGTTCAAGTGATTCTCCTGCCTCAGCCTCCCGAGTAGCTGGGACTACAGGTGTCCACCACCACGCCCGGCTAATTTTTTGTATTTTTAGTAGAGACGGGTTTTCACCATGTTGGCCAGGATGGTCTTGATCTCTTGACCTTGTGATCCACCTGCCTCAGCCTCCCAAAGTGCTGGGATTACAGGCGTGAGCCACCACACCCAGCCTTTTGTATGAGTTCTTTATGAATTTGGGATATTAACCCTTTACCATATATATGGCTTGTAAATATTTTTTTCCCAACCCATAAGCTGTTTCATTTTGTTGATTATTTCCTTTGCTATGCAGACACTTTTTAGTTTGATGTGCTCTCATTTATTTGCTTTTGCTTTTGTGTCCTGAGCCTTTGGTGCAATATCCAAAAAAAACCTGTCAAGGCCAATCAATTGTCCAGGAGCTTTTTCCCCGTGTTCTCTTCTAGGAGTTTTATGGTTTCAGATCTTACATGTAGGTCTTTTATCCATTTTGAGTCTATTTTTTGTGAGTGGTATAAGTTAAGGGTCCAATTTCGTTCTTTTACATGTGGAAATTCAGTTTTCTCAGCACCATTTATTGAACAGACTATCCTTTTCCCATTGTGTCCTCTTGGTGCCCTTGTGGAAAATTAGTTGACTAGTAAACCATTTATATTCTAGGTCTTTTTCAATATAAAATTAACATGGCCTTCCACTGGCCAAGTGGTGCCTTGGAATCACCTGGAGTGTTTCTAAAAGTCATAAGGCCCAGCTAGACGCTAGATCAAATAAATAAAAATCTCAGTTCATGGGACCCAAGCCTCAGGATTTTTAAACATTTCCTATGATTTTTTTTTTTTTTTGAGACAGAGTCTTGCTCTGTCACCCAGACTGGAGTGCAGTGGCTTGCAATCACTGCTTACTGCAGCCTTGACCTCTCCATGCTCAGGAGATCCTCCCACCTCAGCCCCTTAAGTAGCTGGGACTGCAGGTACAAGCCACCACGCCCAGCTAGTGTGTGTGTGTGTGTGTGTGTGTGTGTGTGTGTGTGTGTGTGTGTTTTGGTAGAGACGGGGTTTTGTCATGTTGCCCAGGCTGGTCTTGAACTCCTGAGCTCAAGCGATCTGCCCACCTTGGCCTCCCAAAGTGCTGGGATTACAGGTGTGAGCCACTAGTGCCCAGCATCCTTAAGATAATTTTTATGTGAACTGAGACTTAGAACCACTAACTTAGATTCTTGGATGCCTTCTAGAACTTCTAGGATTAGACAAATATTGTGGATAGACTGTAAGAGAAGAACCTGGCCATAGTGGAGACAATCACTGTTATGTTATCCAGAGGAGAGGGTCATCTTGATCAATAATATTAACAGTAGTAGTAAGAGTAATACTGCTACTACTGATGGCAACATTGAAGGCCAACTTTATGTCAGTATTCTTCCAAGTGCTTTATAAGAATTACTTCATTTAGGCCAGGCACAGTGGCTCACGCCTGTAATCCCAAAACTTTGGGAGGCCGAGGCAGGTGGATCATGAGGTCAGGAGATCGAGACCATCCTGGCTCACACGGTGAAACCACGTCTCTACTAAAAACACAAAAAATTAGCCAGGCGTGGTGGCGGGCACCTGTAGTCCCAGCTGCTCGGGAGGCTGAGGCAGGAGAATGGCATGAACCCAGGAGGTGGAGCTTGCAGTGAGCCAAGATCGCACCACTGCACTCCAGCCTGGGTGACAGTGAGACTGCATCTGGAAAAAAAAAAAAAAAAAAAAGAATTACCTCATTTACTCTTCACAACAAGACTACAAAGTGAGTACCACGATAATCTATTTCCAAGATGAGGCATCTGAGGCCCAGAGAGGTACAGTCACTTGCCCAAGGTCACACAGTACTAAGTAGTAAATCTGGAATGAGAGGCTCCTTGAAAGCAATCCTAAATTTCTATCCTTTCTTGATGGTTTTCTACTTGAAACAGTTAATATCGTAGAGTCTTGAATCCTGTTACATCAACTCCAGCATCTCCTTTCTCTGAGCCTTTTTATTAGACTTCTTTCCCCATCCCTAATTTTACAGACGAGCACATTTTATTGATGTGAAAATGAAGACTTATAAAGACTGTCCTATTTCCCAGGTCATATAACCAACTCCATGTGTGGTCCTGTGAAAGTGCCCTAACTTCTTTCAAATATGTTTTTTCTCATTTGAGTTGCAAAAATAAACCCATCTGCTTTGTAGCCATTAACATGGAAAGAAGAAGAGGCATCCAAAGTGTTGGGTCCGCATCGCCCTTGCCTTGGAGGAAGCTCCAAATAGAGGGAAGGATGGTTTCCAGCAGTCCCTGAAGTGCCTTTCCTCCTTCGTGGGATCCAGTTACACCCAGCAGACTTCAGTTTGAATAAACAGAACTAGATGAATACACCTAGGGAATCTGTGAGGCCAGCCTCAGCTTTTAACATCCAGCTACAGGGAGGTGAGAGAAGCTTCAGCCAGTTGTTTTCTAAGAGCGAGATAAAGAAACCACCCTCCAATTATGCATCAAATTCTGCTTCACAGTTGAATAAGGGGCATGAAATCGGATGTTTTTCAAGCTCAATATAAAGCAGTGGAAAACCTACCTCCCCTCTCCCTCCATAAAGAACATCTAAACGCACAGCATTTAATTTCCGAATAGGGCAATGTTCTTTTTAAGGGAAATGTTAAGCAGGGATTAGAGACACGATGGGCTGTGTAACTCTATCCTCAGCCCTCTCCTTGTTAATAGTAATTTTTTTTTGGCGGCGTCTGTGCAGAGATGTGGGAAAAACCAAAGTCTTATGTAAATGAGAATTGACACATGCTCGATAAACCAAACGCCAGACCTGAGATCTTAATTACACAGGAGTCTAGATGTCAAAATGAATGCAGCTTATTGACGTTCAGAGATTTCACTCGGTATTAAGTTGGACGACCTTCTTCCGGGACCAGAGAGCAAAGCGCTGGTTTCTCATTACCCAGGGCCATCTTCACAAATGGCAAAGAGCTGTGTTCATGCCTAGACACTTTTCTAGGTGGAATATATCCCTGAACCACAACACTTAACACCTGCTCATAGTGGGACAAGCAAAACAAGATGTTTTCAGGTGTGGGACAAACCACTGCTAATTGACCAAGGGCTCTTCTGAGCAGAGGTCCCTAACTGCACCCTCTCTCTCCACTCAGCCCCCACCTCCATCGTGCCTATTCATGTAGTCTCATTCGTGCCTCTAAGGCATTGCCAGGGGCACTACTTCAACTTCAACAACTAATACTCCTGTGAGATACACAAGAGCATTAGTAGTCACTTTTTAATGTCAAGAAACAAAGTCCATAATTACTAAGCATTTATGTTGCTGAAGATGAGAACACTTGGCAGCTTGGGTAGCTCACAAAGCAGCTCCTGGTAGACTAGGTTTACTGGCCCATAGCTTTATTCGTTAGTGGAGACAATGGCCATTACCCTAAGCAGCACAGG
The DNA here is from genome assembly GCF_000001405.40 of Homo sapiens. NCBI lineage: Eukaryota > Metazoa > Chordata > Mammalia > Primates > Hominidae > Homo > Homo sapiens. Next base: position 169,037,386 of record NC_000005.10, read on the forward strand.
CTCTGTTTTTAAAGGGAGAGAAAGCTACTTTCAGGCTTGGGCATAACCAAACAGTGCTCAGTGGGAGTCAGGTTCTTTGCCTTGAAATAGAAAAATAATACACCCTTTCCCTCCACCTCCACTAATTAAAGTGTCAGGATGGAGCCCCGACACTGACTTGACACATGACATGATGTCTCGTGTAATTGGACGTGTTTCACGCTAACATCAAAGCCTCGTCAAGGATGATGGAGCGAGATGTTTAGTGCATGCCTGTTGCAGTCTGACATATAACTCCATCCAGCTTCATTCACAGGCTCTCGCTCACCGGGAGATTAACCCGCCAGGCTGCTGAGTGAGAGGGGACAGAGTAGGCCCTGACGGGAGGCCTGGGACGCAGGGGAAATCAAAACAAGTCCACCTGCTTAAGGAGACTGCCGCACTGTGACCTCGTCCTCCGGACATCTGTGGCAAGTGTTACCGCAGCCACTGATGTGGCGCACTGGGCCATTTACAGCTGCCTCATGATATTCTTTTTCACGACTGTGTTTACACTATTGTTTAACAACTTTGTATAACAATCTCTTTTCACTCCAAATAAACCTTAGTGCCTGGAAGGCCAAGAGTATCTTCAGTATGTGTCTATCCTAGTAAGCTTCTCAAATGATACAGAATTTTTCGTTTTTTTTAAAAATTTCCAACCTCTCATGTGCCAATACTTTTGTATAATCAAAATGATTAGAAAAATGAACATGGACTAGGATGCCTTAGTAGTGTCAAATGACTATAAATGTGTCTAAATGCTTAATGTAAATTTCTTGTCATAGACCAGTAACACACAGTTTGCTAACTGGCACGGGTCTGTGGACCTCATTTGATTATCATTAAACCAGAACAACTAGAATGCCTGGTACAATAGGGAGCAAAGAATATCTTCTCAATATGGAACTGCTGATTGAATATGTGTATGAATTATAACATATATACACATATTACAATGTACACATATGGAATACATTCACACCAAATACTGGTATATGCACATACGTTCAATCAAATTATACTTTATACCATAACATATGTGTAAATAAGAAGATGGGGTTTACAAAAGGAAGACCTATACTTAGGTTTTTAAAAAAGTGCATTAGGTAACGAGTTGGCACCATGACGCTCTCTATGGAAAGGTATAGGTGGATGAGGAAGAATGACTGAGCAGTGCTTCTCCTGTGCTCCATGCTGTAATTCTCCAAGCTCTGTGTGGGACTGGTGTTCACACCCATATTTACCCAAGAGGCAGTGAAGCTCACTGAGGCTACGCGATTTGCCAAGGTCACGCTGCTATTTAGTGATGGAGATGGGATTCAGGTACAGGACTGTCCGGCTCCACAGCCTGCGTTCTATGGCACCACATTGTTCAGTGGTGTCACAGGGAGCTATGCTTTGTTCATATGACACACAGTACAAAGAGAATGGCTGTGTTCCTACCTCCACCTCCAAGCAAAGACCACCATAAAATAATCACAAGGGGCTGGCCTGGGTAGGTTTTGAGTGAGAAGAAGTCCAACTGATGAACTTCTAGGAAAAGTTTACTCCCTCCTAAGAAAAAAGCATGGAGAAAAGATGACCCCCTTCTTCTGCTGGGGATTGAAACATCGGGATAGGATGGCCAGGACATCCCTCAGTCATCTTTTTTTTTGATTATACTTTAAGTTTTAGGGTATGTGTGCACAACGTGCAGGTTAGTTACATATGTATACATGTGCCATATTGTAGACCCAGTTTGAGGATGGTGTTGCACACTGGGAAAGGCAGCACACCAAGATAACCACAAAGAAACAGAGGAAGTACATTACCCTGAGGGGGTACAGGCTTTGCATTTAAAGAGAGAGAAGGCTACTTTCAGGCTTCGGCATAACCAAACAGTGCTCCGTAAGAGTTAAGTTTTTTTTTGTGTTTTTTTTTTTTTTTTTGAGATGCAGTCTTGTTCTGTCGCCCAGGCTGGAGTGCAGTGGCGCCATCTCAGCTCACTGCAAGCTCCACTTCCCGGGTTCATGCCATTCTCCTGCCTCAGCCTCCTGAGTAGCTAGGACTATAGGCGCCTGCCACCACGTCTGGCTAATTTTTTGTATTTTTTAGTAGAGACGGGGTTTCACCATGTTAGCCGGGATGGTCTCAATCTCCTGACCTCGTGATCCACCTTCCTCAGCCTCCCAAAGTGCTGGGATTACAGGCTTGAGCCACTTCACCCGGCCAGGAGTTAAGTTCTTTGTCTTGAAATAGAAAAACAATATACCCTTTCCTTCCACCACCACTAATCAAAGTATCAGGATGGAGTCCCAACACTGACTTGACATATGACATGATGTCCCGTGTAATCAGGACATCTTACAGCTGGAGCAACCCCTATCAAACGACTCCTTATCACGTGATACAGTACAATGCCTTATTAAAACGAATTCAAACAGGGATTGTTCTGTTACTTGCAGCCAAAGGCACCCTACCTAATGCAAGCGCCTCAGGGCACAATACAATACTGAACTTCACTATCCCTTTTAACAAAAGCCAATGTTTGATTCACATTGTTGAGTCAGAATTTCAAAGGACCCTATCATTTAGTGTATAGCAGCAACCATATAGCAGCAACAAATATTTTTGAAATCATGATTTGAAATAAAATTTAGATGCCATGAGACCATTTAGATGAGATATAAACAGTTTAACTTGGAAATAAAAAAAGCCCTCACAACACGTAATCTAATTCCTATCGACCACATCCAGGGTTTCATTCAACTTTTGGGACAGAGTATATCAAGGCATGTGCAATCACAGCCCGTCAGCTCTGTTAGGAATTCCCTTGCTTCTTCCTGCATGTTTACACAACTTTAATACTTTTCTATATTGGCTCAATAAAGCATTTTTTCCTTTGAGATGGCATTGCTCATCTGTATTTATCCCACAGAGAGGAGGCTAAGTTATCTTAACAGTCCATTTTGGTAACTGTAAAGCTGACAAAATTGTGTATAAACAGCTCAAATATTTCTCAGGAAATAAAACTGGAAAGAAGAGCCCTTGCTTCAACCATTTAAGACAGTCTTGCATATTTAGAGATTAAGGATATGGTGTGGGTTTCTTCTTTCAGCTAAACCCTCATCCCCATCCTGCCCTTGACAACTTAATTTCCTCTCCTCTTTGGGAGACAGACGGATGAATATTTAGTGTAGAACATGATTGTGATTAAGCTTCCAAATGTATCTTCATCTGGATTCCAGCTGGTGTGGCATCTCAATTACTCCTCCATTCCCCTATGGAACTGTCTTACCGATGTAGTAAGCTTTGCGTGATGGCACTGGATTAAAAATCTCCTAGGACTCTCCAATCTTCTCACCTCAATCAATTATCCCTTTTCGAAAGGAAAAAAAGGTCTTGTGCATGTACATTATGACCTGAAGAATCCTACCAATAGGCATCGGCCCATTGCCGATTGGCTACCCATAAACAGCGGCAATCTTTCTTAGAGCTGGCTCATTTCTCCTACTCCCCACCTCTGCAAATGATGATTGATGCATTAATGTGAGACTGATAAACTCTGAAGAAGGGAGTGATTCATAGGTGTACTGTCAATACAATATGAAGAGAGTTGCAAAAATGTTCAGCTACCCACAATTTGTTTACTGGATGAATATTCCACATTTGTCACTGTTTCCATGATTCCTAGTATCATATGCCCAAACTCTGGTAGGTTTCAGAAGTACAATATCATTCAAATCAATTCTGATATCTGGAATATTCACCTAATATTTCTTCAGTAACACTTCTTTTGAGACGTGGCCCCAACTACTTCACATGGCTCTCTCACTCATTTGCTCAATCATTTATTCGACAAACATATACCGAGCACATAGGCTGTATGCTGAGCACTGGGGATAAAGATGTGAATGAGACACAGTCCTTGTTCTCGTGGATCTCAGTCTAGTGGAGGTGACAAACATGCACACAGGTAATCACAACAGAGTATGATGAGTGCCGGATGGAGCCGAGTACTGGATACCATGGGAGTACAGCAGAGTGGCATCTATCATGGATTTGATTTGAGAGGGAGACAGCAGGGAGGGCTGTTCAGAAGGCATTCAGAGTTTTTCCTCTTGTCCATTACATTTACAGCGCTCTCAGCACTTACACTAAAGCTTCCATAGAATAATTAGTCCTACAGTGCCTGTCCTTCCTTCTTTCCCCAATGCAGTTATATAAGTAAATGTCAGATATTCTTCAATTCTTATAATGAAATGTTGGGAAAGAAAGGCAGGCTTAAAGCTATTTTCTACTTTTTTTCTGCTACAAATATATATTATAGGAGTTTGAAGAACAGAAGCAATCTGGGTAGATTAGAATATTTGGGAGATGCTTCAGAAAATAAAGCAGCTGAGTTTACTCTCTAAGGCTAACAATGAAGTCAGTACTTTCCACTTCTGTTAGACAAGACCCTATTTCCAGCAATCAGACGCATGAAAGATAGTTCCTCTTAGGAACCCAAGTGGATAGGTATAGGGTGCCAAGATCCCTTCCTGGAAATGAATAGGAAAAAATAAGCTATTGATCTCTTCCCTCATTTAAATCTTGCAGTTCTAAAAAAGGCACTTCTCTGCAAGAGTGAAGTATACTTCTCCCACCTGTCTTCTTGGTTTGATGATTGCATGTATAGTGCTGTACACAGGGCATAGGCAAGGAAAATGGAAGATGAAGAATGGATATCGTAGAACGGTCCAGTTCATAAGGGCCTACTGGAGAATTCTCAGACTCTCCAGAATCACACTTCCAGACAGTGACAAACAGAGCCCCTCAATACCTTCATACAGAAACACTTTAATCACCCTACACATTAGAAAAAAGTCCTGAGAAACCAGAAGAGGCTGGAAAGGTAGCCTGGAGTTCCAAGATCTCATGAAAAATTAATTCAACCCTCAAAGTCAGCACCAGTAAGGACTGTTCTATATAACAAAAAGTCCTCAGTTGCATTATTTAAAAACTGCTTTGGACTGACCAACTAATTTCAAAGGCTTCACTCTTTGCATTAGATGTTATCAAAGACGGATGTGCTAAAAGGGTTCTTTCTATCAAATCCGGTGCCCCTCTGCTCTCCTAGGGTTATAATTGAGATCCTTATTACAGCGAGAGCACTTTTGCTTTCATTTTAACCTAAATGTTTTTGTGAGATTTCCCTTCAAAGCCTGATGAAGAATGAGATTAGTGAAATCAGCCCTGTTCTCCCAGGAGCCACTAGCTCCTTTGACTCAGAGACCTTGGAGCTCCCTTATATATTACAGTCACATCAAAGGGGCATTTTGTTGTTTGTTTGTTACACCAACATTGCCAACCCGAGAATCAAACTGTTTTTTAAGTAGAGGTAAGAGATGAGGGTGCTGGGCTTGGGATTCTGAACAGGTGTGTTCCATTTTAAGAAATCCTGTTATTCAAAAATGAGCTATAAAAACAAGAAAAACTGGAAACGATCTGTCCATTTACAAAAGAGGGCTTACTATCGGCTTCCTTAAAAATCAGCTCCCTAATCTAGTTAATGTTTCATTATCCATAAAACAAAAGGGTGTTTACTGGCAACATTTTTGAAATACATCCATTATTTATAGAATGAGACATCTTTTGTACTACTACTAATGGCTTCCTTTATTGAATGCCTCCTATTTATGTGACTGTCTCTGTACTGACACTTTATATAAGTAATCTCATTTACTTCTCAAAACAGCCCTGTAACCTACATATCAGAATCTCATTTTATACTAGAGAAAAAAAATGACTTGCCCGAGGTCATACAGCCAGCGCAGACCTGGAATTCAAAGCCAAAGTCAGTTTTGCTTTGCACTTCATTTAGGTCTTGTTAGTAATTAGATTCAATGGTCATACTCCAAAGCCTCATTAATTTGGGCTGGTTGAGACACATTATAGTTTAAATTTGCTAGAAAAGTTTGAATTACAACATATCCACAGATTACCCACAAGTACACATAATGAGTTGGTAGTTTCACTGTTTGATGCAGATCCTTCAGGACTTCCTTCAATGATAAGAATAATTATAAGTCTTAACCCCACTGTATAAAGGCAATAGAAACACCCAACTAAAATGCATGAAAATACTTTGTTCCCTTAAGTTGGTTAAGTATAACTTGATAACTTGCCTATCAAACTCTCTTTTGAAAACACTTTATATGAGCTATGTTCAAGGGATCACGAATTTTTGAGTAGCAGGCCTTGATGTGATTATGCTCTGATTTTAATTTCTTTCAAACAAGAGCTCTTTGTATATTTCATTAACCCCTTGGCTTAGCAATAAAGAGAAGCAAGAGACTGTGAGAGAAAGCAATGAGTTTCTCCATTCCCCACTCCAGTTGTCTGGGCAAGAAGAGTGGCTGATTTAAGAGGGAACAGCTATCTCTGCCTTACCAAAGGTAGGCCTTATAATTAGCAAACAGCAGTGAGAGTCATCCGAACTGGGAGCTCAAGATTGGGATGATGCAGACTCTGGTCAAGTCAACAGTAAGAATGACATAACTACGACAGAACATGTTAAAAACTGTTCATATCTTCCTTTCCATTTAGGAAATACTCTGGATCCCAGATCAGAGAAACTTATTCTGATAGGAGACTACCCTGAGTAGAGAGAAGTAGTAGATAAAGGCTAAAGTGGCCAAATCAATGCACAGAAGCAAGGGCACCACCTCACACCCACCAGGATGTCTATGCTAAAAATGAAAAGGACAATAACAAGTGTTGGCAAGGATGTGGACCAACTGAAACATGCATACATTGCTGGTATGAATATAAATGGCGTGGCCATTGTGGAAAACAGTTTGGCAGTTCCTCAGAAAGTTAAATATAGAATTACCATGTGACCCAGTAATCCTGCTCCTATGTATATACCTAATACAACTGAAAACATACATGCACACAGAAACTTGCATATCATTGTTCACAGCAGCATTATTCATGATAGCCAAAAGGTGGAACATGCAATGGAATATTATTCAGCCATAAAAAGAAATGAAGTATCGATACATGCTGCATTACAGATGAATCTTGAAAACATGCTAAATGATAGAAGTCAGACATAAAAGGCCACATACTGCAGGATTCCATTTTTATGAAATACCCAGAATAGGCAAATCCATAGAGACAAAAAGTAGATTAGTATTTGCTGGGGGCTGGAGGAAGGTGGGGGGGGGGATGGGGAGAAATTGTTAATGGGTACCAGATTTCTCTTTGGGGTGATGGGATGCTCTGGAATTAGACAGTGGTGATGGTCACACAACATAGTGCATAGACTAAAAAGCACTGAATGATATAATTTAAGATGGTGAATCTTATGTTAAACTATATCTCAAGAAAAAAAGAAGGAAAAAAGAAAGGGCCAGGGTTGCTAGAAAGAGAATGTCTCTAAACAGTGGGGCTTCCCCTTTTTAATTCAACTGGCCTGTAGACCCCAGCTCTGTTTCTGGGCCTGGAGAAGGATAGTGCTTATTGCTGCATTTTTTGATCATCAACAACAGTGTAAGCTTCCTTAGCTTCCCACTGCTCATACTTCTCTCTCTGAAGAAGCAGCCTTCTGTCCATCACGGGATGAGAAGAACTCCTCCATGGTTCACAGGTTTCTGCGAGATGAAGCAGCACCAGAGATGCGGGGTCATGCTAAGGTTTCATAGAAGAACTTCAAGTATTCAGCAGCAGTGGGGGATTGCACAGCTTAAAGGTTTTCAGACCACTTGTGACAGCAACAGAAGACGACAATGCATTCCTGTTGTGCCCTGCTATGTGAAGCAGACCTTAATTTGAGACAGGGATGGGGGTTGGGAGGGGTGACTCCTGTAGGCTGGAGCTGCTGGTGAGATGAAAACCCTAAACGTGCAACTTGGGCACAGCTTCACTTGCTACTTCCTCACTGCCCGGGCTTTCCCTCACACCTAGGAAAATCCTCTGAGTTGCTGCTTCAACAGACAGCAAAAAAGAACTTCTACTATTGTTACTTCAAAGACTTCTTCCAAGTGTAGTCCATGCAGGAAAAAAAAAAAAAAAAAGAACTGAGATGATGTAGTTTATTTCCTGGAAATATTAGTATTTCAAGACCTGGGTGCACCATCCACACTTTCCAGGGCATTGCCTGACACACGGTAGGTATTCAATAGATGATTTTTACTGAAAGAAGGAGTGAATGAATATGTGTATATGAGTATTTACTATGTGATAGGTGCTGTACTAAGTTTTTACATCATTATCACATTTTAAATGCACAGAGGTGTACAGTGACTTGCCCAAAGTCAAACAGCTTGTAAACTGCAGACCCAGGAGCCAAACCACAGCAAGCTCTTCCATCCTACAGGAAGCATTCTCTGCCTAATTAAGAAGAGTTTGTGGCCTACACTTCATGTTCCCATAGCACCTGGTGAGTCCTCCGATTTTACCATACACCGAGTCAGATTGTTAAGTTTGTGCTCACTTTTCATTCATTTCACCCACTACATTTAGTGAGCACTTAGACGCAGTAACTGACTGTGTTTTGTGCATTGCTATATCTCTAGGGATACAACAGGCACAGTTCTTAGTATAATATATCACTCACTACGGACATATTGAATTAATGATTGAATTTATCACTTGATGAATGGGAGTCACACAGACTGAACAGGGAAGCCAGAGTATGAGAAGGATTTGATGATGGACAAAGAAGTAGGAGACAGTGTATGGAGGGAGACCCCTTCCCTACCCCCCAAAAGGTGCCTTATTTTTGTGCTTTGGTATAGGTAAAGAGGTGGTATTGCCTAGAGGGACTGTAACTAGCCAGGAATCACAAAGCAAATTAGGGGGCAGTAGGGTCTGGCAGTGAAACATCTGTACAGCACATTGTGAGCACCAGATGAAAGGCATGCATAGAAAAGCAAAGATCGCAGCACTAGTTTTGCAGAAATGAAACATTCCTAAATTAACACAAGAAAGGAGGTGAGACTCCAGAATCAGATACACTGCAGAACATATAGATTCCCTTTGACATTGCTTTAAAAGCAAGTCAGTAGCTAAGTAAATAAGAATAAAATGCAAGAGAGAGAGCAACATTCTCTTTGGATATTTAAAATGTCTCCGGATCCATAATCCTATCCCTACACTTGGAGCAGATCAGAACTGAGAGGTAAACTGCACATTTAGGAAGGCACGAAGAAAGCCATGCAAGGGTTGAGAATCACTTTCTCCTTGCCTTGCACCAAAAACACATTCCTTTTGGGCGCTGGAGACTGCTCCGCAGAAAGCAACAGTGTCCCCCAGCCTACCATAAAGGGAGGCTTGCTCTTATCTCTCTATCTTCCTTCATTGCTGAGCATGTTCTTGAGAGTATTATGAGCCCCATGTGTGTAAAATTAAAATCAAAAGTGATTTCTTCTTAGAGATAATTCTTCTCCTCCCTTTTCTGCACCCTTCCCCAGCACCCCTCTGCTCCAGAGCCCTCTCTCCAGGCCTGTGCCCCTACTCAGCAGCTGGGTGCCTGTATCAGACTGCCAAAAACACCATTTGCTTTCTATATTCTAGGCGCTTGCTACAGGGTGTCTACTCTGGCCGCAGTAAAGACATACTAATTCTGACATTATTGTTACTGTCAAGTTCATGAATTTAAGGAGGATTCAAGTTCTATTCGTAGACTGGAGAAGCAAAACCAAAACCTAAAAAAACCCCACAACAATGCATAGCTGAAAAAACATACTTCCCCACCTGGATGTCCTGCAGACGCCCCCAACTCAACGGGCCCAAAAGTGCACTCACTGACTCCTCCCTGGTTAACCACCTTCTCGAGCCTCCTCTGGATCCTCCTGCAACCATCCTCCTTATCCTGGTGAACAATGTCCCTCATCTACCCTACCGCTTCAGCTAAAACCCTCATATTCATTTTCCCCTTGACCTCTTCTCCCGCTTTCAAATCTGTCTCCAAGCTCTGCTGATTTTACAGCTGAAATGCCTTTTGAATCTAACCATTCATCCCATCTCTGCTACCCGCTGTCCTAACACAGGCCCTTATTCCCATCTTTATTGGGGTCTCTGCCTTCAGTAGTCTCCAGAGGTCTTCACGGCAGACTGGAGGTTCCATCTGGAGACCTAGATGGAACCTACCCTTCCATCTGGAGACCTAGATGGAACCTACCCTTCCATCTGGAGACCTAGATGGAGCCTACCCTTCCATCTAGCCTTATGTCCATCATCTCCCATGATCACTCCTTCAGTCCAGCTGGGCTGACCAAACTCCCCCGACTACACTGTCACTCCCTGAATAGGTTATGTGCTTTCATTCTGGGGGCCTTCATATACAATGCTGTCTTTTTTCTTTTTTTGGCTGGGATACTTGTTCCCCTCACTTCCCCAGCTGCTCTTCCCGCTGTGCTCTGGCAGACCAGGATGTAGCTGTAGGTCTATGAGGGTCCTTAGCCCGTTTTCCTGAAAAGATGCATCGTCATATCCTCTTCTAGGTCCTGAGCAGCTCCAGAGCAGGAACTAGGTGACAGTCATCTCTGTCTCACAGCAACTTAGCATGGTGCCACAAGCATCGATTAGATGCTTGTGGAAGGAAGAAAGCAGGAGGAAGGAGGGGGAAAAAAAGAGAAAACCAAATGGAAGAAACTATGTCAAACTCTGCTCTGTCACTGCTCTCAAGATCCACTAATTGCCCCCAAACCTCAATTTCTTTCTTCTGATGCCCCTTGACTAAAATTCAAGCTAGAAAGGAGAAACTGATGAGGCTGAAAGCACAGGCTTAGCAGCAGACAAGCAAGGTTTGAAAACACACTCTCTGACGATGGGTGGTCTTGGATGGCTTCTTGAACCCCTCCAAGCCTCAGATTTCCTCATCCTTAAACGGAGAATCATAAGCTCATCTACATAGAGCTATAATATCTGACCAGTGGGATGAGGTGTAAAACATTCTCATAACAAACCAGGCATAACGGAAGCATTCCAGAAATGCTAACTTTTGTTATTGTTTCTTATTACCATTTTTATGACCTTTTACTGAATAGAGTCCTCAAGCTCTAAGATAATCTCTGCCCTGGTGAAGCTGGTAATTTGGTTAGGGTGACAGATCAGGTATGACAATAAAGAACATGGATTTCCTTAAACCAGCCACAACAGAAGTCAGGCATCACCGGCGGCGTAGCCATTCACACAGTAGTTACCTAGTTTGCCTTACAGACTTCTTCCAGTGTTGCTACCAAGTACTCAAAATAGCTTGTCCTTTTTGAGTATAAAAAGCAACATCATACCCAAGTCCCAGTACAGTAATACACATTAAATGCCACACAGCATTTTTGCCTCGGATAATAACAGCCGTATTAAGTTGTTACAGACATTGCCTCTATCTCATCTCTGGAGGTGGTATAGGATTCTTCTGGAACGAATCACAGTCTGGGAAAGCAAACCCAGACCCCTTGCCCCATTGGTTCAGCTGCTTGGAAAAATTCCCCACTTAATTAAGATACTCTTCTTGAAATATGGAGTTTCAGAGTAGGCTAAGCAATGACCAGGCCAGAGCTTTGGGAGAGGCCCTTAGAAGTTGAGAGTGACGCCACAACCAGCATAGTATTGGACATTCAGTGGATGACTGAAAATCCTGGTTGACTGAATGGAGAGAATAGTCGGGCAGTTTCTTCGAGAAAAGTCAATAGCCTGTGAGGGCGCCAGGGCTACGGCAGGCAGGGCCATTACCCATGTTAGTCAAGACCTATGTCACATGAGCTTTTTGGGGGCAAATACAAACGTGTAGAGTTGGAAAAAATTACACTGGCCCCAGTATACAAAAAGTATAAAGTTAAAATTACAAGAAACAAAATAATAATTGTTTCTATTTTTCTGTATGCTACATCTAATGTGTGATCTAAGTGTAATTCACTATGTTCGACGTGGTGGGGGAGGGGGTTCCTCCAAAATAAGAGGTCTCGGGGCTTTGACAGGTGCTAAGGTAACCAGAGGAAGTCAGCAGGAATCAACCTACATATTTACTGGAATTCGATGTTGCTTTGCTTAACTTTTGTTCTCTTAGGTTATGCCGTTAACGTCTCTCCTGCCCACCTTCCCCCAACACAGCAAAGCTACATAAACAAGAAAGACCAACCAGTGACAGCAGTGGAGAACTGGAAAGAATTATCTGAAATGTAGAGAGCGCTGTAATTTTTCAAATAGTCAGGAACAGAACATCAGAAATTCTCTAGTTTCTTTCCACGAAGTCCAGCCTAGGGCCCTAGACTCCCTGCAGGATGCCGGGCGGCTTCTAATTGTCTGAAGATCTATTGTAGCGGTAAGGACAAGTGACATTAAGATACATAAACTGGCATTTGGGGTTGACGAATGATAGGCAACACACTTAAATCTGCTAGACAGAAACCTAAACTCTAAAGTGGGCAGAAGAGAAACAAAATACAAGAGTTCTGTAGTTCCCAGGGTGGGTTTGTGGTATTGTTTTTATTTGCTGTTGTTGGCTCTATCTTGGCCAAGAAATGCCACTATAAGCATTTGATCTTTACTAGGGAGGTGCTGGCCTTGCAACATGAGACTTGGACACTGGTTTCTGGGTATAGTTGAGCCATCTATTTTTTTTCCTGGCTGCTTCCCCTCCTCCCCATTTCTCCTCTAAGTAAATGTGATGGCTCCAGAAAGAGAGATAAAAGAAGAGGTGTGTAGGAAGAGGGGTGCGTTTTCTACAGTCAGCAACAGAACAGAATAGACACATCCAGCAGGCCGTTTGCTGGGCCACACTGTCTGATGTTAAGGAGTCTCTTACTGTTCTTCCTACTTACTGCCCAAACCTAATTAAAGCAGAGTCACTCGACAGTTAGGAATGCAGCACTGTATCTCCTCATGCACAAATCCCCAAAGCCTGTGAGCTCTTTCTTGAGAGTGAACCTTGAGTTTTATTTGCCCATTATCAGTTATCCCCATCTTATTTGTCCAAAACAAAATCTCATCTCACTTCCTCTGATGTCACTTTACCCAGTCTATCCACCCATCCATCCCATAATTATCCTATCTGACCAGCTTACCCAGCACAAAGTTGGCCTCTGTTTCTTTGCCACGATTGGGTCTGTGCCCAGATAATTGGTTCATTCATCAAATATCTATTCAGTGTCCATGGTGTGCCAAGCCCTGAGCTAGGTTATTGGAATGTGGTGAGCAGCAAGACCAACGTTGTGTCTGCCCTTATGAAATTTATAGTCAAATAAAATGCCAATTAATGTTAGGATTTGTTTAACCACTGCCCCCTTTGAACTGGATACTACGCAGCCTATAATAGCACTTTTTTTTTTTTGGCGACCATATAACACTTCACGTTGAGCTTGCTGCCAACTGTAACGTGTAGATTTCCTTTCTGAAGAGGAAGAATACACATGGAAAGACGCCATAGGTATCACGGCGAGATCACATTCCACCCTTCCAGAAATTTCCATGTACCTGGCACACAATAGGCAGAAATATGTGTTGAATGAATTTGTTGGCACTATTTATGTTTCGCATTTAGATTCAGCAGCCTTCCAGCGCTCTGCTGTCTTATGGACCCTGGTTGGTTATCTGACATAACTTCTCTCTTACTGGCTTTTGTTTTATCTGAAAACGTCACTAGCAAACCATCAAGATCTGCATCTAAATCACTGCAAAACGGAGATGAAAAATTGAAGGTTGGCTGCACCAGGAAGTTCATGTCAACTTCTAAACTTGTTGTCAGAAGCAATAAAAGTAGACTTTGTGGGTCCTTCAGAACCGGAAAGGAAAAGGAAATCAAACATTCAAGGGATCAATTTAGATTCACGAAAAATAGGAAGGAAAGTGAAAGCCAACTGAATTAACTCTAGTTTGGTTCAAAAATACACTGCCATTTTTAAACATTTCTAGCCTTTTTTTTTTTCCCCTCTACAAGATACTGTGAGGCTGTATATAAAAGAGTAAATCAGAGCTGTGGGTGCTGAATCTTGATTCTCATATTTAAGTTTCCTCCTGCCCAGGAGTGACTCCAAGAAGGAAATGAATTCTCAGTGGGAGATGCTGTAGTTGATTAGCTTTTACCTTCCAGAGGAGATGTCAATCATGTTAATTGGAATCAATAGACAGCTGTTCAGGGGCCCAGGATAATTAACCAAGTCATAAAGGGTAGAATTAGAGTTCCCTTTAAAAATTAAAAGGGATCCCACTGTTTGCTAACATTTTAAGCCACTTTGGCTACCTAAGACCTATTCTGATTTAAACTCACTGATCACAGAGCAGCCAGCTTTTGTATGGGCAAAGAGTTATGCTCATCCTGTGGGAAAGTGGAAAATCCACCCTGCAGAAATGAGCTTTGAGTTTCCACTGCATTCCAAGGAGAGCCTAAATCTGTGGTTGTTAGGGCTTATGAGCCAGGTCGTTCTACAGCACTGGAGAGAGGGGGAGAGACAGAAAGAAAGGAAGAGAGTGAAAGAGGGAGAGGCAGAGAGAACACTAGCACTGTCGGCTCTCATCCATTTCAAGCTTGCACGCCTTGGTGTCCCCAAACCAACCTACAGAATCCATCATCTGCAACCCAGGTCTTCCCAGAGGGCAGCACAGAGAAAACTTCACAGGACCAGAAGGAAAGGCGATGTACTGAAGGCTAGTTACAATAACCGGACATCCCCAGCCCCCTTCAGAAAGATGCCCCCCTCCAGCCAGAGAACTTCTTCACAGAAATGCGTGTGCATTTTTATTTCCCCTTTAAAACTTGAAAGGGAGCTCATATACCCCCATCCCACATTTGGTTAAAGACAGAGAGGGCTCCTTCACCCACATGGAAACATGAAAAGAAAATGAAATTCTGTCCCAAGGCTTGTGATTTTTTTCTTTCTTTTCCTGAGTCAATGAATGCCAGATGTTCTCACAAAACATCTTCATATCTACAGGACGGCCTGTGAAAGTACTATTTATTATTGCTCAGAGGTCATGAGGCCACAACAGATTTATAAGAAGGCTGTGGTCACTCTCAGTGTCTCCTATAGTTAGGAGATATTTGTGGCAAGAGTCAGGGAGGGCTCTTCTTTCTACATAATTTACTTCCCCAGGGCCAATTAGCTGGGTCAGGTTAAGAGCAGAGGTGGTTTTCCCCCTCAGGCAACAGAAAGCTTGTTAAAGGCAGCGAGGCCACGTAAGACTTCCCAACTGTCAGAAGAACAGGAGGGAAGGAGAATGTCAAAAAGAATATGGAGTGTGAGCACCAGTAAGCCTGTCTGTCAACAATGTGTAACATGTGGTAGGTCACATCCTCTTTGGCCTTGTCCCTGACAATGTCTCAGTCCCAATAAGCTATCATTCTATTGCGGTCCTCTGAGGTTGAACTGGGTTTTAAGTGGTAGGAAGGTGGATTTCACTCCACGCTACCCAAGCTACCTCTCAGACCACTGCTGAAATACTGCATCATCACCTCTGTCTGGTGCCTGCAAATTCAATCGGCCTTTTCCTGGGGAGCACCCACCCTCCCTCACCCCACTCTGTTTCAAAGGATAGGCAGATGTTGCAGAGAACCACCGCCTCCAGGTAAACAGGCTGAAAGGCACCGATGCCCAAAGGAAAGTGGGCCACATTTGGTCTGGACATCAAAGAGGTTGAGCTATCGGCACCGGATGAACCACATCAGAACAAGACCTGGATTATGAGGGCCAAAGAAGAAGGTGTTATACCTGTAGGGTCTGCTGCTTCCTGCGCATGCTAATGCTCTTCTGAAATAAGCTCTGTAGCTACAGTTGGGAGTTGGATTCCCTTTTCTAAGGATTTCAAACCAAACAAGACACTATTGATTCCAACCTGGCTCCAGAATGAATGAAGGGTCAATAGATGAGGCTGGGAAAACAGGTTTCCTTTCCTTTCTTCCACAAGGAAAACTCTGATTGTGTCTGTGGCTCTAACTTTTAAGACATGAATTGAGTTCAGTAACTCAATTTTCATTTCTGCTTCTGGTCTAAACTTGGAGGAAGCTAACGTTCCCTCTTGCTTTGCTCATGCAGTTGCCTTTTTTTGTTTTGCCATTTCTTCCATTTCTTCCTCTCTAGGGGAGTTCTTTGGGCTACTAAGATTGCTTTGAATAATGTGCTAAGTATTTGTAGAAAAGAAACAGGGACCTTGGGTTCTGTCTTATATGATATAGTCTATATTTCAATGAATAGTTTCACCCTCCACCGGATTGCACAAACCGAAAATCTGGGAATCTTTCTAGATTACCCTCTCTCCTTTAAGCATTTACATCTGTTTAGTTTCCACCACTCACTGAATCCAACTCTATTCAACTCTGGAATTCCCCGCCCCCTTCTTTTCATTCACTCCCTGTTACAGGTGAATTATGTCCCCCCAAAAGATTATGTTGTGGCCCAAAGCCCTGGTTCCTGTGAATGTGACCTTATTTCAAAATAGGGAACAGGTGCAGTGGCTCATGCCTATAATCTCTGCACTTTGGGAGGCTGAGGTGGGCAGATCACCTCAGGTCAGGAGTTTTAGACCAGCCTGGCCAACATGGTGAAACCCCATCTCTACTAAAAAAAATACAAAAGTTAGCCAGGCCTGGTGGCGCACGCCTGTAATCCCAGCTACTCGGGAAGCTGAGGCAGGAGAATCTCTTGAACCCGGGAGGCAGAGGTTGCAGTGAGCCAACATCATGCCACTGCACTCCAGCCTGGTTGACAGAGTGAGACTCTCTCTCAAGAAAAGAAAAAAAAATAGGGTCTATGCAGATGAAGTCAAATTGAGGCTATTAGTGTGGGCCTTAATCCAACATGACTGGTGTTCCAATAAGAGGAGGAAAATGCCATATGAAGAGAGAGACACTAAAAAAAAAAAAAAAAAAAAGGTGGCAATGTGAAGATAGAAGCGGAGATTGGGATGATGCGGCCACAAACCAAAGAATACTGGGGGCGGGCTACCAGAAGCTGGGAGAGGCAAGGAAAGATCCTTCCCTAGAGGCTTTGGAGAGAGCCTGGCCCTGTCCACACCTGGATTTTGGACTTCTATCCTGCAGAACTGTGAGAGAATACATTTCCATTGCTTTTAACCACCCACTTTGTGGTGATTTGTTTCTGCAGCCCTAGGAAACTATTACACCCCTCTTGTCCAGGCAATTCAGGTCTCTGTCTCCTTTGTTTTCTCCTCCGATACATCCTCTCCCTCATGGCCAAAGTGATCTTCCCAAAACGCAACCCTAAGTCCCTCCCCTTCTTACGAGTTTATAATTATTTCAAAGTAAAGTCCAAGCTCCTTAATATTACAAAGGCCAGTCCCACTCCAACCCGTCTGCCTCTCCTACAGGGAATCCTTTACCCCAGGCATGCGGAACGACGTCTGCCAGCCTCTCTTGGGCTCTGAATATTTGCTTTTCCTACGCTTAGAATACTTCAAGCCCCTGTTTGCCTAACTCCTACACATCCTCCAAGGTACAGCTCAAGGTCTATCTCCTTCTGAAGGCCTCCCTGGAAACCCCTGGCCTAGGGGGTCCCATTATCTGAGTACACAATGCACACATTTGTTCTGGTTCTTCCCACATTGAACAGGTATCATGGACTTTTCCAGATCTTGAATTCTTGGTGGTCAGAGGCTGCTCTGTGGCCCTCATGCCTAGCATATGGGCTGGAAAATGGTAGGAAATTAGTAAATTCTTGTTAAACAGATGACTTTACAAAAACAAATGATTGGATCACTGGTAAACTTCAATATGGTTGTTGCTCAACTGGTAAAGGAGACCATCAGTTTTGGGGAAGAAAGGAGTAGCCCAGTCAATAAACAAGTTTCATGAGGATGCCAGCCATGAGACAAGTGACCCTCTAGGTACCATTGATATAGCTGTGAATAAGACCAAGTCCCTGCTTTCTGGAACTTTCTATTGTAGATTAGAAAGATGGATAGTAATCATGTAAATATTTTAGGAGTTACGCGGTAATAGAAACAAAACACAGTAATACAACAGAGAATGACTGGTTAGGAAAGGCCTCTCTGGGAGGTGACATTTGAGATTAGAGTTGAATGATGTGCAAAGTTGAAAGCGGGACACTCAGGCCAAGCTTGAGCAAAGGGCCGGAGGCAGGGACATCTTGACCTATTCAAGTAACAGCAAAAAGGCCAGGAAGAGGTCAAGGCTTAGGGAGAGAGTTGGGCAAAGGTATGAAAGAAGTTGGAGAAGGTCGGGCGCAGTGGCTCACGCCTGTAATCCCAGCACTTTGGGAGGCCAAGGCGGGTGGATCATAGGTCAAGAGATCGAGACCATCCTGGCCAACATGGTGAAACCCCATCTCTACTAAAAATACAAAAATTAGCTGGGTGTGGTAGCTGTAGTGCCAGCTACTCGGGAGGCTGAGGCAGAGAATGGTTTGAACCCGGGAGGCGGTGGTTGCAGTGAGCCAAGATTGCACCACTGCACTCCAGCCTGGCGACAGAGTGAAACTCTGTCTCGGAGGAAAAAAAAAAAAGAAAAAAGAAAAAGAAGGAAGTTGGAGAAGTAGACAGTGTTCAAAACAGGGAGGGCTGTGTTGGCCATCATACGAAATTAAGAATTTTATTCTACATACAATGGTAAACCAGAGAAGACAGGCTTGAGCAAGAGGCATAACATGATCTGACTTTGGTTCTCAAAAGACCACCCTGGCTTGTCCTTGAATATAGATTATAGAGGGGCAGAGTGGAGTCTGGGAGTCTGGTTAGGCAGGTTTTGTAGAAGTCCAGGAACAAGATGAAGGGGCTCGGAGGAGGCAGTGGAGTGGGGGTATAAAATCTTCTCCTCTCAGGTAAAAGCATTATGCAGAAGGGAGGTCTCAGTAGGTTTGGAACCTTTGCTATCAGCAGTCAAACCCTCATTTTTTCATAAGCTCAGTGGATGAGGACAGGGTGCCGACTTGATTCACAGGCCTTGTGGATTCTTGGCTGGGCAGGTTTCCCAGCAAGAAAAATTGTAGAGTCCAAAAGATTCCTCAATTATTATGCCAGTTTTTGTTCCTTCTGCAGTCCATTAAATATATATGTTTACGCATACTTACATGACCATCTGCTGCCTTCCCAAACCACCTTTGCAGAGGCCCAGGCATAACTGATTTGTCTTTTCAATGAACACTGTTGAGTGATTTTGACACCACATTGCCATCGATAGGTTTGACTTACAAATTATTTAGTGCTTATAATGGATCGTTGGCCACCTTCCAGACATTCATAGCTGGCGATCTCTTAAAAAAAAAAAAAGATTAAATGAAGTTCGTAGTGACTTCAGCATTAAATGCTGGCTTCCAGGATTCATGCCTATTTGAGGCAGAATTCCTACTGTTCCTGCAGCTGTGGATTTCATCGTTTCTACTTTATAATCACTTTAAGAGACAAGGGAGCAGATTGGCGGAGCTGACGGTGCCCTGTGGCTGACTTCACAGTCCCATGGAGGAAAAGAGAGCCCTAGCAGGGGAGGTGGCCCAGGGCCACAGAAAGAATACTCTTACAGAGTCCAAACGCTCACATGTTCTTCTTGACTATGCCCCCCACAAGCTGTGTGACCTTGCTGGGTCTCTTAACCTCTCTGAGCCTCATTTTCTCAGCTGTAAAGTAAGAAAATGCTATCTGCCTTACCTGTCTCCATAATGACAAGAGCAGGCATGTTGTAAGTGAAATAAATGGTGTCAATATATTTTCTGATATATTTCACTTTTTGTGGTAAGCAAGATCTTCCATCTATGTCCTATCTGCCATTAAGGCCACATTGAGGTTTGATATTCCAAGAAAGGAATGGGTAGGTAGCTCCCACATGTGACCTAGGGAAGTTGAGAAGGAGGGTCTAACATAGTGATAAGTTATCTTAAACAAGAAGGGAAAAGCATGCTCTTCTGAACCACAGGGGAGAAATTCAGAGTGGATGAGACTTAGGGGAGAGGGGAAGATGTCCAGTTCCCCCACAACCCTGAGCTGAGGTCTGGAAAGATGGGTCAAAGAAACTGGGAAGAGGCTGTACAAAGTCCCTTCCCTTTTCTGGAAGCCCGCTTTGCTTAGTGGCCTGGCACCAGCATGGGGCAGCCAGGTGAGCCCAGAAATGCTGGTATGGTGAGGTTAAGCAGAGAGAATCCAGAAATAGAGTGCAAAAGCAGCGTCTGAAAGTGCCCATAAGCTCCCAGAGGGGGATGTAGAGGGTGGCTAAGAATAGGGAGTCAGAGGCTCTACTAGGAAGCAGGCGTGCGAGGACCTCTCAGTAGAAGCAGAGAAAGGGATATGCTGGGGTCTGGACACGGCACTGGCCGAATGTGGAAGGGCAGAAGGTGGAGTAGGGTTATCATGACTCCCCACGGTGCCAGAAGAAGGGACCACAGCACCCTCAGCCATAGACTGGGGTGAGAAAGGATGCACCAGCACATGATAAGGCTCACACTCCACACTCCACCCTGCTATGTGGGGCGACCTCTGTGACTTCTTGGTTAAGAAAATGAGGAGTGCCCCTGAAATGCTGAGCATTCACCCCAAAAAGGCCACTTAAGCAAAAAGACACAGCTTTCTTTTATGGGGAAGGTGTAGAGTTTTCTCCCTTCTCTTTTGGCTGATAGAGGCTTAAGATCAAGATGAAATCAGCTATAGAAAATACCCAGGGACCCTGGTTGCTTGCCCCAGCATGTAGTGAGTTATTAAACCATCGACCCCACCCTGTAAGGTATAAAGCATGGAATTTCCTACAGTGTCAAATGAGACGAGCGCTATTGCAGATGCAGGGACTGCTGTGTTCTTGCACGGAAGGTCTTCTCACGTGACTTCTCAGATGTTCTGCCTATTAAAAGCTACCATCAGACCGCTTCTCCCCGAGCCTTGTGACATCCACTGTGTTAATGCCATGCGGCAAAGTGCAGATGCAAATACCATCACAGCCTTTCTCCCCACTAGTATTCCAACACCGATTCTTTGTCCACCTGCTTGCTTACTGTGCTGCTTAGGGTTCCGGGAGGGCCACCAAACAAGGGAAGCCAGGAAGGTGAGTATGGTTTCCATTGGAAAGGCTTAGTTAGAAAGAAACTAGATCTGAAAGGTAAGAACGCAGGTCAAGGAGGCAAGAGCGGCTCAGGACACATTTGGAGGGATATTTGGGAGAAGCTGGGGAACAGGGGCCTGCTGCCTGATATATGAGATATAGAAAAAATTCAGAGAAAGCTTGTTGTGTTTTATGAATGAAATCCTGCACTTTAAGTTTTGAGAAGCTGTTTTAAATATTGAGATCATGTCACAGTGTCAAAAGCATTCCTTGTGGCTGCTGGTCTGTGGTTCTGTCTGAATGCTTTCCTGTGAGGGGACAGGATGTGAAGCAGTTTGGCTTTCTATGGATTGCATTCATTTCTAATCTGTTTCCTACTCTGGATATACCACACCTTGGTAAGTAAGTCCTCTACTTCTTTCTCCTTTGATGAAATCTAAATGGAAGGCTGAGATCAGAAGAAAGAATAAGATGCCTCAGGTTTGGAAAATGCATCTCTCAGGAGAAGGACTTCCTGTTGCTCTAGAGAGTATCAAGGAAGAGCAACAGAATATTCCAGGCCAGGAAGCCACCATGTTGGGCACCTTTGCACAAACCAAACATAGTAAGGACGTTGCAGTGTCCAAAGCCAGGGACCCAAATGCTGGAGAGTTTGCCAAGGGAGCTGAGAAGCCCTGAATTGGAGGGTTTATTTTCAAGCATGAGCTCCAAGAACACTTGCTTTCATCCTTCAGCTGGTGCCAAGGGAGCTAATCGCCAGCTCTAGGCATCCTTTGACTTCTTGGTAGAGTCACTGTCAGAATCCTCCTGACAAACAGAAGCCTGCAATTTCTTTGGCTGTGAAGACCAAAAGAGAAGACCACAGAGATTCTATGGAAGACACCAAGTGAAAAAAGGCACTGTCCCCCCTCTAGGAGCAAAGTGGGGCAGAGACAGGGAGCTCACCGTTCACACATACTCCAGAATGAGGATAACAACAAAAGCCGCATTCTTTAAGCACCAGGCACTGTCCCAGGCTCTTTGTAAGCCTTACCCATTCAATCCTACAGCACAGCCTGCCAGGTGGGAGTAGGATCCCCACTTTATCCAGACATCAAGTCGTTTACCTGAGTTGCACTGCCAGAAAGTAGAAGGGCAGTGATTTGAACCCAATGCTCTCGGTCCCAAAGCCCCTTATCCATGTCTACACTGTAGAAGCCTCAAACGGGCCTCTTCCAGCCCACACATGTAATTAGCATGCCCAGCACAACATTAAAAACAAATTTTTAAAATGGTTGCCAACATTTTAAAGATGTGAGATTTCACCTTTAAAAACTAAATGTCTGACTTGGCTTAAAATAAAATGAAAAGGCCTGAGTCTACCAGTCCCACGTTGCCACGAGGCCCAGCAGGTTGAAGGCTGAGGAGGAGCTGCCCTTTGAAGGGGAACAGACTCCATTTGGCTGGGGCTATGGTCTGAATGTTTGAGTTCCCCTCAAATTCATATATTGAAATTCTAATGCCCAAAGTGATATGTTAAGAGGCAGGGCCTTTGGGAGATGATTAGGTCATGAGGCAGAGCCTTTTTGAATGAGATTAGTGCCCTTATAAAAAGAGACCCTAGAGAGCTCTTTCATCCTTTTTTGGCCATGTGAGGACACAGAAAGAAGCCAGCCATCTGCAGCCCAGAATAATGGCCCTCCCCAGAACCTGACCACACTGGCATCCTGATCTGGAACTTCCAGTGTCTAGAACTGTTTGAAATAGGCCACGCGCAGCGGCTCATGGCTGTAATCCCAGCCCTTTGGGAGGCCAAGGCCGGTGAATCATCTGAAGTCAGGAGCTCAAGACCAGCTTGGTCAACACGGTGAAACCCTGTCTCTACTAAAAATACAAAGATTAGCTGGGTGTGGTGGCACACACACCTGTAGTCCCAGCTACTTGGGAGGCTGAGGCAGGAGAATCACTTGAACCCAGGAGGTAGAGGTTGCAGTGAGCCAAGATCGCACCATTGTACTCCAGCCTGGGTGACAGAGCAAGACTCCATCTCAAACAAACAAACAAACAAACAAACAAAAAACACTGAGAAATAAATTTTGTTGCTTATGAACTACCCAGTCTATATCAGCCCAAATGGACTAAGACAGCTGCTTCAGTCACTCAGGTAACCTGCACAGCACTGTGGGCATGTGAGTTTTCTAATCTTGTGTATTGCTTTATGTCACCACTTCCCTGGAGATGAGCTGCAACTGGGGTGTGAGCGTCATTAGCTGGGAGTCTGCATCAGGCTCTATGTCTCCTCTTCTCTATTGCACCAAGTGACACAGGGTTAGCCCCTGCTCCTGGGGGAATTTCAGCCTAAGGCTGACCAGGAGCAGAGCTCAGGCAGAGAAGTTCTATGAACAACAGGATGAGAGAATGCTCATTGGGCTGAGTGGAGCAGTGTCCATACCGGGTCTGAGTCCACTTGAAGCTGGGTTTAGAAAAATGAATGGCTGTCCAAGTGCCTCTGGGAAAATCATGGCCCCTCTAGCTGTCTGCTCATGCTGAATCTCTTTTCCAATCTAAATGGGACCTTTAGTGGTATCCACAGGGGCTGTGGGGTCAGAGTCAACAGGACTCAAGTCCTGTGCAGTTGCTTCCTAAGCTGGGTGTTTTTGAGCAACTTTGTCACCTCCCTGCACCCCGGTTTCCTTATTGCAAAGCATGAATATAAATAGAATCTACCTTGTTGGGATGCTGTGGGTGTTCAATTAAATAATCCACTAGCACGGTTCTAGAATAAATATTTAATAAACAGAAGCAATACTTACATTTTCCCATGAATGTTTTCTTCCTGGCTGACTTAGAGGGATTTTCAACTTAGCCAGGGTGGAAAATGACCCTTTACTATGGTGTCACTGGGCTCTCTTCAGCAGTTTGGTCCAAGGGACCAGGGAGAGTGAAGCTCTGACCGATGTCTCTCTGTGCTGGAAGATGCTGTGCAGGTGGCTGGATGTTGACTAGAGGCCTTCCCTGGACCAGAACCCAGGTTTGCTTGCCCCTCAGGTCTGTATTCACTCTTCATAATTCTCCCCTCAATCAGCCATAACTATGAACGCTATTCTTAGGCAGAGGCCCAATAGCTGCCCCTCGGCTCCCTACAATCCACCCATGGTTCTGATCGCAAAGCATCTTGTTATCACCCAAGGCGAGGACTGGTGGAGAGACACATCTGCGTGGCACCTAATGCCTGGCCCATCTCTACCTGACCTTACTACAAGGGCTCTAACTGAGCCATGCCCAGTTAGATGCAGGGAAGGTCCAGGCTAGCTTTGTTTCTGTTGTATAAGCCATGCACGATGCAGCGCAAGGATGCATGAGGGCCTGGACTAGGACAACGATGAAGCCAGCATCGCTGGGATGCTTCCAGCCCTTCCTGGGAAAATGCTGGATCATCATTCATCTCAGATCATGACGGATACCCTCAGAAACAATCCCCTCCCCTCCAGCTGGAGGTGAAGATCATGATGATAGAATCATTCCCCACCCCACTCCCTACCCTCTGGGGCCAGAAAGGGAACCAGAGAGACTGAGTCTATCCCACTGCCTTGGGGACAGTTAGAATTTACGCCACCCCAATCGTGAGGTCAGGAGATCGAGACCATCCTGGCTAACATGGTGAAACCCCGTCTCTACTAAAAACACAAAAAATTAGACGGGCGTGGTGGTGGGTGCCTGCAGTCCCAGCTACTCGGGAGGCTGAGACAGGAGAATGGTGTGAACCCAGGAGGCAGAGCTGGCAGTGAGCCGAGATCACGCCACTGCACTCCAGCCTGGGCGACAGAGCGAGACTCTGTCTCAGCAAAAAAATAAATACATAAATAAAAAATAAAGAATTTATACCATCCCAGAAAGAACTCTAGACAGTTAATTTGACAGGCATTCACCACTCACCCTTCTAAGCAGAATCTCTAGTGACATAAGATAAATCTACCCCATTTGTTTAGTGCTTATTAAGGCTTTGGGTGCCACATGAATGCTACATAGACACCCAGGAATAGACCTGGTAACGACTTAATCCTTCTCCTTACCTTCATAGTGTAGGCAAGGACTCATCATCTTTGAGTTCCTGCCTTGGCCCTAGAAGGCCTGGCCTCTGCCTTCTTCTCTGATTTTATCTGTCCACTTCCTCTGCCCTCACTCACTGTGCTCCAGGTGACTTTCTGTCCCTTCCACTTTCCACGCCTGTCCTATCTTCTTGCTCCTGCCGTTAGATACTAGTGTATCATCCTATTGCATTGTCTTCCTATTTTACACTTTGTGGAAACTATTTCATTTACTCATGTGTTTGGTTTGTATGGTCTCTCTCCTCAAAACAGTGTAAATTCCATAAGAGCACAGATTCTGCCTGTTAGGTTTCTTTACCCATGAGTCCCCCTGGCTCAGAGTTGGGTCCAGTAAGTTGTTGTGACCATCATTTCCCCCTTCATGTTCCTTCCCTGCCTTTCCCATATGGAGAAATTCTCAAAGTAGCTGGGGAAGAAAAAGACCTTTAACCAAGAATGACAGGAATGTCCAGGAAGGTGAACAGCACCAGCAAGAGGCTGTGTGTGCAAGTGTGTATAAACCTGTTCAAAATCAAGCCTTTTCTAAGATGTTTCTCACATTTTGTAATATAAACTGTTCTTGTTTGAACTGTTTTCGAAATGTACCTGTTGGTGCATTTGGGTGCATTTGCTGGTCTGCCAAGCTTAACCACGAAGCTTGGATAAATTAGCACATTGTCAGCTGTAAATACCTAGAGGGACGAAGTTTGTAATCATAAGTGCCAATTGAGCCCCCGTGCCAGCCCTGCACAGAGGACCATGACTGGCCTTAATGCCGGCTGCATGAGGGTCAGTGCATGATTCAGGGCAGACTTTCAGGGTCAGTCCTGAATTCGTCAGTTATTTGCTTTGATTGCTTCTTACAGGCTTGCCCCTTGATAGCCATGAGACCCAGCGCTGGAAGGAGGGGCTGGAAGTTTCCTTCCTACCAGGACCAGATGATCCCATTCAGCATTCCTTCTCTTAAATGTCTCTACCCCTTCAATCCTTCCCACATTCCCTCGATTCTCTTGTGGCTGACAGGAAGGGTAGGGACAGATTTCCTGGAACTGAGGCTCCCAAGCCCTGCTGCTTTCTGACCCGCCTCGGGGGCACACCCCTCTGGTCTTTACACCCTGCTGGGGATTACTTGCTCCACAATCTATTCCACCTGTGGCCACAATTGACTTCCTCCCGTGTGCGTGAGTGAGAAACAGGGAGATCCTAGTGAAAGTTTTATGTGTGTGATGCGGACACCATAAATCAGGACCCTGGCAGTATTTAAATCTGTGAAATGCAAAGGGAATTTAAATAACAAGTCAGCCACACAGGCAGGTGGCCCCTGAAGCTCCGGAATGTTCATCTCGCGCTAACAGCTTGCACATTTATATTATGGTACGAGAAGCACTGAGCAGAAGGAGTGGAAGGTGTTAACAACTACTGCAAAATATTTCCTTAAGGATACATTTCCTCCATTTCCTCTCAACATAAATTCTGACAACACAAATGCCGTATTTATGCATGAAATCATGTATCTGGGAGGACTGCTTTTAATTTATAGAATGATTTGAAAAAGCAGTCCTTTAATCTATACCGGGAGTAGTTGGTTAATATGATGTAATTAGCAGGGTAAATTATTTTCAAAAGGGAAGGGCTTAAGGCCTGAAACCAGCCCATTACAAATGAACACCTTTCCATTCTGCTTGGTGCCAGAAAATTGGATTCTGTTGCTCTCCTTTAAACAGATAAACAGATGCTCTTTCTGGAATTATTAAAACCCTGTGACCCACCTCTGACTTCCTGAAAGGACTCTAACTGAAGTCGGGAGGGGAGGCAAGGGACAGAACAAACATTCTTTGCCTGCTTGAAGTATTCTTGGCTCCGAGCCACTGCCTCTTAATTCTTTGGGTGGTTGAAATGGAAACTTGTCTTCTCTGATTTAGTCCAATAAAAGCAATGGCGGTCACATTGGTGAATGCCCACTATGTGTGAGGCCCTATAATATGCCAGTATTTTTAGATATGATCTTATTTGCCACTCACAAGACCCAGCATGAGTATTGTCCTTTTTCTTTTTTCCTCACAGAGATGGAAACTGAGGCCAGGGATGTAAAATGACTTGTTTTAGGTTACATAGCTGGAAACTAACAGAGCCAAAATTTGAACCCAGGTTCTTCTGCTGCCAAATTTCACACACTTCACATGCAATAACTGGCTGTATGATGAGTGTTACGGCTTCCCGTGCCATAAGTCTCTTGTGACTGCAGCTACAAGAAAGGTCAGTCCGGCTCTTCTCTGTGCATCTTCTGTCCCGAGACACTGGATTTCCTTCAATATTGATTCAATTCTAGGAGCACTATGTTCTAGGGATTTGCTGTTGATGAATCCTTTTGAATATTTCATATAGACTCCCAGAACGTTACACCTATGAGGGACCAAAGAGATTTTCCAGCCCGACCTCCTCATTTTAATGAAACGGAAATAAGAGCTTCAGAGGACTTTTCCCTGGCAGTTTCGAAACTAGAACCCAGCCTAATTGCTTGCCTTGACACAAAGAGTTCTGACCTTTCATTCCCACTATTTAATTTTATCCTCAAAACTTTGCCTTTGAGGAAGGTATGGAAATTATTAGTATGGTCCTTGAAGAACCAGAAGCACAGAGGAGACAAGTTCATATGGTTAAACAGTCATATGTCATATTAGTGGAAAGGTGCAAAGCGAAACCTGCAGATACCACCTAAAATGCTCAGAGGATTCCTTAGAGAATCTTAGATGTGCATATAAAGTAAGACCAGTGCCCTTTTCAAACCTGCTTCAAACGCAGTCACTGCTGCCCTCCAACTGTCTGATGAACATTCAGTATTCACCTTGGTGGCAGCTACCGTCTAGTGTATCACACAGCCTGCTAGAATAAAAAAAAGAATGATAGAAGAAATATTCCCCATTTGATGCCAAATGGTTAATATGGAAGCCATCACACAGAGCAGAGCCCAAGGTCCATGTCAAAGTCCTTGTAAATCCATTCCCCTCCACTTGGGCGGCCCCTCTGAAGTGTTTGTAGAGTTGAGCCCACGTCCTGGTGTCCCCAGAAGTTCTATACTTGTCTCTCTGGGGAATGAATGGGAGGAGCCTGGCCATCAAGACAGTCCTCTTTTAAACTTGACCTTTGTCTTCGTCACATCAGACATCCTGCTCATTGCTAAGGAATGTGAAGGCCCTGTCACCCTCCCAAAGGCATCCTTGGGTCCTGGGAGCACTGCTATTCCCATGCCACTGTGGGGCAACGAGGGCAAGATCTCTGCAAATCCTCCCGGATAGCCCATTCCATAGGAGCTGGAAGGCTTCTTCCCAACATAGCATGCACCCCTGCTTCTCTGTCCCTTCAGCAAAGAGGGAGGAACAGAGGGTGAGGGAGACCTTTATGATTCCATCAAGGCTACTTTAAAGTAACACGTTTGAGTAGAAAATTAGGTATCATACATATAGTCTCTTAAATATCTCTTAATGGCTGCCATCCTTGTGCCAGGTACTATGTTTCATGAACTTCATCACATTTGTTACTAGCAAAAAGTGTGCAAGGCAGGTGTCATTCCAGTTGACAGATGAAGAAACTGAGCCTCAGAGAGGTGCGGTAACCTGGCCCAAGCTCACAAAGCTAGTAAATGGCAAATCCAGGACTCAAACACAGTCTAACTAAAATAATGCAAATACAACCATAGCTGGCACTAAAATGTAAAAACTATTTTTGAGCAGTCTGGAATTTGTTAAATTATATTCTGACTGCAGTGGTACCATTGCAGTGCTACCATTACATTTCTCCAGTCCCAAGCCCAGGGTCAATCCTATCTTCCCCTTTAGTATGAGGTAATACAGACAGTAAGTGGGGAAAATTATTTTTGGTAAAGTAGGACCATCTGAATCCTTCAAAAGATAATCACACCAAAATTAACATCACAGCCCAAAATGGGCAAAGAACAAGAGGAGGCAATCTGCAAAATAAGAAATTCAAATGGCCAACATATGCATGAAAAAACGCTCAACTTACAAGACCAAAAAAAGTGCAAATTAAATCAACCACCATTCCCTGTGCCTTGAAACCTAGGAAAATAATTAATGATAACAATGATAATTCCCAGTGTTGGACAACATATGAAGAAGTAATCAATCCTCATACCCTGCTAGTGGAAGTTTACTTTGCTCCATTTTTCTAGAAGGCAATTTGGTACTATATAGCAAAAGCATTAACATTCTCCACTCCCTTTGACCGGCATGTAAAGTTTTCGCCCAAGGAAATCATCATGGTATACTCAAATATTTTTTTAAAAAGGATATTAATTGAAATGTTGCTTACAATATAATACAAGTCTTAAAATCATCTGAATTGTCCAACAAAAGGCAGAGATTAATAAGTTATGGTACATTTATATAATGACCTACTTGGCTGAACTTAAGAAATGATTTTGTGGAAGACAATTTAATGACATGGAAAAACATTCATGATATATTGCTAAGGCAACACCATGATCCCTTTCCTGAAAAAAAAAAAAAAAAAAAAGACAAGACATACATGCCTAAAGACAAGAAGAACAAACACACAATATTGGTAATAAAACTAATTGTGATTATTATTCGCTTCCTGTTAGTCATTTTCAAAAATTTCCACCATGACATCTTTGTTTATTCTTATATTCTTAAAAAGGTAAAGAATGACGGACGAATTGGCCGGGTACAGTGGCTCATGTTTGTAATCCCAGCACTTTGGGAGGCTGAGGTGGGTGGATCACCTGAGGTCAGGAGTTTGGGACCAGCCTGGCTAACATGTTAAAACCCTGTCTCTACTAAAAATACAAAAATTAGGCATGGTGGCACACAACTGTAGTCCCAGCTACTCAGGAGGCTGAGGCAGGAGAATTGCTTGAACCTGGGAAGCAGAAGTTGCAGTGAGCAGAGATCACACCATTGCACTTCAGCCTGGCCATCTCAGCGAGACTCCACCTCAAAAAAAAATAAAACAACAACAAAAAAGAATGAAGAATAATTACCCCACATAGGCAGTGTGGTTCCTGGGACAATCCATCCATCTCTGTGCCTCCACGGCAAAAGGCTGGGAGGCTGAGAAGTGGATGCTGCAAGTTTGATTCTCAGTCCAATGCTGATGTTGCGGAGCCTCTGAATGAGCCTTTTGCAGCTCATAAACCTCCTGCTACTTGGGCATCCTGACTTATGCCGTGACTAGTGACCTAAAGATACTTGGGGAGATATTCCAGTTGGGTTAAAATTTGAGACATCAGAGGAGTGAAATGGAGGGTGTTTCAAGCAGCACCACACAGAGCATCAAGACACAGGCTCTGACAGCTGGCACTTTCTGTCCCTTGTGCCTTCCTATGTCTGCAGGCTTCCCAGCCTCCAACTCAAAATAGCTGCTCTGCTATGCACAGCAAAGAAAAAGAGACAGGCTTAGGCCAGCGGCTGCTAACGCTCAGGGCATCAAACTGGGCTGGCACACTTGAGGAAAATTATTTAGTTATGATAATTATTAGCTGCTTTTAATCACAATAATGAACTAATACAGCAGTACTTATGCTTGGGAAAGTCAAAGAGGATCCATTAAAAATCTAATTAAAAGCCAGTCCTTAAGAAGAATCATGGCTTATTTATCTCTCTATTAGGTAATATAAACTAGTGAACTGTGCAGCTTGGAAATTTTCCACCAGTCAAGCTGATAAGCACTATTCCCCTCTCAGTTGTAAAAGTACAATAAATCTGCTGTAAGGGAACTCTCACTATGTTTTAAGAAGACAGATGAGGGAAGAAAAAAGAGAGGAAGAGAAAGAAAAAAATGTTAATATAACATTTCTTCACTTATATCTCGCCATTTTCCAAAAAATATATGAAACAAGTATAGAAAAATGTATGAAGAGCAGTCTGTTGGTAAATAGACTTTGGGAAATAGACTGGTTAAGAATTTTTCACCCGTTAGCCAGGTATCGAGCTAGGTGCTGAGGTAAAGAGACTAAGTATAGGAGAATAATGTAGATCACTAAGACGAAGCCTGGGGCCAAGTCAGAACACCATGTTGATCACCAGAGGGTTTCGTTTAAGATGGGCTGCATATTATACTCAGCTTCCTAGTGGCCAAAGCAAAGAGAGAAAATTTCCAAACATAGCACTCATTTTATAGAAATATAATCCTTTCTGGCAACTCAGGGTTGACAGAAAATTCTTCAGTGAATCCTGAAAAGGACAATGTTCCCAACAATGCATGTAGGCCAACCCCCAGCAAGTTTCAGGATGGCTTCTTGTGACATCTCTGGGCTCAAGCATGCACTAAGCACACACAACACAACCCACCCAGCTGGAGAAGCTCTGCCACAGTGCCTTTATCATACTCATTACGGGAAAAACCCTCTTAAATATCCACATTTTAAAAGCCTCAAAAAAAAAATGCAGAATCCTTTTATTATGATCCCATAGGAAAAGTTTACCTTCTAAAGTAGTGGTGACTTAGTGGCAATTAAATTTCAATTAATATATTTATTGGGTGTTTCTTTTAGGTCTTTACAACACATAGAATAAATAAGTGGATAGGCATGAACCCTACCACAATCAAGTAGAAGGTACAGCTAGGAAATAACAAAGCAATGGCTGCCCTTTATTGAAGAGCAAAGATGTAGACTATGTGCTTTATGCAAATTATCTCAGTTAATCCTTGCAACAATCCTTAGAGGTGATAACAATGACCACCCCCAATTTACAGTTGAGGAAAGTGAGTTTGGCACATATTAAGGGGGCACACAACTCCTCAGTGCCTGAGAGGGGTCTGGAGTGCCAGTCTGACTCCAGAGACCGTCCATTGCTGCTGGGTACCACCTTCCAGGTGCTCCCATTTCACAGTCGAGAGAGGAGTGACATGCACACGACAGGTGAAATATGAGGAAGAGGAACTGCCTTGGAGGGCCCTAGAATGCATGTCCCAGGAGATCACCGTCACAGTCCTTTTAGGGTCAGAGTTCAATCCCATTTGTTCCACAGGCAGGGAGGCAGGCAGGCTGTGAGCACTTCCCATGTGCAGGCCCTCTGCAATTCACTAGAGAGAGAGGGCCCTACCCTGGGTGCCGAGGGAACTCAGACCTATAGGAGTGGTCCCCTAGAGGCATGCCCAGGGGTCTCTGGGAGCACTGGACACTTAGCACACTCTATGTGCGGTAAGGTTATCACAAGGTTATGACAGGTAGAGGCAATATTATGTGCAAATGTTTATACATCATGACCCACTGGGGATCACCAAGAGGTTTGGTATGAGGAGAGGAAGTAGGGGAGGGAGAGAGGGGAGGTAGGGAGGTGGACAGACAGACAGACAGACAGAGTGAATATGAAGCAAATGGAGTGTGGTGAGTGTGTACACCATGAGAACAGAGAAGCAGGCAGGCACCAGACCAGACCACAGAGGAACACATGCAATGATGAGAGTCTGGGTAGTGGGGAACCCTCGGAAAGATCTTCAGATGTTAAGTGGAGTCAAGTCAAGCTCCAATGGAGGTTTCAGAAAGGTTACTCCACGTGCAGTGCAGAGGATGGTGGGATGCAGATAGGACAGCTGTAATAGCCCATGCACAAGGTGACAGCAGTGGGAAGAGAAAAGGAAATGAAAAGTGATATTTGGAAGGTAGGATTGGTCTGATTAGATTTTGGGTAAAAGGGAAGGTTGAGCAGAATCCTAGGGAGCTGGCTGAAAGGTGACAGGCAATACAGAGAAAGGGGGACTCAGGGGACTTCAACAGGTGGTATTGTGGGGTTTGCAGTATGTTCGAGTGATGTGTCCTTGAAGTAACTGGATGTTTCTGGGATTGAAGGGGCATCCTGGGGAATCCAAGTAATGGACTGGGTGGAGATTTCCTCTGGAGAGGCTGCTGCTATCATTAAGTTCCAGTGTAAATGTCTAACTCCAGTTCTGGCCCAGATGAAGAGAAACTTTTTGATGACCACACACTCTGTATTGGGTAGAATCTCAGGCTGTCTCTTGTCACTGACTGTATGTTGCAAAGAGGGCTAAAATCTGAGGTTTCAGCTAAAACTCTCACCAGGGAAAAGCAAAAGGCAAACTTGAACTAATTACTCTGCCAGTCGAGATGACCTTTAGAAACAAGTTTGAACTTTTGTCAGCGTGTTATCGGTATTTCCATCAGGAAGTATTTCAACCAGCTAATGTTTGCCAACTGGGAGGACCAAGTGTTCGGTTCAGCATCAGGGTTTCTGTGCTAATCTGACCTTCCAAGGTATTTAAAGATGCAAAGGCCAGATTCACCACTTGAGTTCCCAAATCTATGGGTGTTGAATTCCATAGTGCTGTCTACCAACATTTGCCTAGACTTGCTCTCTACATTTTCCTCAAAAAAAAAAAAAAAAAAGAAACAAAAAACAAAAACAAAAAACAAAAGCCTGAAGCCCTAACTTCCAAATTAACCTTAAAAAAACATTTAGAATCACATGTTGCTGAGCCACTTTAACCGTCATCAACCTTTAACCTTAAAAGGAAGCATCCATAGAGGTTAGCTACTTGGTCCTTGGAGACAGAATACTGACTTTGAATCCTGGCTTCCCCACCTCCTAGCTGTGGGACCTTGGGCAGGTACTCAAACCTGCCTCAGTTTTCCCATCTGTAAAATGTAAGAGAACTTACTTCACAGGTAACATAATTAAGAGGCTATATGCCCTGAGTCTTGAGACTGTGCTTGTTACAGGCTGTGATTTGTGGTTAGTTTTTGATAAGTGGGGTTATCACGATCAAAACACCTTTTTACACTTAATCCCCCAGAAAGTGCCATGTTGGCTTCAGTCCCTGAATGGGGCTCATGTAATGAACACAAAACCAGGGACTATGCTTGTTTTTCTTCTTCTTTATAAACAGAAGCAACCAATAAAATCATTTCTCCACAGCCTAGTGCCTTCAACTATATTTCTCTAAGAAGTAGCAGCAGGAGAAATCTAGAGTTTAATTAAACTCTTATTTTGGGCAAAATAAAGAGGAGAAAGAGCGTTTGAGGGAAAGGTAGTTCATAAAACACTGATTACTGTGGTGGAGGGCACCCAGAGCGATAAATGACTATAGTGGAAAAATGTATTATGAGAGCTTTTTCTCACTCTGGAAGTTTCTTTCCTGGTTTCAGCCCCTCTAATGAAGCTGTGCTCCATATTTCCTCCCAGCAATGCCAGCCTCCACTTCAGGGGAGTTTTTGTGGCAGTCCTTTGACATGGAATCTTTACTGTGTGCAAGTGTAGAATCCAAGTCGTGGTTGCAATGGAAACTGCCTGGCGGTCCCTTTCCACCACATAGACCTTGTGTTCTTGAGTTACCACAATGACTGCTTGGCCTCTTGTTCAGGAAATAGCCACTCTTGCCTTATCAATTCCTTGTGCGAGTGGTTAGGAGGGTGGGATGAGTGGGCAGGGCAGAGGGATTGGGTCATTTTGGTTAGAGGAAGAAGGGGAGAAAGGATAGGTTCAAGACTCTTGGAACGTCACAGAGAGACAGTAGAAGGTAACAAAAGCTCCCTTTGATGTTGCTTGGATGTAAGTTGGCTTGAGTTGGAACTAGAACAATAGCTCAGCTTTGATCCCCAAATAGCCAAAGCATCCTTTATGTATGAGAATGACCACATCCAGATTCCAAAACCAGTTAGGGGGAGAGGAAGATGGTCCCCACATGCAAGTATTGCATCAAATAGAGGGGTCTTCCTGCAGTGATGGAGGTATGGGGGTATGGTGGTGATGGTGGTAGTGTCCATGCATGTAAGAGTGTTCCAGGGAGCAGCAGAGAATAATGATAAGCTTGAAAAACTTGAAAATGCACTGGCATCAGACTGGGAGACAGGAGACTTGAGATTTATCTTCAATGTACTACTTTGTGACCTTAGAGAAGTCACATAAGCTTTCTGAACCCTAGATGCCTCATCTGTCAAATGAGGCAAATAAATATCTGCTAGTCCTTCCCCAATGGGTGGAGAGGAGCAAATGACTTCAGGCATGGATGACTCTGCACAAAGGCAACTCTCACATTATTCATTCCAGGTCTCTCCAGCTCCAAAGGGACTGTGAGGAAGGGTTAGTACAAATGAAGATGTGACTTATTCAAGGCTGAAGAGTCTCAGGTGGATCAAACAGAGCCACCATGCAAGTACTGGATCTAGCCTGCCTGAACACATTTTATCATCATTTTGACATAGCCACCCATGGAGGAGGTTAGGGATGTTTCTAGACTTCAGCTGGGCAGGGTCAGCATAGAACAGTAGGGGCCCAGCCACGGAAGACAGAAGCCATACCAGATCTTCTGCACGGCTGGAGGCACTGGCCAGAGTAATCCTTTGGGCAGCCTTATGCCAAATCCTGGTCTGAGCATCTGGGAGCTCTTCCTGCCACCTTTAGTCACTCTCAGTCTCCAACACCTTCCTTCTTGCAAAGCAGCATTTGACTCTGCAGGAGACCCAACTGTTGCTGTAAAGGTTGCCCGCCACTTGCTGAAATACCAGCAGCCTCCACAGCAGATCCCAGCCTACCTCAAATATGTGGGTAGCTTCAGGTGGCCAGAGACTCATCCAATAATTACAGCACATTCATTTAATATTTATTGGTAAGTGCTCACACAACGCAGGGAGAGTGCAAATCGTGAATCCTTCAGGCCAGATCCTTCAGGTCCCTTGTGATGCTTTTCTTTGAAGGCTCCTTTTCATACACCGCCACCTCTCTTTTCCCAGTGCCTTCCTGTTACTTGGTTTCTCCATGTAACAAGGGAGGGGAGAGACCTTAATATCCTAATTCTCATGTACTTCCAGAGGCATTAGCACATTAAAAGAGTAAGAGGACAATCCTTAGCCCCGCAGGATGAACACCTGGTGGTCCAGTTGGTCAGTTGGGCCTTGGATATACAATAATCACACCATGCTGCACAAGGTTCAATCTTACACAAGCCCTCATCCTCATCAACAGCCTCCTCTGTCATTCGTTCTCATCTTTGGTACTGCACCTCCTTCTTCCAACATTTGGGGAATTCTCCATTCTCTGGGTCTTGGTGGGAGGCAAAGTCGTCTTCTACAGTAGAATCAGACAATGTCAGTGATGTGATTTGGATGTTTGTCCCCTCCAAATCTCATGTTGAATGTGATCTCCAATGTTGGAGGTGGGGCCTAGTGGGAGGCGTTTGGGTCATGGAGGTTGATCCCTCATGAATGTCTTGGTGCTATTCCCATGGTAATGGGTGAGTTCTTGCCCTGAGTTTACCTGAGAGCTGGCGGTTTAAAAGAGCCTGGCACCTCCCCACAACCTTGCTTCTTCTCTTGCCATGTGATGTGAAGGCTCCCCCTTCACCTTCTGCAATGATTGTAAACTCCCTGAGGCCCTCACCAAAAGCAGATGCTTGCACCACACTTCCTGTACAGCCTGCAGAACTGTGCACAAAAATAAACCTCTTTTATTTCCTAACCTCAGGAATTCCTTTAGTGCAATGCAGCTGGACAATACAGACAGATGTGTGCTTTCCCAGACTCTCTTGCAGTAAGGGGAGGGACACACCATTGATATTTTATCAATCAGACAGAATAGTACCGCAAGGGAATAAGGAGTGAATTCCTCAAAGAAGTGGGGATTTGGAAAAATCCTTTCTAGAGACAGCAGCTGGTTGAACAAGATTAAGTTCTGGGGCAGTGGTGGATGGAGGGAGCAGTAGTTTTCAGAGCCCCAGGTGGATGATGTCTAACATGTACCCTATAATCTCTGGAGCTGGGTAGGGGCAACAGTGTTACCCTCACAGGGCAAGTCTCCACTGTATTTTGGGTATTGTTGCTAGCTGGGTGGTCTCCAGGTCTCATTTTCCAGCTCTCAGAGAAATTCTGTAGGTCACCCAATATCATTTTTAACGCATTCCTTTTCTGCTTAAATCAGCTAAGTCAGATTCTGTGGCTTGAGTGTGTATCCTGAGTGATACAACTCAGGTATAAATGACATTAATAATAACAGTAGTAGTAATAATAATGATGATGATAGCTAGCATTATGGAGTGTTTCTACCTTCTATGCACTGTCCCAAAAGTTTTTCAATTAATAACTCATGTATTCCTAAAACACATCCTATGAAGTAACCATCAGAAACCCAATTTTACAGTTGAGGGAGTAAAAGCTCGGAGAGGTGAGTACCTTTCTGAAGGTCTCAAGTTTCACCTTTTCCTTCTGCTGCCTCCTAAGATGCAGACTTAAGTATGGATTTCAAAATTAAAGTCAGCATACCAGGGACTCATAACTCTGGCTCCTTTGTGTTTGGATCTAGGGTGAACATTTTTACGGGGAAACATTTACACTTCCCAGCAGGACCAAACTGTGGCCGTGGCCTTGTTTCTTGGTCAGCCTTGTTGCAAACAGCTGAAGCAAGACCTGAGGGTGGGACAAGGCCCCCAAGGGCTCCTGTGGCTCCAGAGCCACCTGAGGGCTTTGGAGCCTTAGGACAAGCTAACTGCTGGGAAGACAGAAGGTGCACTCTGGAAATGTCACCGCTGACCTCTTAATCACCATCCTGTGATTGAATTAATTAGGCTGAGAGCTCTGCTATTGAGCTGTTCTCACATCTGGAGTAGTTTTACAATGCAGGAAACTGATCACAGAAGGCCAACTGTCAAGAAGGAGAGTCAGATATAAACATAATACATCACCGAGAGACTCTGCTTATGGCTGGGTCATGATTCGTAACCTGGGAGTGATTGATTGTCTTCTCCTTGTTCTAATTTTGGACCAGACATTTTGGGATGATGGTGGGGTTTGACATTTTAGTCATCTTTTCTTATTCTACAAGAAAGTCTAAGTAATCGTGACTAGGGTAAGAAGGGGAGGAAAGAGGGGATCTGTTGATGCCAGGATTTTTGCATGTATTTTTCCTGAAGCAACAACAATAAAGTACATACGTAGGGAAATAAAGTGTCTGCATCAGGACTGAGTGAGGACCTGGAGCTTTCTCTGCTGGTGTGTTTTGGTGCTGTGGTGTCTGTGTCTCTAAATCCTGGAATAAAAGCTGTATTCGAAAATATCGTGAAGTTGAAGGCATTTTGTTAAGAAACACTTGCTTCTAAAACTCAGAGTGAGGAAAGTGTTTACCTAAATTTTAGCTATGCTGGAGTGGGCTGTATAAGAGCTTTCTTCAAGGAAATTTGTGATGGGTTGCCTGAGCCTGGTTCAAGCCCAGCAACATTCTAGGTGGAAGCAAAAGAGAGACTTGGCTTCTTATATGCAGATAGAACAATGGAGAAAAGAAAATGATGAACCACAGCACACTCTTCAGAGAATTCCCATTGCCTTTCATGCAAAATCCTACATGATCTGGCTCTTCTGTGCTTCTCTTTCGGATTTCATCTAGTACTTTCTCCAGCCATGCTAGTAAAGGCAGACCTTCTGTCTATCTATCTACATAGTTTGTCTGTCTGTCTATCTACTTACCTACCAACCTAGTTTGTCTCTGCAGGCTTAAATAAAGCCAATACCTGCCAGAAGAGTTGGGGGACAGAATCTACATCTTGGGGAGGGGTGATAAGCTCAATTCCCAGTCTCTTTGAGAATCTGCAATGTGGTGAGAGGTGTTAAGGGAAGTTTCCTTAACAAGCTGAGCCCCTCTGTTCTCTGTATGAGAGTGAAGGTGGCCCACCAAGGGCAGGACCCTCAGGGGGGTTTCATTCTGGAGAAGATGGGCCTGGTGGTGACTCCTGTCCTTGGTCTGGCACTGGCCAAAGTGAGTTGCTGGGGGATCACAGGAAGGAAGATGCATTGACTTTTCCCCAGTAGTTCATAAAGAGTGCTATTCAAAAGCCAAGGAATTGAGGGCCTTTTCAGACTTAAAAGAGATCAGAGAGACCATATATTAGCACTAGAGATTGTTCAGGAGGCTGTGATTATAACCCAGGGCTGCTATGTAATGGGCATTCAGTAAATATTAGTAAAATGAGTGACTTCCCCAAGTTTCACAGCAAGAAAAGCAGCACTAGAGCTTCCCTCTCCATCTCCCTGCCTCCTTTCTTCCACTATCTTTGCCTTGTCTCTACCCTCATTTCTCTCTCCTTTCCCCCTTCTCCCTACCTCTCTCTCTCTAGCTTGCTAAAACTTCTTTTTATAGAACAGGAAAGAAATTGTCAAAATGGATTTCTTTTTTTTCTGATCTCATACTTACTTTAAGAGGAGAGAGAGGGTGGAAGAAATTTGTCTTGAGAGCCTGAGAGAGACAGGGAACATTTTATAACTCAGTTTTTGGAAATTCTAGT
The DNA here is from genome assembly GCF_000001405.40 of Homo sapiens. NCBI lineage: Eukaryota > Metazoa > Chordata > Mammalia > Primates > Hominidae > Homo > Homo sapiens. The sequence continues at coordinate 169,076,695 of NC_000005.10, forward strand.
CCTTGAAAACTCTAGAACTGGTTGTAGGATGTGGGTGAATATAACCTTTCCCAAGAATATTCTTTTTAAATTTAAAGACTTGAGCTAAGCAGAAATAGAATCTAGTTCAATTCATCGAGTACAGGACTTGACAGTCAATCAAGTGCTACTCAGTTGATGAGACTTGGGACAACTAAGTACTTAGGATATAATAAAAATATGCCCCAATTTTATACAACTCTCACACACACAAAAATCCCTCTCTCTCATACACACACGCACACACACACATACACACACACACACCCTAGAGGGATAAACAGTTGACCCTTGAACAACACAGGTTTGAACTACCTGGGATCACTTGTATGTGGATTTTCTTCTGCTTCTGTCCCCCTGAGACAGCAAGAACAAACTCTCCTCTTCTTCCTCCTCTCTAGCCTACTCCATGTGAGGAGGACAAGGATGAAGACCTTTATGGTGATCCATTTCCATTTAATGAATTGTAAGTATATTTTCTCTTCCTTGTGTTTTTCCTAATAATTTTCTTTTCTCTAGTTTATTGTAAGAATACAGTATGTAGGCCGGGCGCGGTGGCTCACACCTGTAATCCCAGCACTTTGGGAGGCTGAGGCGGGCGGATCACAAGGTCAGGAGTTCAAGACCAGCCTGGCCAAGATGGTGAAAACCCGTCTCTACTGAAAAAATACAAAAAATTAGCCTGGTGCAGTGGCTGGTGCCTGTAATCCCAGCTACTTGGGAAGCTGAGGCAGGAGAATCACTTGAACTCAGAGGGCGGAGGTTGCAGTGAGCCGAGATCACACCACTGCACTCCAGCCTGGGTGACAGAGTGAGACCCCGTCTCAAAAAAACAAAAAACAAAAAACAAAAAACAGTAATACATATAAAATATCTGTTCATTAACTGTTTATGTTATCAGTAAGGCTTCTGATCAACATTAGGCTATTAGTAGCTAAGTTTTCGGGGAGTCAAAAGTTAAACAGAGATTTTTGACTGTGTGGGGGGTCACCACCCCAAACCCCTGTGTTGTTCAAGGGTCAATGTATATCAAAATGTCACGGAGAGATGGGTTATCACTTGATGGGCTTATATGTGTTTTCTACATTTTCCAAAATTTCCAGAATAAATGTCCACAACTTCTTCAATTACTAAAAAAAAAAAAAAAAAGTGTCATTGTAAAAAAATATTATTTTAAAAAATAGCAACACTTTTTAAGTTTCCTTTTTTAAGGCTGTGTCTCTACACACAGCCAGTTTGTTGCCTGCCTTGCCAAGTTCATTGACAACCACAATCTCCAACCCATACAGGATCAAGATTCAGCTTGAGTCTGTGCATTGGAGAATCCTAGGAAACCTTGCTTTACTTTCTAGGGGCATGATCTGGGGCCTTGTGTTCATTTTGCTTCACCCACAGGGATCACATGCTGTGCCTACCCACTCCTGACCTCAACCACCCACTGCTTCAATTTCAACACATCAGGTTACAAATACAGGGTTCATCGATAAGGGGCTTATGTCCAAATGCAATGTCTCCCCAGGCCCAAGTCCAACGCAAACCAGCCAAAAGATTCCCTGGCTTCCTATTCTCCTTTCTACGCTCTGTTTCTGGTTTCCTCTCCACCTTCAGGTTTCATGTCGTTTTGTACCTAAGGCATGTCAGGAACTCTGGGGGCTGCCTTCACAAATATATTTCTCCTTGGATACCCACCACCGATAAAGTGAAGATTTGTATTCCCATCTTACTGAAGAGGAACCTGAGGTTCAGAGTAGTCAAATGACCAAGCAGAAATCACAGACCCGGTGGGGAATAAAAGGCCAGTCTCCCGCAAACCCAGCACCCTTCCTACTTCACCAACTTCACTCATTTCCTTGTTTTCCTTGTTACTCTCCAGCTTCTCCCTCCTATCACCTTCCTTTCTTTACCCTTCATCTTCATCCTTCTAAGAAATATGTCTAAAATCAGAAAAAATGAGCACTAATGAAAATAACTGTGCTAGGAGCTTTTGCACACAATATCTCAATACATAATTTCAGCTACTCAGTGTGGTAGGTGATATGTATTCATTCCAATATTTATTGAACACTGATGGTGTGGCAGATATCATACCAGACACGCCAAGTGAAATAAGGAAAACAAACCCAATTCCTGTCCTCAAGGAGCTGTAGTCTAGGAAATATTCCTATTATTTGTTTTCAAAAAGAAATAAACTAAGACTTGGAGGAATTAATTAGTTTTTTAAATGCCATAGTTCAAACTCAAAATCCTTTATCACACTGGATTTTAAGCTTTCTCATGGCACAGAATTCTGGAGGAGATTGGAAAAAAAAATTGCTTCCTAAAATTCAGTCTCTGCCTTTAGCTCCCTAAACAAGAAAGAAGAGAAGGCGAGACAGAGACAGTGACAGAGACAGAAAAGCAGATCCTTGGCTACTCATCCTGCCGTATCTCAAGGCAATGAATCACTGATGAATTCTTTCCTTTTCTATCTGGGAGAAAAAATGCTTTAAGGAGCCCCAAGTTTTCAGGCCAGGGTTTGTCCAGGTGGTGTGTAACCCACAGAATCAAAGGGATGAGGCTGTTGTTCCACACCTGCCTGCTTTCAGCTCTCTTTTGTTTTCAGATCTTATAGTTCTAGCTAAACAAAGAAGTTCTCCTTCTCATCCTTGGTCTCCAGGCAGAGAAAATGTCAAGTTCATCAGCTGAAACGAAAACTCCCACTGTCCAGGCTAAGAGACCAGGGTCAGGGATGGGATCCCAAACTTTGAGGTGGAAGATGGAGAAAGGGTGGGGGAGGAGGGGGGGAGGGAGGAGGAGGAAGGAGGAGAGGGAGGAGGAAGGAGGAGGAGGAAGAAGGAGGAAGAAGGAGGAGGAGGAAGGAGGAGGAGAGAAGGGGAGGAGGAGGAGGGAGGAGGAGGAGGAAGGAGGAGAGAAGAGGAGGAGGGAAGAGGAGGAGGAGGGAAGAGGAGGAGGAGGGAAGAGGAGGAGGAGGGAAGAGGAGGAGGAGGGAAGAGGAGGAGGAGGGAAGAGGAGGAGGAGGAGGGAAGAGGAGGAGAGAAGAGGAGGAAGAGGGAAGAAGAGGGAAGGGGAAGAGGAGGAGGAGGGAGGAAGAGGGAAGGGGAAGAGGAGGAGGGAGGAGGAGGAGGGAGGGAGGAGGAGGAGGGAGGGAGGAGGAAAGGTGGAGGAGGAGGAAGAGCAAAGGGAAGAGTGAAGAAGAAGAGGAGGAAGAGGAATGGCAAAGGGAAGAGAGAGAAGAGGGAGAAGGAAGAAGAGGAGGAGATTATGCACGACACTTGTTAAAATTGGTAAGAAAGACTTTATTTAAGGGGGGCTACTGCAACGGGGGTTTGCATAGGGGAGAGAGATGGGCTCAACTCCAATATAAGGACAAGTGGACATGTATAGCTAAGGAGCAGGTAGGAGTCTGGTGGAAGGAAAATTACTAGGAGGAAACATCAAGGCTAGGGGGATACTAGCCAGACCCACTCAACAGGCTTCTTGCTAAAACTGGACTAACTAGGCCAAAGTCAGGGCCCAAAGTCAGGGCCTAGTCAAAAAGAGGCCTCAGAGGAGCCTGACTCAAGTTTGGCTAAGGAGAGCGTGTTTGTCGGTGATAATAAAAATAATAGCATTTAGCAGGTATTGAGCCTTTATGTGCCAAGCACTGTGCTAGGGACTTTTGCATAGATCTCATTTAACCCACAGTAAGGTAATCTGGGGAGGTGGGTACTATGATCTCCTCCACGGCCAAGGCAAGGAGTCTGCGGCTGGGAGACATGATTTGACTTGCCCACATCCTGTGAGCAGGGGATTTGATCCCAGGGAGTCTGGTTCCAGAGCCTGCCGGCACCAGCTGTGTTCTAGGGCCTCCGAGGTGAGAGCTATAAAGCACGTGGTAGATGCCTAGTAAATATGGGTCTCCTCCTTAACACCTCTGAGGAAGCTGTTTTTTTTGCAAACCTGGCCTCTTCCCCAAACCATCAGCCACTCTACCATACAGCCAACTCTGTGGCCGGGGCTGACCTGACTGACTGTTTAACTTCTATCCTGCATGCTGCAGTTACGTCCTCAGCTGGCTGCCTTTCTGCACTGTAGTGCTTTTCCTGCTATGCCTGGATACCCAGGCAATTTAAAAGCATGTTGACCCTAAGAACCACTGCTCTGGAGAGCATTTGTGCTTGGCTTCTCTGAACAACCATTGATCATATTTCATGGTTTTAAAGAAAAAAGAAAAAAAAATGTAAAAAACCAGGTACCCTGGAGAAGCCAACAGGATAACCCCTGAGCTGTCACATGAGATAGGAACAAATGCACAGAGAGCACTGTGGCTGCCCCCGCCCCCCTTCCCCAGGGCTCCCCGCTCCAGCTCCAGGACTTGTTTATGGCCTGGGGGAACAGGGAAGGACAGGAGCCAACTCTGCACAATCACGAAAGGCCTGGGTCAGGCCTGGCCCACCAGGTGCCTGCCACTTACAAGAAAACAATTTTCTCAGGTTGAACTCTGCCTCCCGCTCTGGGGCCCCCTGGAGGGGTGCAGTGCTTTTCTCTTTCATTAAACAAGGGTAGGGGGTACACAGCAGGGTGGGAAGGAGCCTGGGAAGAGGAGAGGAAGGAGGTTTCATGCAGTGCAGCCAGCGGGGCAGCTGGGCCTCTGCCTCCCAGCCTGGGCCAAATGGAACCAGAGAGACCCACAGGTTCATAATTCATCTTAATGAAGGGTCTCCGTAAACCTGCCATGCCCTGGGGTTTCAGCAGGAAACTCCTGGCCATTTTGCTGACAAGGGTCCCCAAATGTGCAGGTGCTAATGGGGCCCTTTCCTCCTGGGGTTTTTATGGCATGTTTTGGAGCAACCGGATGTTTTAGAGTCTTCTTCCCTCAGGGCCCCCGAGGAGAAGGGGATGCTAGGCTGCAGGGCTTGCTCTGAGAAGGTCCCAGAAGCCTCCAGAAGATCTTCCATTGAGCAGCACATGGTCCTCTTAAGCAGACAGCTAGAGGAAGGCATGAGTCCCGGCAGCAATTCACAATGGCAGTAGGAGGTTGGACAGAGCAAATTATATTCAAAGCAGGGAATAACCCCCGAATGTATTTAAAAAATTTATCCCAGGCCAGACCCTGTGCTTTGCTCTTACATACACCGTCTCACTTACTCTTCACAGCAACACTGAGACGGTATTAGCAGCCCAGTTCTTCATTTGAGAAGACCAAAGCACAGAGGGGCTAAGTGATTTGCCCGGGCCCACACAGCTGGGTTGTTGCTGAGCCAGCATTTGAAACCAGGTCAGCCTGACTCCAGACCCCCCCACAGCATAACATTTAGCGACATTGTGCCTATTCGTTATCCCATTTAACACAAACAATTCTGAGATCCTTATTATTAGCACATTCTGCAGATAAGGAAAACAACTCGGAGAGGTGTAGGGACATGCAGTAAGTGTCCTTAGCAGGGACTCCACAGGCCGTAGACATGCCAGCAATACAATCCTCGAGTAGAAGCCATGTGGAAGCCACGCCAAACAAACCCCTGCTTTCTATGCCAAGTCTAAAGCCTTCAACTTTTTCTATTTTCCCACCAATGCAACTCACAGACATTGAAGACACACGGCTCATATATTATGCTTTGATTGTGTTTTTTAACCTACAGAGTTTCCTGTTTAAGTTGCTGGCCAAAGGCCCAGTTACGATTATGTTGGAGTAATTTTTTAAAATATGCCTTACTTACTTTCAGAAGAGTAATGAGATAGCTTCTTTAAAAAATAACACACAAAGCCACCTCCACCAACTAAATTGTAAACTCCTCAAGGGTTGGATGTTTGTCTATTTACTCTCTGATTCCTATTCTTCCCACCCCAATGCCTGGATTTTGAAAAGTACCTGTCTCTATGTGTGTGTGTGTCTCTCTCTTTCTCTACCTACCTACCTGAATCCTGTGGTAGAATTGTAGGAATGACCGCATCAGAACCAAAAGATTAAGAGTTATCACAACTTGCCATTTAATTGGTTCAGCACATCCTGGCAACCATGAAGAGTAGAAAAATAGTAGATGAAGATGTGATGTTGTTTAATACTTCTCTTTTGTAAGAGCCATTGTTTATCTTTCGACCTTACATGATTGGTACCTTACATCAGCAACTGTATGCAACTTCATACCCCTTTCGGCTAAATTTATCTCTGCTCCTTCTCTGCCTCAATAACACCACTCACACATTGACAAATGTCTTCTCAGCAGTTCAATACAGGGCAAATCCACAATTTGAACTTATGCATCTTTCTTAGAGCTCCAAAGCAAATAAAGTGATCACAGAATCTGAAACACTGATCTTTATTAAATCTCTACCATATGTAACATATGTTATTCAAAATAAGAATTTGGTCTTAGTTGCTGGTGAGAAGAAACATCATTACTCAACACAGTTTCGGAACTAACTGGTCACTCAGAAGCGGAATGGATCACACAAAGGTCTCAAACCAAACTAATTTCATTGTTGACTCTATTTGTATTTGCACTGACAGGTATTTGCATTTACCTGTCAAATACATTTGGAAATCTGGATACATGTGCGAATATACACACATGGGCAGAAGGATATCTACTTATTCCCTCAAGAGAGTCATACAAAAAGACTCTAGGTTAACTGAGACCTTAAAGCTTTACTGGTCTAACATCTCTCCTCCCACTTCAAAGCACACACACCTGAAAGTGAAATGGGGCGTTAGGGGGTGGGGGCAGAAGAGATCAACACCAATCCAGGCTTAGCACTTCTTGCAACAGGTGAATGGTGTTGAGGGCTATCAGCACGCCTTAAACTTACAGTCCCAAACTGATGAGATTGAGGTTGCACATTGGCAAACAGGAAATTGTCCCTGTGATCTCCTGCTCTTCAAAGGGGAGCCTCTCCAGCATGTGTGTTTGTCAGTTCAGAGTTTAATTAGCCATCTATATGCACTCAATCTGGGCTCAGCGGGGAAGACCAAACACGGTCAGGGCTGCAGTCAGCCATCACAGGCCTCTGGGCAGCACACAGCACGGCTCACAGCTGTCCACCAAGGAGCTGGCATGCCAGCACCCTCTAGGATTGCTCCTTCCTCTTCCCAATTCTCAGCACCCCAGGGGGTGACCTGGAACTCTTCCTGTTTGTCTGGCAATTAAAGAGGAAGCGCTCACTAGGGCCTACTTAGAATACCCACCTGGAGCAAATTGTCCCTCGTGGTTAGCTCTGCTTGCCTTTCTTAGTAAACCTGCTCTCTCACAAGCCCTGTACCTCACTTTCTCTGCCTGTTACTCCCTTCGCTTGGAGGGCAGTCTCCACCTTACCAGTGACCAGGATCATGCTTAGCATTTGTTCTTTTCCAAAAGTGTGCTTGTTTGAGTGTAAGAATCAAAAGATTTCTGGAATCCTCAACTCTTGTTTCAGTTTGGCCGAGAGCGGGATATTAGAGACTCCTAGACAATACAGTACCAGAGTCTGCAGCCTTCTAGCCTAGGCTCCCTCACACACACCTCTGTTGGTTGACTCCAACAGTATTTAAGAGAAAAAAAAGATTGAAGCCATGGCTTACATTCCAAAATAGGGAAATAGGGATGTTTCTTTTTCTTTTCTTTTTTTTTTTTTTGAGACAGTTTCGCTCTTGTTGCCCAGTCTGGGATGCAATGGCGCGATCGTGATCTCAGCTCACTGCAACCTCTGACTCCCAGGTACAAGTGATTCTCCTGTCTCAACCTCCCAAGTAGCTTGGATTACAGGCATGCGCCACCATGCCCAGATTTTTTTTTTTTTTTTTTTTTTTTGTTTCTGGTATTTAGTAGAGACGGGGTTTCACCATGTTAGGCTGGTTGGAAACTCCTGACCTCAGGTGATCCATCTGCCTCGGCCTCCCAAAGTGCTGGGATTACAGGCGTGTGCCACCGTGCCCAGCCTCAAAATTGGGATATTTTACACACATGAAATCAAATGTTCAGTTTCTTTTGAAAAACAAAACCAAAAACCAGAAGCTGCAGCAACACTGGGTCCATACCCCTGGGTGACAAACTTGGTCCTGAGCAGAGCAGAGTTCCCCTCTTTCAGGGGCCAGGGCCATTGCATGCTGTTGGATAGGTTGTACCTGCTGAGGGGGCCCAGAGGGGCGCAAATCAAAGCTGGGCCAAGTTGGCTTCCACTGGGAGGAAGGGGCCCCTTTTCCTAATCCACACAAAGGCTCCCATGGGCCAGGGGAGCCCAGTTCCCTCCACTCACCACCTGACCAACCTCACCCATTCATGTTACCCGTGTCTCCCAGCAGGAGTGTCTAATCCCTGCTATCAACAACAACAACCTACAGCTATAAACGTTTTACAAGTTTAACAGCAGCAACACGTGGAGGAGATTTCTACCCACACCTTGGAGAAAATTCCTACTGGGTTACCAACCACATCCAATTCTCTATAGACTCCAGGTTTCTTTCTTTCTTAAATTCAGCCCTCCAACTTCTACTGGGGTTTACTTGCTTCCTGGGCTCCTGGAAAAACACAAAATCTGACTCTCAGAGCCAGAGCAGGTCGGCTGGAAACACATGTGGCTTATTACACTGCTGAGTTATAAAGAATGAGAACGGCTGGTCCAATTTCTTTGTGGAGCAGCCTGTTGTCTCTGAGGCTGTCAGCAACCTGGGGTTTCTGCTTTTATGACATCTTCTGACCCAGTGAGCAGACCTGGGCAATAAAATGCAAATCATTCCAGCAGTCAATTAATCCCACTGAAATCGCTTCAACTAACACAGCAGCAAAGGGGCGTGGGAGGGGTTTTTTCTTTGGTCTTGCTCTACTCAGAGATAAACTGCAAAACTTAAGGGACTTTTAATTGTCCAGATCCACCCCAATTCCCCAAATCCAGGCCACATGCATGGCTGTTTAAGCCTTGATGAAAATTAATGAAATGGAAATAAGAAGGAGGTTACCGCTGTGAATCAGAACTGTTTGGTGTCAATACCCAAACCCAACACAGCCTGCCCCAGCTCAGCAAGACAAATCGTCGTCTTAAAGGGACCAGCCAGAGACATGCAATGCCTACGCTCTGTCATCGCTCTCATTTCTGGAGTAATGAAAGGTCCATGAGTTCGTGAAAATTCCTTCTGTGATATTCACAGCTGGGTGGATCTCGTGCAAACCACAGGCAGAAATGACATGGGTGTTGCTAGGCAGCCCCATCTTGCCACCTTTCAAAGCTGGTCCAACGTTGGTGTCTTTGACCTCCATCTGACTCAGCCACAGAGCACCAGCCTGCAGCGGCAAGAGTCAGCAGCACCCTTTACTCCATGAGGGCTCCCCAAATCACTTTTCAGAGGCCCTCATTTTCCCTACAGCTAGCCTCCTCAGCAGAAATGGCAACCCTCCCCTAAAGCCAACGGCCTTTCCTCACAGCCCCAACGTGTCCTTCAGAAGCTCTCGTGGCCCCTGTGAGAACAGTCAAGGCCAAGGGGCACAAATACCTCTTTTTGTTTTTTAAGAGCGTAGAGGGTTACATAGGCTAACCACCCCATTTTACATATGAACAAAATATAAATGACTTGCAAGATGGCAAGCAGCAAGGATCAGAACCCAGGAACTGGCAACCACTATTGTAAGTTCTGAAAGTGTGTTGGTGAATCCATTGTTTGGATCTCAGAATGATTTCTCTTTAAAGCTTTTGACAAGTGTTGGCCAGACTCCCAGCCCACAGGTATCTAACTAGTTAATGCATGTGTTCTGGAAATATAACACCAATGAGATTCCTTTATCTGTTTCTAATTGGTGGTTGAACAGTTCGGCCTGAAAATTCATTTGTAAAAAGTACACATGAACTATATACGGCTTGACTAAAAATAAAAGAAATGCACATTAGAACCATTCAGAGATAGTATTTTTTTCCTTGACTTCACTACAGCAAAGATGAAATTTTGAAAATCAAACTGATGTCAGTATTAGCATGGATTCAGTCAAGCTGGACCTCTTAACTCCTGCTGGTGATTATGAAAATTTGTGCAAACTTTCTGAAAGCAGTTTGGTAACGTGGGTCAAGAGTCTTAAGAATGCCCTTGACCTTTGACCCTTAATTCATCTCCGGGAAATCTATCCTAAGCAGAAATGTGGACAAAGGTTTAGGCCCAAATGTTCATTTCAGCACTACTGGTATAATTAACTTGGCCTTGACTGCCTTCTAACAGGGGGACATCCAAAGGAGAAGTCTTTGTTGGGCAGGATGATGGTGTGAGAATGCAAGTTTGGAGAAGCTAAGAAGTGAGAAACTGCTGAGCATAAAAGGAAAGGGCTGAAGATTAGTGCTATGCAAAGTGCCGTCCAAAAACTAGAGTCTATCTTGCAACTACTTACTAGCCAGCAATAAGAGTCAGCAATACAGCAACTGAGTAAATATTTAGCAGCTTGACATCTTGCACCCTCCCGGCATGCTATTTTGTGTTTCACAACAAAGCAAAGCAAAACAAAACAACAAAACAACTTAGCTTCTTCCCCCGGATATTCTGCAAAGCACTAACTGCTAGGGAGGCATCCTGCAGGGGGTGGCTGTGGCAGGGGAGGAGAAAACAGAGTCCAGAAGGTGGTGAGAGGGGTAGAGGACAGAAGTGTCTAGTGGAGATTTTCAACTATATTTTGCTGTGAGGTTGGTAATGCTGCCATCTCCCAGGTAGGCCCAGGGCATTTGTAGGCAAATCTCTATTGTCTGCTGTTGATTTCTGGAGCTGGGCTCACTTTGTAGGGATGTGAGGCAGTGCTTTCTCCTGTTGCTTCAAGAGAAAAGTGAGGTCAGGACTAAGAATGCACCCCTGGCCTCTGCACATTTGGGGAGCTTTTATTTCAGTGTACAATTAGGAACAACCTATGTGCCTAACATGAGGGGAATAGTTAGCTAAGGCATGCTGCAGCCACCCAGTGGAATATTATATGATCATCTAAATATTCTCAAAAAGCTTTTAATAATATGGCACAATGATCTCAGTATGTTTTTTGTTAAATGAAAACCCAGAAAACCAGCAAAGGTTTTTGTAGTACAGTTACAACCAATAAAGAAAAAACATTGCATATCAAAAATTAAAAGGAAATAGGCCAAAATGCCAGTAGTGACTGATGACATCCTAAGTGATTTTTTCCTTTCTTTATACTTTCTGTATTTTTTATAATTTTCACAGGGAGGAATGTATGCCTTTGATAATCAAAAATAAGTGTTAGTGAAAGGAAAACAAATTGCTCTGTAGACCAACATATTGAGTTCTAACTTGGCATCCCCCTACTTTCCTCCGTTCTCTTTATCCTCCTACCACCCTTTTTCTCTGGGCCACCTATAGGCCAGGACTTTCCTTACTTCGAGAAATAGGCAGGAGGGCAGAGGTGCCCCTAGCTGCCAACATCTTACAATTCTCTGCATGGTAGCCATTCCCTACCGCTGTTTTCTTGGCCAATTACTCTCCAGATTCTCTAAAGTAGGAAACAAAGGACAGTTGCTTTCAAGAAGGAAGGGACTGAGCAACTCTATCTCCTGCAGTGTGTCGGCTGGCCGTATGGCTTGTGTTCATAAATAAGCCTGTCCTCCCTCCTAAGTTGGTCTCATCTTAGCCAGGTGGTTCACGGTGTTTCAGAAGACACAGCACGTATTACAAAGGGTCCATCATCCAGGAGTTTGCAAAATGCTGAGATCCGTACTGCCTCCTACTCCCCTGTCAAAGTTCTTTTTCTTCGATTTTTTTTTTTTTTTTTGCCACAACAACAGCGACAATAACAATGACAACAAAAACAATTGGCATAAGAATAGCAAACCCAAAGAGAATCACAGCATAAAACCCTTTCCATAGCAACGGCATTTCTGAGCCAGGGATTTACAACTAGTCCAGGAGTGAGCAAGACTGGTCAGAGGAATGCAGTATGGAGAGACTGATAATTACACCAAAACCATGAGCTGGGGCAAGGGTCTTTCCGAGAATCAGATTGAGCACTGGCTGCTGCACCTGGCTGGGTATCCAAATCTCCAAGGAGCTTTGAGGAATACCGATTCCAGGCCCTTCTTGAGAAGAGCTGACTGTGGCTGGGCACGGTGGCTCATGCCTGTAATCCCAGCACTCTGGAAGGCTGAGGTGGGCAGATCACCTGAGGCCAGGAGTTCAAGACCAGCCTGGCCAACATGGCAAAACCCTGTCTCTACTAGAAATACAAAAATGAGCCAGGCATGGTGGCGCATGCCTGTAGTCCCATTTGCCTGGGAGGCTGAGGCAGGAGAATCGCTCGTACCTGGGAGGCAGAGGTTGCAGTGAGCCAAGATCATGCCACTGAACTCCAGCCTGGGAGACAGAGCAAGACTCCATCTCAAAAAAAAAAAAAAAAAAAAAAAAAAAAAAAAAAAAGAAGTGCTGACTCTGATTCTCCAGTGGTAGGGCCAGGGAATCTGTGTTTCATACCGATGTGCCTAGGATTCTGATGCAGCAGCCCTGTACCGCTATCTGCACACAAGTGCTAATAAAGAAATGTAGGACCCCTTCCCAACCAGAGGCAGAACCTGCTTCATCCTTCATGCTTGTCATCCACCACTGTGTGTAAGGACCTCTTTGGGAGGTGGAGAGTGACAGGTCTCTTTGTGCTGGAAACTTCTAGAAACCTCTTCCTGAGAGTGTCTAAAGCCTGAGGTTCTCTTGCATGGCTTCTACTTCACCACGTGCTACTTCATTTCTTGAAAAGAAAACCGGCTGCTCAAACTCCAAGGCAGGGTTAGCAGGGGTGCTGTCTGTCCCTGTTCTCCTGTGGACAAGCTAAGGCCTGTCTTAGGTAGCTATTAGCCTAGAATACATTCCCTTCTGCTCCAAGCAAACAATACCATTTGACTCCTTTTCCCAAACCCAAATCCCGTGCACTCTCTGCCTACACTCTGTGCCCCTAGTGGTGAATCCTTCACTCTGGCTGTGGGTTCACCAGTCACACTGACCTTTCAGACCCTGGAGAGCTCTGTACCTGTCAGATCTCAGCAAACTTCTCCTCCTCAGGGAGCCCTAAGGACCCTCCATCCTGGACTGGAAGTCCCATCACTGTACTTCTCTACAACTATTGCATTTCCCCTTCACACACTTGCCAGTGTTTGTAACCATAGATTAACTTGAGTGATAAGTTGCTTAGTGTATTTTCCACTTGGCCTAGGGTTCCAGAGGTAGGGGCTGTGTGTGTGGCTGACCACTATAACTCATGGCACGATGATCCTTCCTACCCTAGGCTACATCCTTGAATCTCAGCTTGGACTTGGTATCATTCAGAGTCCTACCAAGAGAATCAAAACCACTTCAGGTATTTCCTACAGAAAGAATTTAATGCAGGTGAATTGTGTATGCAGGTGACAAGAGAACTGAGAGCCCAACCCAGAATGCTGAGACATCCCATAGATAAGCAACAGCAGGGAGCTGTTCCCACCTGTACGCTAGAGGGATAAAGGGAACGGGTGATGTTACAGAGCCCAGGGGCCTGTCTGGCAGGAGATGAAAATACCAAGGTGACACAGCCATTTCCAGAGAGGCTGTCAAACCAAAGAAGAGGGTGAAGGGGAGGAGGGAGGAAAAGAGAGCAGAGAAGGAGGAGAAATAATAGTAATAATAATGATACTCTGCTTCTCCCTCCCAGTGCCTCCACCACCAGTCTCTCATGAATGACTCTCCTTGTCAGGGCCCAGATGGAAGCCAGCTGACATGCAAGCCTGGGAACTGCAGCCTGCAGAGATCAACAACCCCACGGAGTCACAGAGCAGAGCAGGTGAAGGAAGAAGAATGGGTTTGAGGCAAACAGGGCCAGGATCGGCAGGCCTTGTCCTCCAGGAAGCCTTTCCCACCCCACCTCAGGCTGGAATAGGGGCCTTCGTAGGCTGAATGATGGCCTCCCAAAAATGTTCACTTCTTAATCCCTCAACCCTCTGAATATTACCTTATATGACAAAAGATGTGACTAAGACGTGTTAAGGATCTTGAAAAGAGAGACTGAAGCTGGGTTTTCTGGATGGGCTTCATAGACAGACACACAGAAGAAAAGGCAATGTGAAGACAAGACAGAGGCCGGATGGAGGTGATGCCACCACAAGCCAAGGAATGCTGGCAGCTGCTAGAAGCTGGAGGAGACGGGGAACAAATTCTCTGCTAGAGCCTCCAGAGGAAAGACAGCCCTGTTCACATCTTGATTTCAGAAGTCTGGCCTCCAGAACTGCGAAAGAATACGTGACTGTTATCTTAAGCTACAAGTCTGTGTATTGTGCTCCTCCATCGTATTCCCAAAACAGCATCCCTGGCTTCTGTCCCGTGCCCATTGTCCTTTCATGCTGAAGCAGCTTATTGCATTGTCTTATCTGTCCTACCAGGCTGACCTCCTTGAGGGCAGAATTAGATCTTGGAGAGAGAGCGCCCTAGTTCTCAACATTGTGACGGGTATATAATGGATGACAAATAAATATTAACTTGACTTTAGGTTTTAAGTCACATCTTAACTTTGATCTCTTATTTCTTCATATTGCCCAAATGAAGAAGTTAACACATTCTAATATTTCTAGTCATCTAGGCAGACTCTACACGGCATATCTTCCTACCCTATAAGCCAGCCCTTACCTCCCAAGACCCTGTAAGGGATGCATTCTTGCTTTAGGTGGCAGAAAATGCAGTGTTTCCAACGGCATGGTTGGTCCCATTCTTCCCACCCATTCAACCTGTAATTCCTGACAATAAGGGGGAGCCATGGAGAAAAAGACACCTCTTCCATCCTGCTTTTCTCTTGACTCATGCAACTCATGGCCATGGGCCAGGTCAAAGTTCCTCTGGAGTCCCCCATGTTAACAAGCTGGAAGCTAAACAGCACACTGTTGTACAGCATTTTTCTGAGTAGTTAATTAACGAAAGGATAAGCTACCTTGACAATCACTGAAGCAAGCAGCCTCACTGTGCAGTCGTCAAGAGGAATGAGATTAGTTTCAAGGGAGACCATAGGGAAATGACAAGGAGGGCAGGCTTGATGGGGCTCGTGGTTTCCTCTGGCTGCTCCTTGCCTGGCTCTCCTCCCCACAGTGCAAGCAGACGTGTGCAAAGCCTCGTGGCGAAGCTGGACCGGCCTGATAATCAGTTATCACCCAGTGCTCTGAACATATTTAGTCTGCTCACAGATGGCATGGGCTGGGCCAAGGTCCTTCTGGAAATCACATTGCCCAAGGTTGACAGCCTGGGATGGTAACATGTACCAGAAATCACTGAGAGGCCCAGAAAAAATGACTCAGAGTGGGTGCGGTGGCTCGTGCCTGTAATCCCAGCACTTTGGGAGGCCGAGGCAGGCGGATCACCTGAGGTTGGAAGTTCGAGACCAGCCTGGCCAACATGGTGACACCCCATCTCTACTAAAAAATACACAAATTAGCCAGGCGTGGTGGCAGGCAGCTATAATCCCACCTACTTCGGAGGCTGAGGCAGGAGAATCGTTTAAACCCGAGAGGTGGAGGTTGCAGTGAGCCGAGATCGTGCCATTGCACTCCAGTCTGGGTGACAAGAGTGAAACTCTGTTTCAAAAAAAAGACTCAGAGGTAGGCAGGGTTGGTCAAATCAGATTCATATTGACCCACAGAGTGAAGGAGAGGAGCTGTGGCCATTGCTAGGGACCAAGGATGGTGAGTAAATGGCCATGAGGAGTGGCAGTGTTTCTGGGAAAGGACATATGGACCATAGCGGAGATGTACCAATTCTATTCTGTTCTGTTCTATTCCATTCCATTGTATTCCATCCCATTCCATTTTTATTTCTTGCTACCGAAGTCTCAGTGGGAGTTGTAGTCTACCCTCCACTCCAGAAGCCAAAATGGTCAGGTCCTCAGTTTCCCTGTTGCCTCCGTAGTCAGGCGTGTGACCTAGGCTCAGCCAATGAGACACACTAGCCTGAGACTTTTGAATCTGGAGCTTTTGATGAAAAAGCAGTGTCTGTCAGCACGCATAATTCTTGCAGAGATGGCAGGCAGCACAGTCCATTTCTGGGGCAGAAGTACCAGAGTGAGGTGTCCACATCCAGGGCCAGCACCAGTGGTGGCAGTGCCCTTCTCTCCATCCTGTCCCTTTGTGGTCTTGGTGTACCCACTTCCTTTCTTCTCATCCCTGTCCTGAGCCCAATTCTTCAGATCTCCGGCAATTCTGACACCTTCCTGATTCATTTTTTGTACATCAATTTGCCATCTACATCAGCTAGCGTGGGCATAGAACTATTATGCTGACCTGATACAGAGTGTGTAGCGGCTTATTTCTAAGTGGATGGAGGAAGTGCAGAGAGCTTGCTGTGTTTTATCCAGGGCGGAGTTCTGGAAAACGGTTTTCAATATTTTTTATTTCTGTCACAAAACAATAAGTTGGATATATTTGTTAGGCCTCTTTAAGGGCAAGTGACAGAAACTGGTTTAAGAACAATAGGAATTTATTTATAACTGTAAATTATGAGGGTTAACAGGACCCAGGTACAGCCAGATCTGGTGAGGTAAGTATTATCAAGAATTCACCTCTCTTGCTTCTTCTTTACTGGTTTCATTCTTAGGTGGGTTCTAGTCATCACCTGGTTTCCGGCTTCTCCAGGATTGTACCCTACCAGTTTAGTGATTATTGTAGGTTAAAGAAAACCCTCTTCTCCCAAAAGGTCCAGCAAAATTCTGGAACTGATTATAACTGGGCAAACTGGAGCCAGGATTTGAGTCCAGTAAATCTACACCCTGTATTCTTTCTATCAATTTAACTTAATATTCAAAAGAACCCAATGAGGTCCTGGGGCAGGGGCTTGGGGGTGGGGGTGGGAGACAGAAGCTGATTGGCCCAGGTCTGGCTTGTGCTGAGGGTCGAGTTGATCATTCCTGAAAATGTTCTCAGATTTCTCTGCAGATCCTTACAACCCTTCCTGCCCCAACTTATGGGAAGCAGAGTTTTACAATAGAGTAGCTCATGGGTTTTAGTCTTTGTTTTTATAAGAAGTAATATATTATTGTTAGAATTTATTTGCATCCCCCATTAGTTGTGCCAGATATAAGTCAGGCTATGGATTATAAGCTGATGCTCCATTCATTCCTCACTCTCTAAAATAATACACAATTGATCAAGTGTGATCAGTTGATCACAATTGCAATACAAATGATCAAGTGTGATCTTATAAGCATGGCCTTGAAGAGGCCTTATGAATTTTTATTTCAAGTAAAAATTATTTCTTAAAAAGTACTAAGAATAGAAGTAATATCTAAATAGAAGTAATACCTTTCTCCTTACCTAATGTTTGTTAAGAGTATACTATGTTCCTGGTACCGTTCTAAGCATTTCCTATCTGTGAACTCACATCATGGTCCTAACAACACTATGAAGTAGGAATGAATGTTAATCCCATTTATAGATGATGGAACTGAAAATAGAAATATAAAGAAATTGGTCCAAGATCACACAGCTAATAAATGTTGGAGCCAGGATTTGAGTCCAGTAAATCTGCACCCTGTATTCTTTTTGTTAATTTAACTTAATATTTGTAAGATCCCAATGAGGTCATTACTATTCCTGTTTTACAGATGAGGAAACAGAGGCTCATGAAGTTAAACGACTTGTCCAAGGTCACGGTGCTAATAATGACTTTGAGCCAGAATTCCAACCCAAATTGTTTTTCGAAGCTATAGCCCAGGCCAGGTGTGTTGGCTCACGCCTGTAATCCCAGCACTTTGGGAGGCCAAGGCGGGTGGATCACCTGAGGTCAGGAGTTTGAGACCAGCCTGGCCAACAGAGTGAAACCCCGTCTCTACTAAAAATACAAAAAATTAGCCAGGCATGGTGGTGCACACCTGTAGTCCTAACTAGTTGGGAGGCTGAGGCAGGAGAATAGCTTGAGCCCAGGAGATGGAGGTTGCAGTGAGCCCAGATTGCATCACTGCACTCCAGCAGGGGCAACAGAGCAAGACTCAGTCTCAAAAAAAAATTACAGCCCTTATCCACTC